>NC_000001.11:41675047-41978077 GCF_000001405.40 Homo sapiens | reverse complement strand
CTTAATGGGAAAAAAAAGTAGGAATAAAAAGTATTGGCAGACACAGTTTCTAGGAGGAACTATTCAGTTCTTTTATTACGGAGACATTGCCTATTGGTATGATTGATTCTTTTTTACTTGACATGAAATTGTTTGAGGTGATTCCCCAGTTACATGATGTTCGTAGACCTCACATCTTTGCATGCTTCTAAAGTTTGACTCTAGAGCTGAAGCATCCACGTGAGGTGTATTACCATGAGCAGGGTCAGGGAAAGGCAGGATTGCTGGAGGAATCAGACAGTGGGACACACACAGCAGGCCAGTCTCACTATTGTGCCTTTGGGTGTTGGAAGGAAACATGGAATGTGTCACTTATGCTGTGGGTCTCACAGCATCTGGTCCTCTCACAGCACTGTCCTTGTATGTTGCAGCTTTTCAAGGAATATATTACTCCTCAGACCTCTGCTTTATTCGCAGATGTTCTGATGAATGAGTGACATTTTCTGAACTTCCTAGTCCTCTTCCTCTTTCATGCTCAGGTTTAATCATCAATCAGTCTGGGAGCTGCAGGAGAGATGGGGGGATGTGACACTCACCTCTGCCTGCACCTGCTCCCTCCACCGGCGGCTGGCAGGTGGGACCTCCTGAGGCTGAGAGGCAGGCAGGCAGGCAAGCAAGCAGCTGGGGAGTGGGGGAGCGTGGGGCACACCTCTCTCCTGGGGTAGCTGTGTTCCCTTATTTGGTGGTAGCAGCAGGTGGCAGCTCACACAAGGGAAGAACCACCTGGAGCCTCTAGCTTGTGGAGTTGGAGGAGCCATGGAAGGTAATAGTTCTCATCCTAACCCTTCATCTACTGCCCTGTCAAGCCCTATCCTGAACTCCTTGTCTGATTTTTATTTTTACCTTGTTTCTCTCCCTCTCTCCACCTTAGTCCACTCACGCTGTTATAACACACTCCATAGGCCCCAACTCATTCTCCCCACCACTCAGCTCATGTCCATCCTTTCGCTTTTGGTTATAAACAGGTGACCACTGTTACGGTTTTAACATTGCAAACATTAGAGATATGTTGAGTACTGCTGTTGTATTAGTCTCCCAGATGCCAGAACAAAGTACCACAAACCGGGTGGCTTAGAACAACAGCAGTGTATGGTTGCACAGTCCTGGAGGCCAGGGGTCTGAAATCAAGGTGTCCACAAGGCCGTGCTCCCTCTCAAGGCACAAGGGGTGGTCTGTTCCACCCTCCCAGCTTCTGCGGATTCCTCGGCTTGTGGCAGCATAACTACTGCAGCATAACATGGCGTCCTCCCTGAGTGCGTGTCTATGTTCACATTTCCCCTTTTTATAAGGACATCAGTCATATTGGATTAGGGGCCCACTCTACTGTATAATCTCATCTTAACTAATTACATCTGCAGCAAACCTAGTGCTATAACAGCAGTTCTGAATTACTATGATAAATAACTTTAGATTTAGTCTGAATTGCAGTATCTAAGAACATGCTTGAAAATAAATACCATAAATTTGTATAACATGCTTACTTTTAAGATAGCAAAATATGGAAATTGCATGTTATATAAATTATCAGGCAAAGAAAGGGTTGTCACACCCTCAGGTGTGAATTCTTAGAGGCAGAATTAGAACAGACGGGAGGTTTGTGAATCTGTAGTTGGGAAGCAGTCCAGAACAAGCTAGCCCAGCAAGGCAGGCTAAGGATTGGGAGTTCCGAGTTGTGTTTCTGGCATCGAATGCTTCCACCTGAGCCAATTGCTCATCCCCTCTGAGCCTGAAAGTACTCCGTCTCAGGAGAAGAATAATAGTGCTTTAGAGAGAAGTGAAAGGAATTAATGAATGACGCCACAAACGTATTTAGGAGATCCTCAGATGAAAGGTACGGCAAGAGTGGTGGTAAACTTTCAAGTCACACGTGGAATAGACACAAAAATTATCCTCTCTTTTCTTTTCCATTGACTTCAGTGGGTCATAGCTCTAATCACAGATGTAGACGTAAGCGTGGTTGACCTAGAGGGCAAAGAGAACATCAATCAAGTGGATGAAACCACTAGTTTTGAGATGAATTTCTGAGTTTGGTACGTGCTGTTCACATTCAGGGCTGAGAATGGTTTGCCCTTAGGGAAGTGCTGGCTGGGTGTTCTTCTACTCGTGAGCCAACAGTAGGGCCCTTGATCTCTGAACATGCTGTGCTGGTTCACCCACTCCTGGATGAATCTGTCCTCCAAAAGCACACCTCTCCATGGACATTGGCCACCACAGACTCTCTTTATGTGCTCCCTGGCAAGGTAAGTAGCACCAGGATTCTGGTCCATATCACCCATTCTGGAACCTCTGCCTTCAGTCTTGGTTTACTAGGTCTAAAGAAAGGTCCTTTGAGAGCGGCCTTGGCATTATGCTTTCTTTTCTAGCAATAGCAGCAGAATTCAACTATACTGTGCTCAGATAGACTCATCCTAACCAACCAACTGAATGAACTATAAAAATTGTATAAATCAAGTTTTTTGTACTTCCAAAGAAATACAGCACTGTAATTCAAACCAGATTCATCAAGTGTGTGTTGAGAGTCACAGGAAGAATTCAAGGGCTCAATGACCAGATTGATTCATTCAATCAATATCTCCTGAAGGCCCACTATCTGCTACCATAGGAGCTTGCCTGGAAACATTGTGGTGGGCATTCCTGCTGCATTCTTACTGTGGGGGAGTGATTTGGACAAATTCATTTGTGTGTATCCACTAGCCTCAGGTCAGGTTCCCTGGGAAACCAACTCTGAGATAAAGATTTGCAGGCAGATTTGCAGGTTTATTGAGGAGTGCTCTCTGGGTCAACATCTGTGGGGGAATGAGGGAAGCAGGATTGGGTAGAGGGGGGCAGTTGAACTGTGATGTTATTCACAGTGAGGCCCCTGCTGATCCCACAGGAGGCTTGGAAGCTTGGATGGCTCCTCATAATTGTCCCAAATTGAGGCAAGGGGGCCAGGTCTCCAGGTCTTTATATTCTTGCATCCCTGTGCCAGTAGGCATTGGACCCATGGCTGCTCTCAGGAAGGGATGTGGCCCTTGGGAAGCTAGCTCCTTTCAGTCTGGAGCAATGCCCAGAAATGGACTCAGCTGAGAGCCATCAGCAGTGGAGAGAATTCCATACCTCAGCCCTTCACCTCAGTCCTGAAGGGCAGGTTGCGTGGAGATAATGGCCATGCACCAGAGCATCTGCTACTCTCAATAAATTTGTGTGGAGCCAACCGCTGTACTAGATGCTGAAGCTATGGTGACTACCATAGGTACGGCCTCTGCTCTCACAGAGTTTTCTGTCCAGTAGAAGGCCAACAAGTAAAAAGGCAACTGCAATTCAGAGTTTACTGTCCTGTGGGATTACACAGTGGGGGTTCAGGAAGGCTTCCTGGAGGAGGTTGCATCTAAGCTGAGATCTGGTCATGTGAAGAGGGGTGTGAAAAGAGTATTCCAAGCAGAGAGCACAGCACACAGGACATCCCAGGGACCAGAGACAAAGAGCTTCACAGCTTTGAAGAATTATTAAGGTTCAGAATGGCTAGAGGATACAGTGTGTGTGTGTGTGTGTGTGTGTGTGTGTGTGTGTAGGGGGTGGAGTGGGGTTATGGATGTATGTGAAGCCAGAGGGGTGAGCTGGGGCCAGGTGTGATAGCATGCTGAAACCATGGGAGTGGCCAAGCCAGCTTAGAGGAAGTGTTAGAAGGGAAGGGTTTGGACAGGAACGGGAGGGAAGAGAACCAACTGCTCCTAGGATGGGCACAGAGTAGAGCTGGTAGCAGTAACTGAGGAGTCGGAAGAGGAGGAAAACCAGATGTCTTCTCTGTCCCCTCCAGGTCTAAATTCCTGTTATTAGTCTGCCTGAGCTCTTTGGGAATCTTACACAAAAATAGACATTGCCCCTTTTCTCTCTTGTGCCTTTGGCTTTTTCCAGTCTCTACCTCCACCCCCTGCCCTCCTTGCTGTGAACGCATCCAGCTCTCTTCCAGCCTAAGAATCTCTTCTTAAGAGGCTGCTCTATGCCAGCTCTTGCCTTGACTGCCCCATTTCTTTGAAGACACTAGTTTTCTCTCTGTCCCCTCACCTTGCATGCCCTCTGTCCTGCACGCATAATCTGGTTTCCACATCCCTCCACTGAATTCCCTCCAGTGACATCAGTGACATTTTCAATGACCTTCTCTGCAGTTGTCTCCTAGGCCTCCCTCCAGCATTGATGCTGGTGACGCCATCCTTTCTTGGATGCTCTTTCTCAGGGTCTCCTGTCACTGGGGCCTCATGATAGTCTTACCGATTGCCCTGCCCTTGCCACTGGCTCCTATGCTGTTTCCTCTTCTTCCGATTCTTCCATTGGGTCCCCAGTGACCTCTGACTCCTATCATTCCTTGCATATGGGCTGAACCTAGTGAACTGCTTTCAATGAATAAAAGAGAGAAAAAGAGATGGGATATCACTTCTGTGATTGGGCTACAAAAGACTATAATTTCTGTCTTGCCAGCAGCCTCTCTGTCTCTGTCTCTGCCTCTCTCTTTCTCTTTCCATTGGTGAAGCCAGTTACCATGTCAGAGACGCTCACATGGCAAGGAACTGAATCCCTCAGCCCAACAGCCCACAAGGAACTGCATCCTGCCAACAGCCTATGAGTGCTGACAACCACTGAATGGTCTTGGAAGCAGATCCTACCTCAATCAAATCTTGAGATGACTGCGGCTCTAGCAGGTATCTTGGGTAAGGCCTTGTGAGAGTCTCAGGGCCAAGGCCTTGGTTGCAGCCTTGCAAGAGACCCTGAAGCTGGTAATGAACGCCCAGCTAAGCCATGCCTGGCTTCATGACCCCACAGACTGTGAAATAATAAATGTGTGTTGTTGGGAGTAATTTCTTATTCAGCAATAGATAACTTATATACACCCTGATCTCTTTGTTCCTTACCAAGGTCCCTTACTCATCAGAACCAAATTCCATGCTATTTCCAGACCACACTGTGTGCTTTCTTGCTTTCATAATTGTGTGTGTGTGTGTGTGTGTGTGTGTGCACGCACATGTGGTTTCTACTTTGCTTGGAATACCTTCTTCTATCTTCTTTGCCTGGAAAATTCTTGCTCATCTTTTTGCCTTGAGCTCTAGGAGACTTGCATTATATAATAATGTTTCAATAAATATTTGTACATTTGAATTATTGAAAAGAGTTTCCAAAATAATAATTATTATTTTGGAAGAACCCACTCAGAGAAAAAGTGCTTAAAGGTACTCAAACTTTTCAAAGAATTTAAATCAGTAAATATTTATTTAGCATCTGCCTTGGCCAGGCCTGTGGATGTGAAGATGTCAAGAACCAGAATGCTTGGTTTGGAACACGGAATGCTTACTTCACACCCATTTTCTCTTCACTTAATTCCTATTTATCCTTTGAAGCTCATCTGTTACATGCCACCTCTTCAAGGAAGCTTTCCATGACTCTTAAAGTAGATCAGGTCAACTTATGTGCATTTATTGATGCTTGTACTTCTCTTTTGAAACATGTCCCACCATTGTAATGAAGTAATCAATTGCATGGAAGGCAGTTTAATGTCCATCTCCCTCACTGGGCTATGAGCTCTAGGAGGGCAGGGACCCTCCTTGTCCATGTCTACCCTTGAGTCCCTATGCCTGGCCCACTGCCTTGCCTCTAACAGGAGATCAATAAATATGTGCTGTATCACTATAGGCCCAGTTGGCTCCTAATGGTTCCTGGACCCTGGAAGACCACATTCTAGGTGAGCCAGCTGCAATGGCAGCCCCACATGGCAAGGACCATGACATGGATCTTGTTACTGGGTACAGTGGGAGTATAGCAGAGGGGAGGTGGAAAGACGTCATAGATGAAATGGTCATTGGGCTGGGTTTTGAAGGATAAATAGCAGTTTGCAAGGTGGAGGAGTGGTGAACTTGGTGAGAGGTAGGACTTCCTGAATGAAAACAAAGGCACTGTCCTACTCTGTTTGTGCTGCTATAATAAAATACTAGAGAGTAGGTAATTTATAAAGAATATTTATTTTCCACAGTTCTGGAAGCTGGGAAGTCCAAGATCAAGGCACCAGCAGATTTGGTGTCTGGTGAGGGCTGCTCTCTGCCTCCAAGATGGCAACATGTTGCTGCGTCCTCTGGAGGGCAGGAACACCGTGTCCTCACATGGTAGAAGGGACAGGAAGGGTAACTTGCCCCCTCAAGCCCTTTTACAAGGCACTAATTCATCCATGACAGCAGAGCTGTCATGGTCTATCACCACCAAAAGGTCCTACCTCTTAATACTGTTATATTGGGGGTTAAGTTGCAACATGAATTTTGGAGGAGACACAACATTCAAACCATCATAGGTTAGAGAAGGATTATAGTGGATTTAGAATAGGGCTTCCTAACTGAGTAGTGTGTGGTGGTATCCTGAGATGCTTTGAATATGTACAGGTTTACCAATTTATTGATCTTTTTAGCCTTTTGGGCTGCCAGGTGGGGTCTGGGGCGACTGGAGCTCCCAAGCCAGCTGTCATCAGACACAGCTTTGTCTGTTTTCCCAGTGCACCCTCAAATATTATCATCTTCTGTGTGTACCTTGACATGAAAACACTTGGGTGGGGGGCACCAGATCAGCTCCAGATGGAACAAGGCAGGTGTGAGGGGATTTGGCAAAGATGAATCTGGAAAATAGGCGGTGATCAGATTGCAAAGGGCATTTCATGCTTGGCTAAGGAGTTTGGATATTGCCCTGTAGGAAGTGGGGAGCCACTAGTAGTTTGACCATCTGTTTTCTGACCCCCTCCCCAATCCTGTTAAGATTATTGATAGACTGTATACATTTTTATAGATGCCAGATTACTGTGGTCCAAGTGAATAACTTTTATAAATTCGATTTCAAATTTCTCTGAGGCACAACACAGAATACCCTGCGGTGTGGCAGTTTTTCCCATTGTGTTGTGACCCACTGGTGGCTTAAATCAGTTGTAACTGCACAGCAAGTAATTTATTGCAGCTAGTAAAACACTAATGTTTTGAAATTATACCAATTTAAAAATTAAATCAGGTCTATATTTTTTTTCTACATCAAATCTATATACAACAGAAACTTATTGTCTCACAGTTCTGGAGGCCAGAAATCCAAAATAAAGGTGTCAGCAGGGCCAGGCAGCTTCCTCTGAAACCTGTAGGGCAAGGATCCTGTCTTGCCTCTTCCAACTTCTGGTAGCCCTAGATGTTCCTTAGCTTGTGGCAGGGTTGCTCCAATGTTCATATAGTCCTCCCTCTGTGCCTAAGTCTGTGTCCAAATTCTCCCCCACTTTTTTTTGTAAAGACATCAATCATACTGGATTAGGGCTCACCGTAATGAGCTCATCTTCCATTTAATTTTATTTCATTTTAAATTGCGGGGTACTGTGCCAGATGTGCAGGTTTGTTACATAGGTAAATGTGTACCATGGTGATTTGCTGCACCTATCAACCCATTACCTAGGTATTAAGCCCAGCACACATTCACTATTTTTCCTGATGCTCTCATTTCCCCTGCCTCTCTCCCCTCAACAGGCCCCAGTGTATGTTGTTCCCTCCCTGTATCTATGTGTTCACATTGTTCAGCTCCCACTTATAAGATAATATGTGGTGTTTGGTGTTCTGTTCCTGCATTAGTTTGCTGAGGATAATGGCTTCCAGCTCCATCCACATCCATGCGAAGGACCTGATCTCATACCTTTTTATGGCTGCATGGTATTCCATGGTGTATATGCACCACATTTTCTTTATCTAGTCCATCATTGATAGGCATTTTGGTTGATTCCATGTCTTTGCTATTGTAATAGTGCTGCAATGAACATATGCATGCATGCATCTTTATAATATAATAATTTATATTCCTTTGAGTATATACCCAGTAATGGGATTGCTGGGTCAAATGTTATTTCTGGTTCTAGATCTTTGAGGAATCACCACACTGTCTTCCACAATGGTTGAACTAATTTACATTCCCACCAACAATGTAAAAACATTCCTGTTTCTCCACTGCCTCACCAGCATTGCTTTCTTAACTTTTTAATAATCACCATTCTAACTCATGTGAAATGGTATCTCATTGTGGTTTTGATTTGTATTTCTCTTGTTGAGCTTTTTTTCATGCTTGTTGGCCACATAAATGTCTTCTTTTGAGAAGTGTCTGTTCATGTCCTTTGCCCACTTTTTAATGGGGTTGTTTTTTGCTTGTAAATTTATTCAACTTCCTTGTAGATTCTGGATATTAGACCTTGGTCAGTTGGATAAATTGCAACATTTTTCTCCCATTCTTTAGATTGTCTGTCTGCTCTGATGAAAATTTCTTTTGCTGTGCAGAAGCTCTTTAGTTTAATTAGATCGCATTTGTCAATTTTTGCTTTTGTTGCAATTGCTTTTGATGTTTTCATCATGAAATCTTTGCTCATGCCTGTGTCCTGAATGGTATTTCCTAGATTTTCTTCTAGAATTTTTATAGTTTTGAGTTTTACATGTAAGCGTTTAATTCGTCTTGAGCTAATTTTTGTATAAGGTATAAGGAGTGGGTCCAGTTTCAATTTTCTTCATATGACTAGCCGGTTCTCCTAGCACCATTTATTAATAGGAAATTCTGTCCCCATTGCTTGTTTTTGTCAGGTTTGTCAAAGATCAGATGGTTGTAGGTGTGTGGTCTTATTTCTGAGTTCTCTGTTCTGTTCCATTGGTCTATGTGTCTATTTTGTACCAGTATCATGATGTTTTGGTTACTGTAGCCTTGTAGTATAGTTTGAACTCAGGTAGCATGATGTCTCCAGTTTTGTTCTTTCTGCTTAGGATTGTCTTGGCTATATAGGCTCTTTTTTGGTTCCATATGGATTTTGAAATAGTTTTCTCTAATTCTAAGAAGAATGTCAATGGTAGTTTAATGGGAATAGCATGGAATCTGTAAATTACTTTGGGCAATATGGCCATTTTCACGATATTGATTCTTCCTATCCATGAACATGGAATGTTTTTCCATCTGTTTTTGTCCTCTCTGATTTCCTTGAGCAGTAGTTTGTAGTTCTCCTTGAAGAGGTCCTTCACTTCCCTTTTTAGCTGCAATCCTACATATTTTATTCTCTTTGTAGCAATTGTGAATGGGAATTCATTCATGATTTGGCTCTCTGCTTGTCTGCTGTTTGTGTATAGAAATGCTTGTGATTTTTGCACATTGACTTTGTATCCTAAGACTTTGCTGCAGTTGTGTATCAGCTTAAGGAGCTTTTGGGCTAAGTTGATGGTGTTTTCTGGATATAGGATTATGTCATTTGCAAACAGAGCCAGTGTGACTTCCTCTGTTTCTATTTGAATAACCTTTATTTCTTTCTCTTGCCTAATTGCCCTGGCCAGAACTTTGAATACTATGTTGAATAGGAGTGGTGAGAGAGGGCATCCTTGTCTTGTGCCAGATTTCAAGGGGAATGCTTCCAGCTTTTGCCCATTCAGTATGATATTGGCTGTGGGTTTATCATAAATGGCTCTTACTATTTTGAGGTATGTTCCTTCAATGCCTAGTTTATTGAGAATTTTTAACGTGAAGGGATGTTGAATTTTATCAAAGGACTTTTCTGCCTCTATTGAGATAATCATGTGATTTTTGTCTTTAGTTCTGTTTATGTGATGAATTACATTTATTGATTTGCACAAGTTGAACCAGCCTTGCATGCTGGGGATGAAGCCGACTTGATTGTGGTGAGTAGGCTTTTTGATGTGCTGCTGGATTTTGTTTGCCAGTATTTTATTGCGGATTTTTGCATCGATGTTCATCAGGGATATTGGCCCAAAGTTTTCTTTTTCTTTTTTTTTTTGTATCTCTGCCAGGTTGTATCTCTATCAGGATTATGCTGGCCTCATAAAATGAGTTAGGGAGGAGTCCCTCTTTTTCTGTTATTTGGGATAGTTTCAGAAGAAATGGTACCATCTCCTCTTTGTACCTCTGGTAGAATTCAGCTATAAATCTATCTGGCCCTGGGCTTTTTTTGGTTGGTAGGCTATTTATTACTGCCTCAATTTCAGAATTAATTATTGGTCTATTCAAGGATTCAGCTTCTTCCTGGTTCAGTCTTGGGAGGTTGTATGTGTCTAGGAATTTATCCATTTCTTCTAAGATTTTCTAGTTTATTTGCATAGAAGTGTTTATATGAATAATGTTCTCTGATAGTTGTTTGTATTTTTGTGGGGTCTGTGATGATATCCCCTTTATCAATTTTTACTGTGTCTATTTGATTCTTCTCTTTTCTTCTTTATTAGTCTAGTGGTCTATTTTATTAAGTTTTTCAGAAAAACAGCTCCTGAATTCATTGATTTTTTGAAGGGTTTTTTTTGTGTGTCTCTATCTCCTTCAGTTCTGCTCTGATCTCAGTTATTTCTTGTCTTCTGCTAACTTTGGGGTTTGTTTGCTCTTGGTTCTCTAGTGTTTTTAGTTGTGATGTTAGGATGTTGATTTGAGATCTTTCTAGCTTTTTGATGTGGGCATTTGGTGCTATAAATTTCTCTCTAAACACTGCTTTAGCTGCATTCCAGAGATTCTGGTACATTGTCTCTTTGTTCTCATTAGTTTCAAAGAACTTCTTGATTTCTGCCTTTCATTATTTACCCAGGAATCATTCAGGAGCAGGTTGTTCAATTTTCATGTAGTTGTGTGGTTTTGAGTGACTTTCTTAATCTTGAGTTGTAATTTGATGGCGCTATGATCTGAGAGATTGTTTGCTATGATTTCAGTTCTTTTGCATTTGCTGAGGAGTGTTTTACTTCCATTCATTTATGTGATAGATTTTAGAGTAAGTGACATGTGGGGATAAGAATAATGTATATTCTATTGTTTTGGGTGGGGAGTACTGAAGATATCTATCAGGTCCACTTGATCCAGAGCTGAGTTCAAGTCCTGAATATCTTTATTAATTTTCTGTCTCAATGATCTAATATTGGCAGTGGGGTGTTAATGTCTCCCACTATTATTGTGTGGGAGTCTAAGTCTCTTTGTAGGTCTCTAAGAACTTATTTTATGAATCTGGGTGTTTCTGTATTAGGTGCATATATATTTAGGATAGCTATCTCTTTTTATAGAATTGAACCCTTTTCCATTATGTAATGCCCTTCCTTGTCTTTTTTGATCTTTGTTGGTTTAAAGTCTGTTTTGTCAGGAACTAGAATTGCAACCCCTGCTTTTTTTCTGCTTTCCATTTGCTTGGTAAATTCTCCTCCATCCATCTATTTCTAGCCTATGTATGTCTTTGCCTGTGAGATGGGTCTTTTGAATACAGCACACTGGGCCAGGCATGGTGGCTCACGCCTGTAATCCCAGCACTTTTGGAGGCTTAGGAGGGTGGATCACGAGGTCAGGAGATTGAGACCATCCTGGCTAACATGGTGAAACCCCGTCTCTACTAAAAATACAAAAAAAAAAAAAATTAGCTGGGCACGGTGATGGGCACCTATAGTCCCAGCTACTCGGGAGGCTGAGGCAGGAGAATGGCGTGAACCCAGGAGGCGGGGCTTGCAGTGAGCCGAGATGGCGCCACCGCAGTCTGGCCTGGGTGAAAGAGCGAGACTCCATCTCAAAAAAAAAAAAAAAAGAATACAGCACACTGATGGGTCTTGAATCTTTATCCAGCTTGCCATTCTGTGTCTTTTAATTAGGGCATTTAGCCCATTTACATTTAAGGTTAATATTGTTATATGTGAATTTGATCCCGTCATCATGATGCTATCTGGTTATTTTGCAGACTTGTTAATGGAGTTGCTTCGTAGTGTCATTGGTCTGTGTACTTCAGTGTGTTTTTTTAGTGGCTGGTAATGGTTTTTCCTTTTCATTTTTAGTGGTTCCTTCAGGAGCTTTGGCAAGGCAGGCCTGCTGGTGACAAATTCCCTCAGTATTTGCTTGTCTGAAAAAGATTTTATTTCACCTTCACTTAGGAAGCCTAGTTTGGAAAGATACGAAATTCTGGGTTGGAAATTCTTTTCTTTAAGAATGTTGAATATTGGCCCCCAATCTCTTCTGGCATGTAGGGTTTCTGCTGAGAGGTCCACTGTTAGTCTGATGGGCTTCCCTTGTAGGTGACCTGGCTTTTCTCTCTGGCTGCCTTTAACATTTTTTCCTTTATTTCGACCTTGGAGAATCTGACGATAATGTGTCTTGGGGTTGATCTTCTCATGGAGTATTTTACTGGAGTTCTCTGGATTTCCTGAATTTGAATGTTGGCCTGTCTTGCTAGATTGGGGAAGTTCTCCTGGATGATATTTTGATGTATGTTTTCCAACTTGGTTCCATTCTTTCTGTCCCTTTCAGGTACCCCAATCAGTCGTAGGTTTGGTCCTTTTATATGATCCCATAGTTCTTGGAGGTTTTGTTCATTCCTTTTCAGTCTTCTTTTTCTAATCTTGTCTGCCTGTCTTACTTCAGCAAGATAGCCTTCAAGCTCTGAGATTCTTTCCTCCACTTGGTCTGTTCGGCTATTGATATACTTGTGGTTGCATTGTGAAGTTCTCATGTGTTTTTCAGCTCCATCAGGTCATTTATGTTCCTCTCTAAACTGTTTATTCTGGCTAACAGCTTCTGAAATGTTTTATCATGCTTCTTAGCTTCTTTGCCTTGGGTTAGAACATACTCCTTTAACTTAGCAAAGTTTATTATTACCTACCTTCTGAAGCCTACTTCTGTCAGTTCATCCATCTCAGCTGGAGAGGTATTGCAGTCATTTGGAGAAGAGGCACTCTGGCTTTTTGAGTTTTCAGCAATTTTGTTTTGCTTCTTTCTCATCTTTGTAAGCTTATCCACCTTCAGTCTTTGAGGCTGCTGACCTTTGGATGGGGTTTTGTGGGATCTTTTTTGTTGATGTTGTTGTTTCTTTCTCTTTGTTTTTTAGTAGTCAGGACTTTCTTCCATAGGGCTGCTGCAGTTTTCTGGGGGTCCACTCTAGACCCTATTCACCTTGGCCCCTAGAGGTGTCACCAGTGGAGGCTGCAGAACAGCAAAGATGGCTGCCTGTTCCTTCCCCTGGGAGCTCCATCCCAAAGAGGCACCAACCTGATGCCAGTGGGAATGCTCCTGTATAAGATGTCTGGTGACCCCTGTTGAGGGGGGTGGGTCTCACCAGTCAGGAGGCATGGGATCAGGGACCCACATAATGAAGCACTCTGGCTGCCCCTTGGCAGAACGGGTGCACTGCTCTTGGGGGAATCCCGCTTGCCCAGACTGCCCAGACTCTTCAGAGCCAGCAGGAAGGAAAGAGTAAGTCTGCTGAACCACAGATACTGTGGCCATCCCTTTCCCCAGGGGCTCTGTCCCAGGGAGATCAGAGTTTTGTCCTAAACCCCTTGCTGGAATTGCCGACATTCTGGCCTGGTGAGGAGGAATGGATCTGGATCCCACCTAAAGAAGCAGTCTGGCCATGATCTGCCACAGCTGCTGTGCTGCACCTGTGGGGGAATTCCTCCCGGTCCAAACTACCCAGTCTCCCCGGCACCAGTGGGGAAAAATGGCAGTCTAAAGCCACAGTGATGGCAGCTGCCCTTCCCCCCAGGAACTTGGTCATCTTAGGCAGTCTCCAGCCTGCTGCCAGTGGCCACTGAGCATCTGCATAGCTCTGTGTGTGGGACCCAAGACCCTGGTTGTGTGGGCTCATGAGGGGATCTCCTGATCCACAGGTTGCACAGATCTGTGGAAAAAGCATGGTTTCCCAGGTGGGGTAGCACAATCACTCACTGCCTCCCTTGGCTGGGGCTGGGAGCTCCCCTTTCCCCGTGTGGCTCCCAGGTGGGCCATTGCTCCAGCCTGCTTTTCCTCGCTCTGCGTGGGTCACATCAACTGCCTAGTCAGTCCCAATGAGAGAACATAGATACCTCAGCTGAAGGTGCAGGATTCACTTGCCATTTTCGTTCTTCTCAGTGGGAGCTGCCGACTGCAGCTGCTTCTAGGCAGCCATCTTGGCCCCTCCTCCACAAGTTTTCCTTTAATAACTTCATCTTAACTACATTTGCAGAAACCTTGCTTCCAAATAAGGTCAAATTCTGAACGACTGGGCGTTAGGAAGGACGTCAACATATCTTCTTGGAAGGACACCATTCAATCCATAACACCTTCATTTTCACTCACTTGCATTTTAATACTCTTTCTTGGGTCAGAATAAAGCAGTAGAGCTTATATAAGCTCTAGTCATATTACGTCAGAATCTGAGTATGTCCGGGAGTGACTGTTTGTGAACTTGAATCTGTTCGGCAGAAAAAAAGTTTGGATCACTGCCTTAATATAAGCTTGTCCCATTGGTTATCTGCTTACATCCCAAAGACATTTTGCTTCTTCATGCTTAGGAAGCTGGCCCTTTAAGGCTAGGTTCCACCAATGAAGTGGTTATCAGCTTGGAGTGATTTTTTTTTTATTATACTTTAAGTTTTAGGGTACATGTGCACAACGTGCAGGTTTGTTACATATGTATACATGTGCCATGTTGGTGTGCTGCACCCATTAAATCGTCATTTACATTAGGTATATCTCCTAATGCTTTCCCTCCCCCCTCGCCGCTCCCCCCACCCCACAACAGGCCCCAGGGTGTGATGTTCCCCTTCCTGTGTCCAAGTGTTCTCACTGTTCAATTCCCACCTATGAAAAATGATGAGTTCATGTCCTTTGTAAGGACATGGATGAAGCTGGAAACCATCATTCTCAGCAAACTATCGCAAGGATAAAAAACTCGGAGTGATTTTGCCTCCAGGGGACATTGGCAATGTTTGGAAAAACTTTTGGCCGGGCGCGGTGGCTCACGCCCGTAATCCCAGCACTTTGGGAGGCCGAGGCAGGCGGATCACGAGGTCAGGAGATCGAGACCATCCTGGATAACACAGTGAAACCGCATCTCTACTAAAAATACAAAAAAATAGCTGGGCGTGGTGGCAGGTACCTGTAGTCCCAGCTACATGGGAGGCTGAGGCAGGAGAATGGCATGAACCCGGGAGGCAGAGTTTGCAGTGAGCCGAGATCGCGCCACTGCACTCCAGCCTGGGTGACAGAGCGAGACTCCGTCTCAAAAAAACAAAAAACAAAAAAAAACAACTTTTGGTTTTGATATCTGCAGGTGAGGAGAAGGTGTTACTGGCATCTAGTTAGTAGACGCCAGGGAGGCTGCTAAATAAACAACCTGCAATGCACAGGACGGGTCTCCATGATGAAAAATTATCTGGTTCAAAATGTCACTTGTACTGTTGTTCAAAAACCCTGCAACAATGGGTTTTGTGTACCTCAACCTCTAGGGTAGTAGTGATAAAATGCTTGGCTTGAGTTCGGTGGGGCTCTAGTACATCTTTCTTTCAGAAATTTTTTTTATTATTGTCTTTCCAAGAGACTTTGATATTCTCAACACCTTTGCCACTCTGGTTAGTGTGATGAGGTGAATTTGAATGTAGAATCAAGTCAGTATCCCCAAAGCCATTCAAAGATGAGTAAGAGTTCCAGCATCCCTTCTGGTCCAACTTTTTGAACCAGAGAAAGAGCATAATAACTTTCATACACTCAATGTCTAGTGACGTCCCAGGGAGTACCTAGTAAGTTCACAAATGACATGTGTTTTACGAAATTAACATGAAAATCCAAATATGAATTGTCGAGTAATTTGGTATGACATTTCCTTATTTTTCCTGATCAACTTGTATTCCATTTTTAAAAGACACTGGGCGATAATTATTCTTTATGTGCTATGAATGATTTTCAAACCACTGGTTCCAGGAAAAGTCAAATCCTTTTGGCCAAGGCTGACCTGAGTAAGCTCTGGTTTGAGGTTTGGTTTGATCTGGAGATCTGGGCCTGGCCTCTCTTCTGTTTTCTTGGTTTCCCACTTTGGTCCTGAGCATTCTTGGTAAATATTTATTGCCCTTTCCTCTTTTGTATTGCAGTTTATTTTCCTATATTTCTGGCTTAAGTGAATCTCTTGAAGCTTTTTTACTTATAACCCTAATGTACTGCTTAGATGCATCAGTACCCCTCCAATTTTTTATGGGATTCCCTGATCTCTTACCTCAGGGGTTTGTAACTTAATTCTTGGCTTATGGTGCCTCTAATTCTAGCTAATGTTTGCTGGGAATATTTTCTATCTATCCATTGTCTTCTTTTTGAGGTGCCAAAGGCACCTGATTAAGGAAAACCTGTGAAGTCATTTGTCTTATGTATTTAGGACCTCAGAAAAGGGACCAGTATTACTAATTGGAGAGTGATATTATTTTCCGGGATAGAGATGCTATTGGACAATGTTATTGATAATAAGCATAAAGCCCACCTAATTACAAGTTAAGAAGTATCCTATTCTTGGAATCAGGGAATGTTTTCTCTCGCTTTCATATTTCTCCTTGTATCAGTTATCACCATAATGCTGCATAACAACAATGCAATCCCACACAATTGCAGTAGTGTACAGTTATGAGCATTTATTTGTCATTTATGCATCTGCAAGGCAGTTGGCTAAGGTCTGGCTGATCTGGGCTGGGCTGGCCCAGATTGCAGGTTTTTTCCAGGTCAGCTACACACATCTCTCAATTTTCTTGTACCAGTGTCATGCTTGTGCCAAGACATGCTTTTCTCATTGTGATGGCAGAAATACAAGATGCAAGTGCTATTGACCCAAAACAGTGATGTGGCGAAGCTCACTGTCATTGGGTGCCTTGGTTACTATTGCTATGGCAAAAATTCCCTGGAATTTAGTGGCTCAAAATAATAGCAATCATTTTATTGTGTCTCTTGATTGATGTGGGTCAGGGATTCAGGTGGGGCTTAGCTGAGTGGTCTGGCTCAGAGTCTCTCATGCAGTTACAGTCTGATGATGGTTGGAGCTGGCATTGCAGGGAGCTGCCCAGGTATCTCTCAGCTTTTTCATGTGGACCCCGCATGAACTCATTTGAGCTTCCACACAGCTTGGTGGCTTTAGGACTATCAGGCCACTTACAAGGAATGTTAGAACTTGGCACAATTGTTGCAGAGGACCAAGTGGAAGGTACCTTGTCTTTTATGACCAGCCTTGGAAATTCACATGGCATCATTTCTACTAATCTCTGTTGGTTGAAACAGTCACAAAAACCTGCTCACTTTCATGGGGAAGAGACATGGATCCCAACTCTCCATGGGATGGATATGAAGGTCACATTGTGAAAAGTACATGAGGGATGAGAGATAGTGTTGCAGCCATTTTTGGAAAGAACAATCTGCCACAGTGGGGCAGGGAAGTATTTTCTGCCCACAGTGGAGGGGGAGGAGAGTGGATATTGGCTAAACATTACCTCAAACTCTCATATGCCTTTAGCACTTCGTATGGGGCTGTAAACACTGTGGGCGTGCAAAAGTGGATCCTGCTTGGGCACCTAGAAACAGGGCCTAGATGGGAAGCTTGTGCAAGATGTTTATTAAGGGATTGCTCTTAGGAAAAACCTCCAACAGAGGGAGAAAGCAGTATAGGACAGAGAAGAAACTAGGAAAAAATGTGGTTTTAGAAGAAGTCTGGCTTCAGTGTAATCCTTCGAGGAGCTCTAGAGTGTGAGATGTGCCATACAGGTTGTCCTGTCTTGAGGCAAGGGAGTTGAACTCTTATTCCCCTGTATCAGTCTGTCACAAGTGACACTTGGGGGAGGAGTGGGGAGCATATACTTCTCAGATGTCTCTAGTTAAGGCAACTGTTGCCTCTGCTACCAGCTACTGCTTGTACCATTAAGAACCACTTGTTTCTCATTGTAAGCTTACTCTATCTTCTGATAACTTCTGCAGGATTCTTCTTGGTCAGAATTTTTGGGTTATTGGGACAAACTACCGTCTCCATGGTTGCAGTTGGTCCTGAGGCCATACTAATACTCATCATCTTCCTTGTCTGCTACCCTTTCTAGATTCTTCTTTCTTGGCTAGCACTTCTGGCTAACCAATGTGGCTAGTGTGGTGGACTTTCTGGCCCAACTTTCATCCTGAGGGGGTCTGAGCCCCTGGTTTCCATTCCCTTATCAGGCTGTTGTTGTTGTACTTGCCAGTTTATGAGTTAAAACTGGTTATTGAAGTACCAGGAGATACCCTAGTGGGTCACCCGTCATATGTATCACATCATACCTATTCCTTCCTGCTCCCATTAGGTAGCAGTCTCTCTACTTCCTCATATTGATCATGGTCATACCCCCTTGCCAGTAAGACAACTCAGTTTTTTTGCCTACTCTTAGAATGAAGAGCCTAAAGCAACCTGGAGGTAGCAGCTATAACTTAATTTTAGCAAAAACTGTGTTCCTTGGTGGACACATCTCTAGCCCCGTGGAGCATAAGGTACTACATGTAGGAAGTGCAAATTCCACAAGGGACACTGGGAGTAATAAAGAGTGGGGTCACTCCTGCTTTGTCCCCCAGCCTTAGTTCCCAGACCTATGCATTCTGTTTCTTGGGAACCAGCCCCATATTATGGCTTTGGTTTAAAGTATATGCTACTTCCCGAAGGGCAGTGCCTCACCTGTACAGGGTGTTATGTCCAAGCTTGCCCCTTAACTATGCTTTTAAGAGGTTGTTCCAATGCTCGATCAGGCCAGCAGCATCTGGATGGTGTGGTAAGTAGCAGGAGCAGTGGATCACATGGTCATGTGTTCCTGTGCACTTTCTTTGCTGTAAGGTGGATTTCTTTGTCTGAAGTGAATTTATGCAGGATCAGACTCTCAGCTATAGCAGTCAGTTGGAGTCCTTGGATAGTAGTGGTGGCTGAGACCTGCAGGCAAGAAAAATAAATCTATACCTGGAATATTTGCCAATTCTAATCACGATAAAATATTGTCCTTTTCAGGGTGGGAGTAAATCAACTTGTCACCATCAAGCCAGTTGGTCTCCTCTAAGGATGGTGCCATCTCAGGGTCTCAGAATTGGCTTTTGTGGCTAGCGGTTTGAATGTTTAGCAGCATCAGGAGCTAGATCATCTTCAGAATTCAGGAGCTCCTGCTGTTGGGCCTGTGGGTAGCGTCTATCTCTGTCATCATGGCTGCTCCATTCATGAGCCATTGCATAAGCCCTGGATAGCCAAGGACAGAGGCCGGCTGAAGTCTCCTGTCCAGTGGTAGTTAAGCACCTCTTCCATCATCAGTGCTCACTGGTTGGCCTTAACACACAACACAGAGCTCATGTCACTTGGTGCCCACTCCCACAGGTCCAGCCACATGCCCTTGGACAGACTTCCATTTCCTCAGTCTTCTAATCTAGTTTTACCCAAGCCCCTGACCCACCATCCAAGCCTTGCACGACTGTCCATGAGTCTGTATACATCTGTCTTTACCACGGGCCACTTTTCTCTTCATGCAAAGTGGGTGAACAGTCCTGCTTCCTGAAGCTTTGCCCATTGGGAGGCAAGCTGACCTATCTGTGAGCCAAGCCAAGCCTTGGGATTTTTCCTTTTCTGTCATCCAGGAATGGGCCATAGTTGTGATCTAGGAGGGAAGAAGGGTTGCTGCAACAGTGGTGAGTGACATAGTGGGGGTGGGCCTGGTCATCTGCCCCTGCAGCTTGTGACCCCCGGCCCTGCTCATGTGAAACCTGGGGTGTACCTCTTCTACTTTATGAGGATTGTTGCTGGGCCTTCTTGACCTTATGACTTGCTGGATCTGACTGTACTTAGTTCAAGATTTACAGCTCTGCCCATATGGTCACTTGCTGTTTCATGTTCAGATGTTCAGTTTTCACCAAGTTTCAATAACTACCAGGAGCTGTTTTCAGAATGGTGTATAATCCTTTACTTACAATGGCATTGTCTCGCTCCTGAACCCTCAGGGTCTGCACTACTGGAGCATGCCCAAGGCACCACACAGCACCTTCATTCACCACAGCTGCCATTAGTGCCTTGAGATGTGCCTGGTCACGTGGCCCAAATGGCAAGGCTGCTTGTATTGCAGCCGGGAGCTGCCGCAGCTCTTTCTTGCCCTGGGTGCCACTCAAAATGGGCAGTCTTTTCTGCTACCCATTTTATAGATGAGACGTTTTGTGTTTAGAGAGATTGAATAACTTTTCAAAGTCTCAGAGCTAGTTCATAGTGGTTTGGGAGTCCATATATGCCAAACTCTGCTTCTCCACATTGCCTCTTCTACACTTTCAGGCCTATTTCCAGGATATCTATGAATAGAAGGAAAACTCACCTGTGGTTGATTGCATGTGGGTGAATTGGCTTGCCCTTGAAATGCCAGATGTAGATCAGTTTTAGCTTTTCAAAATAGCCTCTGACTCAGGTAACTGCATTGTTCAAGGACGGGAGCTGGTGCCATGTCCTACCCTGACTCAGGGAGTGATTCAGACTGAGAGTTGGCTAAATCTAGAAGGATTTTTGGATTGCATTATAACCTTTTAGGTATTCATCTTATCCTTTAGCTAAGAATAGATCTGGACCATGAACAAGCCCTTCTGAAATCATCCTCCTCCACTAGAGTTCTGAGCTTTCTTTCCATGTCCAATCTAGACAGTAGGGATCACTGCACGTTGAACTTTCCTCGTTCTTTCTTCTGCCCAGTTTGTCCTTGCATGATGATGTTCTCCCAGATGCTTTTATAGAGCATAAAGGGCATGATTGGCTCAGAAAGGTTAATTTTCTTGCCTAAGCTATTTATGTGGAAGCCAGGACTTAACCCCAAGTGGTTCAGCTCCACTGTGTTAGACTAGGGCTGTGCTCAATAGTTTTCTATTTACTGACAGCTATTGATGAGAAACTAACCCCTACTTGTTTAGCAGTGTCTTAGAGAATTATGACTTTGGGGGAATTGTATCAGGATGAGTATAGTAACAGTTTTGGATTTTATTCTACTTTATTTGATAAAATGAAGTTTTATTTGTATAAAGATTATTCTGGCAAAACTTTTAGTTTTTTTGGGACTCTGGACAGTTCTTTTAACTTTTGTTTATAGTGGCTTACAGATTAGTGGGAGGTAGACTTTAAGAAAGTATAGTAAAAATATAAATTACTGCCTTGGTGCTATTGAGTAAGGATGAAAAATAAATCACTGAGCCCTTTCATGCTAATATAATTCATTTCATATATTAATTTCACTTCCAAATATATGCATACATATATTTACAAAATAAACATATAGTTTTGACTAAAAGAAAATTTTAGGCTCCTTCTCACCCATCCTAAGGTCTTTTAGACCACCCAAGCAATTCACTTCTTGTCCACTCTGAGCATAGACAAAGGAGTTTGGAGGATTTATTTAAATGAGCAAGATCTGAAAGTGAGAGCACCTTCCAACTCCTTCTCCTCCATGGTTCATATTGTAGCTTCAATAATTTGCTCCCAGCGCTGTTCAAAAACCATATAAGCTTATATTCAAACAAAATTAAAAATGGATTTCAAACTTCATACCTAACTTGGGCTCCTGTCTCTTTTTATTTTCATCGCTGCTTCTCCACATTGCTGAAGTGATTGCCTCTGTATTCCAGGAGGAAAGAGAGGGTAATCTTGGCCCTCTTCAAGCATCAACACAAGCATGGAAATAAGACAATAAATCCTAATACTTAGACCATGTGATATTTGGGATGAAGTTGTACTGCTGCTCCATTAGCATGGCTGATCTGAACTGGCTTTAGTTACAGAAATTCTTGGAATAGATTCCTAGGTGGAAAGTGCTTTCTGTGGCTGGTGCTCTACAGAGATCCTGACCTAGGGAGTATTGTTTTTCTTGCTTAGGATCAGCCTCCATTTCTCCTAAGAACTCACAGCACCCTGGACCGTTTCATACACGAAACAGATAATGGGCCTCAAGTTTGCATGCAGACTTTCTGTTAACTACAACAGCCCCATCTCCAGTGTGTGCTTATGTTCCTTAGTTTCTCTGCCTGTCAGGCCTCAACAGATGCAAAATATTTCTGAGTTTGGGCTAAAGAGTGAAAATCCAGTATGATGCTGTCGTTGCTTTTTCCCTTCTCCTGACTGTTATAATTTGCTATAAGAAACGTCCAAACCAAGAAGTAGTTGACATTAGACACTTGTGGTGTTAGCACCAGAGGAGGTAATGACTCCCTGGGGAATTCAGCCTTCACTGTTCTTCACCTTCCGCTGGAAGTGAGTCCCGGCTACAAGCCTAAATCATTCAGGAGTGAAAGGAGAGGTCCCAGCTCGCCTCTCTATCTTTTGACTGTAGAAGAGTTCCAGATTTTTCCTTCAATTTCCAGATCTTCCCCAGAAATAACTTAAGTCCCGGAGGCCCTTTTCTAAGCAACCTAACCCGTGAGTCATTCCTGTGCTCCCTGTCTCCCACAATGATTGTATTCCTCTGTCCATTCACAATTTTAATTATGCCTCTGCTCAATGGGCTTCCCTTCTGGTTAACTTCTCCGGGTAACTCATTAAACCTCTGAGTCACACGTTCATTATTAAAGAAAGGACAAAAATGAGAGAACAAAAAGGAACTGTGCCCCAGGAGAAACTTAGGGGTGGATTACTGTGGTTAAGTGTAGCTGAGTAGCTGGAGGCCTTAGTTGCCTCTTCTCCCCTTTCAGGATGTGCCCTGCATGGCAGGATGCATCACAGGACTTAATACGGTGAGGTCATTGTTGTGGTTGGTTTTAATATGAGGGGTTTTTTTTTGTGTGCTGTTGTAGGACACAGTTTGCAATTCTGGTGAAAGTACTTTCCTCCTATTTAACTATGCCCTCTAAACTTAGGTGGTCTCATAACAATGATGGAGCTACTAATTAAAAAGAATTCCAGTCTTCACTTGTGCCTCTGAAAGAACATAGGAGGGAACCAATTCATAACCCACAGAGACACTTCTTAATATTCCCTTTCTTTTTTCCATCACAATTTTTCTAAAACGGCTCCCACCCCACCCCTACCCAGTCTACCAAGCAATTTCTTTCCTTCCTTACCTCTTTCCCAAGATAAGTTACTTTATTTCTTTCACCCTTGGATCTCCCTGTTGTAAAATGGGTTTCATTGTAGTACCTGGCTGATATGTTGTTGTGAAGATTAACTGAGATAAAACATGTAAATACTACCAACAGAGTGCATGGAACATTGAAAATGCTCCTAACAATTAGATGTTATAATTTTCAATTCAGCCTCCCCAGCCTCAATTTTGATCTTCTCAGTGGAAACACTAGAGAAAAAAAAAAAAAACCTGGAAGCTGAGAAAATGGTTCCTAAAGAATAATAACAATGGATATCATTTACCGAGTGTGACTCACGTCCCAAGCTTGTGGAACCATTTCTGTGCATTATCTTTAATCCTGACCACAACGCTGAGAGATAGATAGATACTATTATTACCCCTATTTCACAAATGAGGAGACTCGGACTAAGAGCGATGAAGCAACCTGCCCTGGGCCACAGCCTGTAGGCAGAGGAGCTGGAGTTCAGACCCTGGCCTGACTGACTTCCAAGTTCATGGTTTAATGGCTCTGCAGAAAGCTGCAAGGCAGTGGTGCAGCCAGCATCAGAAAGGCCAGTGTTCTCTGTGTGGGTTTTGACTCACAATGGCCATGACCCCCTGCTCAGAGACATAGGGCCTTGATGACGACTGGCCTGTCCTTGCAAACAGCTGCCAGGTTGGAGCCAGACCCCGCAGGGTGGGGTGAAACCACCTGGCCTGTGCCAAGGTGAAGTCTCTGAAGGCCTCCTTGGTTTTCAATGAGAGACAGAGAGAAATGTGTTTTTTTCTGCAAAGGTTGGCATTTATTTCTTAATAATCCGTTTTTAAAAATGTATGTGGCCTCCCTAATCAGCAAAACAAAGGCTTACTGTCCTTTTATGCATGCTAGAAAGTACTAATGAGTTCTTGGGGGTTTATCACTGACTCTGGAACAGAAGTAGAAGCCAGTATATCTGGAGTCAGTAAAAACAGGTTTTGCCAAGGTACTTCAGCTGCAAGGGAACCTTTAAATATTCCACACATCCAGCGCTGCATCTGTCCTGGGGAATTTGAGGATGAGCTGATGCCCTGCATAGGATGCCTGGTGCACACTCTTCTATTCCATGTCCTGGAACCTTGCGGGTGGGCCCTGCGCAGTCCTTTTAGATGTGTCACCTCGGGTGGTCTGCCATCTGAGGGTCTTCTCTCTGGGTAGAGAACCAGTTACACAACTCAGTTTCCCCAAAGGCCAGAATGGAATACTGAGCTTTGCACTAAGTGTAAGGGCCAATATGTTCTGGGTTCTGAAGAGTTAGCAGAAAAAAGGGCTGCTGCAGCCTTGGGTACTGTGATTGATGCCTGTTTTTTTGTGCAAACAAAAGTCAAATACCATTATTATTAGTGGCAATTCATTGGTATTCCTCTTCTTTGTCCTCTTCTTCTCCTTCTCCCTCTCTTGCATCTCCTTCCTTCTTCCTCTCATTATCCCAATTTTCCTCCTTGGTTTCTTTTAACAATAAAAGTATGTAGAGCAAGAGAGTATGTCGGGAAGATTTGGCAGATCATTCACTCATTCATTCATGTACTCATTCATTCATTTCTCAGACATTTATAAAGCACTTACTCCAAACTGAGCATGGGGTGGGGCTACAAATTCAAGTAAGAAATCTTTCTTATGGGATGTGCACAGTCTAGGAGGGAAGAGGCAGACATCTGACAATTACAAGAAGTAACATGTTCTGAGGACTCATTATGTACCTGGCATTGTGCTAAGTTACCCTTTAACCAGATCATCTCATTTAATCCTCATAGAAACACTCTGAGAAGAGTTTTAGCATTTTATCCTCTTATACATGAGGCTGAGGCAAAGACAGATTAAGTAATTGGCCCAAGGTCACACAGCTAGCAGGCCACAGATCTGACTTGAACCCAGGCAGTCTGACTCCAGAGTCAGTATTATTAACAGCTCTGCCGCTGCCTCCCTCATAATCACAGCACACAGTGACAAGTGTCACACAAGTGGGATCCAGCAGAAGTGAAATTTGAACCTAGTCTTGAAAAGTGAATAGGAGTTTTCAAGGCTGAGGAAGTCAGGAAAGATCATTGCAGGCCTAGGGAACAATGTGAGCAGAGACAGGAACACAGAAGATCCAGTATCCACAGCCCATAACCAGGAGCAGTGTCACGGACCCATGTGTCAAAGTTGGGGACAGGCAGGGGACTAGAGAAGACACCAGAAAAACAGCTGGACAGCTGTGCCTAGACTGCAAAGGGCTTTGAGTCGATTGCTCATGAGAAGGACTTTTGTCCTATAGGCAGTGGAATGACTTGACACCTTCTAAGAAAAGAGGGGAATGATTTGACTTGTATACTAAAAAAGATGATCATCATTTAAAAATAAATGATATTTTATATCACACGATCTTTGGGTGTCAGTAATATGAATAATAGGATTTTTTCCCTTTTGTTACTTTATATATTTTCCAAATTATCTTTAATGAACTTGTCTTGCTTATTTAAATAATGTGCATGTCCTTTACATGCATGTGCATATACACATGTAAAGGGTATATGTGCTGGAAAAGAGAGTTGTGAATTGGTGGCAGTGGAGAGGGAGGAGAGAAGTGGGAAGGGAACTTTCATGAGACTACATAGAAAGCAACTGGGAATGTCAAGGCTTTGGTGAAAGTCAAGGGCTTTGGTTATCAGGGACCAGAAGTAACTTGCTTCTGCTGATCCTTAACCCCACTTGAAGGGCCTCGCAGGCACTACACACTTCACAATGAATGAATGAATGAATGAATGAATGAACAAAAGAAAATGAAAGCAATGTGGTTGGAGAAGAGGGCATAAATTTGAGGAAGATTTTGGAGAGACAACTAGGAATCACATAATGGTGCAGCGAGGATGAGATTTCTACATTAAACATTGAGGAAGTTGATCACCCTCTTATCTGTGATAGAGAATGGGAGGAAATTCATGAAGTGAGAAGCAAGAGATGATGAAGATTTTGATTTTGAATATGTTGACTTAGGGGTTAAATTGATAAAATAAATTTAACTCTCTGTTGCAAAATCCAAATTGGATATAGAAGACAGATGAGCTAGAGAGAATGTATCTTCAGGGAAGATAGCCCTGAAGGAGAGCTGCTGCTTTATGGAAGGGCAAGTGAAATGCAGTTGAAAGCTGCCTTCAGAATCTTCCAGTCCAGTTTCTGCCACCTCCATTGTCAGGGAATGTCTAGTTGTTCACGTAATTTATTTCTAACTACATGTTTTGGTTACTTACTATTTAAATATATTGTATGCACACTGATATGGTTTGGCTGTGTCCCCACCCAAATCTCATCTTGAATTGTACTCCCCACAATCCCCACATGTTGTGGGAGGGACCAAGTGGGAGGTAATTGAATCATGGGGGCAGTTTCCCCCATGCTTTTCTCATGGTAGTGAGTGAGTTCTCATGAGATCTGATGGTTTTATAAGCATCTGGTATTTCCCCTACTGGCACTCATTCTGTCCCCTGCTGCTCTGTGAAGAGGTGCCTTCCACCATGATTGTACGTTTCCTGAGGCCTCCCCAGCCACGTGGAACTGCGAGTCAATTGAAACTCTTTTCTTGATAAATTACCCAGTCTCAGACATTTCTTCATAGCAGCATGAGAACAGACTAATACACACACCAAGTGCACATATAGTAAGTTTACAGTTTGTAGAATTTACATAAAATGAACACTGTTCTCTCATCTCCACCCAGACAAGAAGAGATCACTCCCAATTTCAGCACACCAGAAATCTTATTTGTGCCCTCTCTCAGTCATTGTCTGCCACCCATCAAACATAAACACTATTTAGGCTTATATTGCCATACTCTAATTTTGTCTCGTTTTAATCTTTATATAAATGGGATCATACAGTGTGCTATCTTTTTGGCCTTTTCCCCTAAACATTATGTTATGAACTCTATCACCATGAGTTGGATAGATGCAACTCCATCATAGCTAGAAGTGTAAGCTTGTTTTCCATGTTTTAAATAATTCTTAGAAGGGCATTTCAAATGCCCCCTTCTTCTTTCAGTATTTAATTGCTTTTATGGTCAAAGACTTTAATGTGTCTCACCATACTCTCTAAGTGGCAATACAGAAGCAAAGCTATGTGTTAGAAACGTGGGGATTTCCAGCACAGTCAGGAGCAGAAACTAGGGGATTGCATTCTAATTAGTTTTCTTCCTTAAAGTTCAAATGTGGTTAGAATGGTGACTGACTAGCTCAATATGCCTTCAGTTTCTGGCCAGATATATTACATGTTTAAACAAGAACATATCTCCCTGTTAACAAAGTATCATTTTTACTTATATGGACCAATAAGACCATTTTCTGTAACAGCAACTCAAAGAATTTCAGATGCAAAGTTTTATTTTTTAAATCAATAGTCTTTAAGTTTTTAGGGCAGTATGAGGTTTACAAAATATTGATCTGAAAGTACAGAGAGAGTTCCCACATATCTCTTTGCCCTCTTCACATAGTGTCCCCTATTATTTACATGTTATATTAATGGAGTACAAAATACAAAGTTTTAAAACAAAGTCAGAAGTAAATGCTTCCCAGGTGGCAGTAGCTCACAGCATAGTCATTTTTCCTGTGAGAATAGAGGGGAAGGCATGGATGGGATAGAGCATTCTACTCAGAAGCACAAATGCAATTATTATGGATCCATGCCAATACAAAGCTTTGATTAGAAACAAGCATCAGAATCTTAAAACACCTCTTAAGTTAATCACCAATGTGTTACTCCTGGTTATACAAAGCCCAAGGTGCAAAGTGTTCCCAGGGAAGAAAGTTTCTGTTGGAAATACTCTTGGGGCTGGTGGGGGAGGAGAGCATGGTACCACGTTTTTTTTTGTTTGTTTTGTTTTGTTTTGTTTTGCAGTTGCAAGATTTAATAGAATGAAAACAGAACTCCCATACAAAGGGAGGGGACCCAAAGAGGGTAGCCATTGCCGGCTGGAATGCCTGGGTTTATATCCTGATCATTGTCCCTTCCATTATGCTCTCAGACGATAGATGACTAGCTTTCTTTACCTCCTGTTTTTGCCTAATTAGCATTTTAGTGAGCTCTCTTTACTACCTGATTGGTCGGGTGTGAGCTAAGTTGCAAGCCCCGTGTTTAAAGGTGGATGCGGTCACCTTCCTAGCTAGGCTTAGGGATTCTTAGTCAGCCTAGGAAATCCAGGTAGTCCTGTCTCTCAGTACCCTCTCTCAACAGGAAAACCCTGTTGAGAGGTTGGCCGATGACCGCTCTAACTGCTTCCTGCTGAACTGGGGCATAGTAGGGGTCATGCAGTTGAGATTTCCTCAGGAGGGGTGCCTTCAATGTCATCAACATCAGAGCATGGGCTAGCAGGCTGGTCCAGGGATCCACGGTAGATTTTAGTTATGGACTGCCTCTGGGGCTCCATTTGAAGAATGATTTGTAGCTTCACAGCTTCGATTCTGGAAGAGACAAGCTTAACAAGGAGGTTAAAGATACAGGGTCCAAAGAGGAGTAACAATATTATAGCTGCTAGAGGTCCTAAGAAGGGGAGAATCCAGGGCATCCATTGGCTGAGGAGGCCCCAGGGTCCAGTGTTTTGAAGCTCCTCTGCTCTATGTTGTATGCAATCTCGAATTTCTTTAACTTTCTCGGTGACGATTCTGGATTGATTAACATAATAACAGCATTCTTCCCCTAAAAATAAACAGGTTCCCCCTCTTTTGGCGATTAGCCTAAAGTCTAAAGCTCTTCGATTTTGAAGGACTACTGTTGCTAGGGAGTTAAGTTGGTCTTGCAAGGTGACCAGGAAGTCAGTGACCCATTCCATGTCACCATTTAGTTCTTGAAATAGTTTGTAGAACTGAGTAGGGGTTGTGATACCGCCAATGCGAGTACCTAGTCCGCCTAGCACTCCTGCTCCGATAACAAAAGGAAGAATGGGTACTCTTTTGTTTCGGGGCTTAGGTACAACATAATTGTATAAATCTTGCTCAGTGTAGATGGTCATAGGGGGCACTAAGAATGAGAGGAAGCACATAGATTCTGAAGAGCCATTCAAACAACGATAGGCTGAGGTCACAGACAAAAAATATTCCTGTGGGTAGACAGACTATTTGTGTGGGAGGAGTTACCCACCTGATGCATTAGGAGTTGGTTGTGTCTATAGTATTGCTAAATTTTACACAGGTGAGGTTTGAGGTATGGGTTATTTCCAGATTGGAAACAAGAGGTCCTACTAAAACAGAAGTGGTGTTTATTTCTGGGCTGAAGTTGTTCCATTGTTCAGGTACAGGGATTGAAATGTATGGCCTGAAGTGCAGGGGGTTTTTTGGCACACTTTACAGGCCCTGACTATCTGCTTGATAGTTTTGAAAAGGCCTGGTCCAGTAAATAATGATTTGGCCATCTGATGGGTGCTATCAATGCCTAAGGGAAAGGTTTGGTGAAGGGTTTTAAGTAATTTCCACTGGTTAGCTGCTGGCAAAAGTATTTTTCCTTCTTTGGTGGTTAGCCATTCTGAGGGGAGGAAACTATGTCCTCGTGAGGTTCTCCATTCCATTTCTTCTTCTGAGTACTGGGACTTGGTTTCCTGGAGGGGATTACCCCATACTAGGGGTCCTTCTATAAGCATTTCTAATGGAGGGTCCTGCCTTGCGGCTCTTTGGCTTCAATATCCGCTTGGCAGTTCCTTTCTATTTCCCTTTCCTTTTCTTTCTGATGACTCTGGCAGTGTAAGACTGCCACCTCTTTAGGTTTCTGTACAGCTGACAATAATCTCCTAATGGCTTCCTGATGTTTGATAGGTGTTCCCTCGGAAGGTAGGAATTCCCTTTCTCTCCATATTGCTGCGTGGGCATGGAGGACTAGGTGAGCATACTTACAGTCTGTATATATATTTACCCTTTTTCCTTCTCCTAATTCTAGTGCCCGAGTGAGGGCTATTAGTTCTGCCAGCTGAGCACTAGTTCCTGGAGTGAGGAGATTACTTTCAAGTATTCCATTATCACTGACCACTGCATACCCTGCTTTTCGAAGTCCTTTTTCTACGAAGGAACTTCCATCAGTATACAAGTTGAGGTTGGGATCAGTCAAGGAGACCTCTAAAAAGTCCCCTCAATCAGCATAGGTTTGAGCAATTACTTGTGGACAGTTATGTTCTTTCCTTTCTTCATTGTCTGGAAGAAATGTGGCTGGGTTAAGAGTTGCACAAGTGCGCAGTCGCGGCACTGGCCTTTCAAGTAATAGAGCCTGATATTTAAGCAAACAGTTGTCTGACAGCCACAAGTCTTCTTTAGCAGTGAGTATGCCATTCACATCATGAGATGTCCACACAGTAAGATCTCTTCCCTGTATTATTTTAACTGCTTCAGATACTAAGACTGCTACTGCCATCACTACCCATAAACAATGAGGCCAACCCTTTGCCACTACATCAGTTTCCTTACTCAGGTATGCCATGGGTTGCAAGCTCGTCCCTCGGACCTGTGTAAGGACTCCTAGAGCTATTTCTGTTTTTCCTGTGACATATAAAGAAAAGTCTTGCCCCATTAGCAAGCTTAACACTGGGGCTTGGGTTAGGGCCTTCTTTAGGACCTAGAAAGCCACTTCTGCTTCAAGTGTTCATCTTACTAAATGGGTATTGGCTTTCTGAGTTTCCTTAATTAGTGTATGTAATGGCCTGGCTATTTTGCCATACCTGGGAATCCATATTCGGCAGAAGCCTGTTATGCCAAGGAATGCTCTTAGTTGCTTTAGGGTTTTGGGATGAGGATAAGCCAGTATGGGCTGGATACAGTCCTCACTGAGGGCCCTGGTGTCTTTGGATAATTTTAGCCCGAAGTATTTAACCTGTTGTGAGCAGAGCTGAGCCTTTGGTTTGGAAACCTTGTAGCCACAGGTGGCGAGGAAATTAAAGAGCGCTTGGGTGGCTTGATGGCACAAGGTTTCTGAACGGGTGGCTAAAAGTAAATCATCCACATACCGAAGGACAAGAGTGTCCAGGTATGAGAACTGGCTCAAGTCTTGGGCTAATTCCTGGCCAAATAGATGGGGTCTATCCCTGAACCCTTGGGGTAAAACAATCCAGGTGAGTTGAGATGTTGGGTTTGAAGGATCTTCAAAGGCAAACAAGAAGTACAGGGATGCAGAAAAAGGCATCTTTAAAGTCCAGGACTGTAAACCACTCTGTTTCCTCTGGTATTTGGGAAAGCACAGTATAAGGGTTAGGTACAGCTGGGTATAGAGGAACAACGGCCTCATTGATAATCCTGAGATCTTGTACTAGCCTCCACTGTCCGTTGGGTTTCTGTACTCCTAAAATTGGAGTATTGCAGGGGCTACTGCATGGTTTTACTAGGCCTTGGGCTTTTAGGTCCTTAACAATCTTTTGAGTCCTTGTAGGGCCTCGGGTCTAAGAGGGTACTTCCTTTGGTAGGGAAAGGAGGCAGAATCCTTTAGTTTAACTTGAACAGGACGGGCATTCTTTGCTTGTCCATATTGTCCTTCTATTGCCCAGACTTCAGGATTAATTCCTTCCTCAAGCAGGGGACAGCAAATGGGTGTTCCTTTTCCTATGTTCAGGTGTATAATGGCCCCTGCTTTTGCTAGAATGTCTCTCCCTAACAAGCGAGTGGGGCTTTCAGGCATAATTAGAAAAGCATGTGAAAAGAGTAAAGTTCCCCAGTCACAACTTAGTGGCTGAGAGAAGTATGTAGTGACTGGCTGTCCTAGGACCCCCTCGGATAGTGACAGATCTGGAGGACAATTGTCTGGGACAGGAAAGTAAGACTGAGAAGGCTGCGCCAGTGTCCAGGAGACAGTTAACTTCCTGGCTCTCAATGGTCAAACATACCCGGGGCTCTGAGGGTGATGGCATGGGCTGGCACTTGCCCCGGGCACCCTCAGTCCTGCTGCTGGATCATCAGGTTAGTGGCTTCTGACTCAGAGGACCTTCGTCCCCTGGGGCAGTAGGCCTTCCAGTGATTCCCTTGACATAAGGGGCATGGACGAGGGGCGGCTTATTTCTACTTGGACAATCTTTTCTAAAGCGTCCTTGTAGACTGCACTGGAAGCAAGCCCTATTAGGCATTCAATTTGCCCAGCTTTTCCCGTTTCCAGAGCCTCCAAAGTCCACTTGCCTGAGGGCCATGACTAAAGCGGTGGCCTTTTTTTAATCCCGTTTGTCCCGTTCCGCCTGCTTCTCCTGACCTCTATTGTAAAAATCTGAGGTTGCCAAGTTCAGTAGGGTTTCTAAGTTTTGCTCTGGGCCTAAGGCAGACTTTTGAAGTTTTTTTCTAATGTCTGCAGCTGACTGAGTGATAAACTTATCCTTTAAGATTAGTTGGCCTTCAGTAGAGTCAGGTGACAGAGAGCTATGCTTCCTCAATGCCTCCCTTAGTCTCTCCAGAAAGGCGGTAGGATTTTCTTCCTTTCCATGTATTATAGTGGACATCATTGAATAATTCATGGGCTTCTTCCTAGTTTTCTTTAGTCCTTCTAGCATGCAAGTTAGCAAATGTCTGCGGCACCAATCTCCATGTTCTGATTCTGTGTCCCAGTGAGGGTCTACACTGGGAACTGCCCGCTGGCCTGAGGGGAATCGTTCTCTTTCCTCTGTTGTCATCCTATCATTGACCTGACTGAGATACCAGAGATCACCAAACTCTCGGCCTGCAGTTATGGCGGCACTTCTCTCATTTGAGGTTAGTGTCTGATTTAGCAGTAACATTATATCTCTCCATGTCAGATCAAAGGATTGTCCTAACCCTTGTAAAACATCAATATAGCCATCAGGGTTATCTGAGAATTTACCTAGGTCTATTTTAATTTGCTTTAAGTCTGAGAGAGAAAAAGGTACATGCACTCTGCTGGGCCAAATTCTCCTCCTCCCACAGCTTGGAGGGGGCATAATTGGAGACTATTGGCACTCTTTGGTTCATTGTTTACCCCTTTGTCTATCTCCTTTTGTACCGTTTGGGTTGAAGGCGGGGTCCTTATTAGTTGGGGAAGGAGTCAGGGGGATGCTGAGGTAGGGAGGTAGACTCTGAAGGCTTCCTGTAGGGCATAAATCACACTTTTTACATAATTGTGAGTTGTCTCTTAATGAAAAGAAAGTTTGTACATATAGCACTTCACTCCATTTACCTTCTTTTCTACAAAAGAGGTCTAGCTGTAAGATGGGGTTATAATTTATACTTCTCTCAGGAGGTCAGGTTTCTCCCCCTTGAAGAGGATATTGTGGCCAGGCAGTACTGCAGAGGAATATAAATCGTTTCTTTCTTAGCGTCTGAGGGTCAAATTGGCCCCAGTTCTCCAGAATATATCTTCAGGGTGTTTTTGCCTTGGGGGGAATGTTTCCCATCTGAAAAAAGAACACAGGGATGCCAGCACCCCTAGTCATTTTCCGATGAGCATTAGTCCTAGAGCGTCCTCTATGGTCCTAATGCTTTTTCCTTTCCAGGGTGCATCACCACCCATGGACCTCTGCTTATCGGATTAGTGATGCTCACTGATGTAGCAGTCCTGCATCCCTTTTCCTGCCTTTCTTGACCACAAAGAAAGGGATCCGGGCTGCTGGATTCCAGTGGTCCTTTACCAGTGTGTCCAACATTGCGTTTGTGCTCAGGGGTGAGTCCTAGAGCTGGGCTGGGTTCCTGAGTATTTCATAGCAACCCAGCTGCCCCGTCAAGATGCATTCCCATAAACAACAGTTCTTATGCAAATTCGTTTCAGAGAGAGTGTAGGTAACATGGTACCATGTTCTAAGCAAAAAGCCGTCTCTTCCCTAGGTGATCCTTAATGGCTCTGGAGAGGATAGCCTTGGTTAAAACTTTGTTACATTAATAAAAGGAGCCAATATTAAAAGATATTCCCAAATGTCTTGTTTTCCTTGTTAAAATTGTTTTTAATTGTGACAAAATACACATAACAAAATTTACCATTTTAACCATTGTTAAGCATACAGTTCAGCGGCATTTAACACCTTCATATTGTGCAACCTGGTACTATCCTTCTCCAGAACATTTTATATCTTACAAAATTAAAACTGGACTTATCAAACAATAACTCCTACTTCCTCTCACCTCCTGCCCAGTCCCTGGCAACCATCATTCCACTTTCTGTCTCTATGAATTTTATTACTCTAAGTACCTCATATAAGTGGAATCATTCAGTATTTGTTATTTTGTGACTGACTTATTTAACTCAGCACACTGTCTTTAAGGTTCATCTGTGTAGTAGCATGTGTCAGAATTTCCTTCCTTTTTAAGGCTGAATAATATTCCATTGTATGGATATACCACATTTTATTTATCCATTCATCTGCTGATGGATATCAGATTGCTTCAATTATTTTTTCTGTTTTGTAACTAGAAAGTTACTCTTTAGCCAGATATTTTACATATTATCAAAAAGCTATGGCTTCCTTGAATTCTTCAGAATAAACATAAAATTTCCTGCCAATAACTTTCAGATGCCATAACCGTACTAATTTATGTTCTGGTAATAACTCTAGACACTGAGAATTTTAGGTTTCAAAAATAAATCAGAACTAGATTCCATTCTCAAAGAAGTATGGTCTAGCTGGCAAAATAAATTAGGCACACAGATAATGTTAATAGTTTGTCTGTGTGTAGAGAAGATGGAGAAGGGGGCCTCAGAAAGTGAAGTGGGAATATTTGGCTGGGCAGACTAAAGAGATCATTGAATTCAGGCTCAGGAATTTGGAGTCAAGGTAGGTAGTGGGAAGCCACTGAGTATTTCAGATTGTTTTGATTTTTATAGATTACTTTGTTTCTTTTCTATTTAATTTTTTAAAATTATGCAAAACATTTACATGATTTTGAACTTAAAACTATAAAATATGATACATTCAAAGAGATCCAGCTTCCACCTAAATCCTCTTCCCATTGTTCTTTCCTTTCTCCTATAGGTAACCCATTTTATTAATTTTTGGTTTATCTTTCCATTTCTTCTTTTTGAGAATATAAGCAAATATGTGGCTGGGCGTGGTGGCTCATGCCTGTAATCCCAGCACTTTGGGAGGCCGAGGCAGGTGGATCACGAGGTCAGGAGATCAAGACCATCCTGGCTAACATGGTGAAACCCGTCTCTACTAAAAAATAAAAAAAATAAAAAATTAGCTGGGCGTGATGGCGGGCGCCTGTAGTCCCAGCTACTTGGGAGGCTGAGGCAGGAGAATGGTGTGAACCCGGGAGGCCGAGCTTGCAGTGAGCCAAGTTCATGCCACTGCACTCCAGCCTGGGCGACAGAGCGAAACTCCGTCTCAAAAAAAGAAAAAAAAAAGAAAATATAAACAAATATGTATATATCTTCCTGTTTATATTAAAAAGTAGCATATTATGTTCATTCTTCTGAATTTTGTATTTTCACTTACATTCCTTCATAGCAATATATAGAGATTTTCCTCACTCCTTTCTGTGTCTGAGAATTATTCATATAATTCTCAGTTTTATGAATGCAACTAGTCCCTAATTCATGAACATTTGGGGGTTGTTTTCATTTATTTACTATTACAAATTGTGTTTTGACAAATAGCTTTGTGCATGTATCATTTTACATATTGCTAGTGTGTCTTTGGGATAGATTCCTAACTTAAAGGATCAAGGCTTAGGTAATTTGGCCATACATTGCAAAAAAGTTCCATAGGGGTTATACCACTCTGCATTCTTGCTAACAATGCATGCAAGTCTCTGACTCTTCACAGTCATGCCAGTAGGGTATGTCATCAAACTTTTGGATTCTTGCATATCTGACAAGGGGAAATGATGTGTTAGTGTAGTTCTAATTTGCATCCATAGAAACTACTGATATTTTAGGGATAAATCAGTAGGCCTTAACAACTTTAAATGTGGAGGCCAGTGAGAATGAGAAGAGTAAAAGGATGAAAAGATCAAGGAGAGCAAATATAGGTGACAAGTTATCATTTGAGTTGCTCATGGGACACCCATATGGATGTGTTAATTGTGCCTTTGGATCTAAGAAAGACATCGTACATCCACATAAAGATGGTGGTTGAAGTTGTGAGACTGCATGAGACTGCCAAAGCTGGAAATGTAGATAAGAAGAAGGGCAAGAAAATATATTTCTAATACAGCCACAGTTGGATAAACCAAATCATCTTCTTTCTCCATGTCCTTCCTCCCTTTTTCTATTATTTTTGAGGTTTTAATTTTTATTATTAATATTATTTTTTCAGACTTAGAGGTGACAGATCTCCTGTGTCCCCTACTGAAATACTTGAGAAAAGAATGACAAAGGAAATTGGCGGATTACACTTGCCACTGAAAGTGTGATCCAGCGATCCAGTAGCAGGGAGATACCTGTGAGCTTGTTAGAAGTGCAGAAGTTCAGGCCCCAGCCCTGATCTATGGCTTAGAAACGGTGTTTTCTCAAGATGTGTGGGCAATTCATGGCTTCTTCATGCCCTTTTGATCAGCTGGACTTTGCTGGACAAAATAAAAAGTTGTCTGGTTGTGCCTTAAATTTATAATTCCAGATCATAACCGGGTGCTCTGTATTTTCTACTGTGTTTCTCTAGTGGGCCTGCTTTCACAATCCCAAGGTTATTACTTCACACTTTTTCCCCTTCTGCAAATTTCACTTACCCTCCCTGCTTATTCTCAAGCCATGTCCTTCCCTATTTTATGTAGAAAATTGAAGCCATCAGATGGGAATTCCCTCATACTTCCACCACCAAATTTATCACCATGCAGGCATTTACACCCCCTTTCCTTCTTCTCTGTAGTGTGATGGAAGAAGTGTCTGTCCCTCCTTAGATCATAGACCACTCTTCCTATGTGTGCCTGGATTCTATTCCCTTTCTCTAGGATCGGCTCCTTGGCCATCGTCTTCCAGTGCCATCAATGGCTCCCGCTTTTCTGGATCATTCCCATTAGTAGACAAACCTGACGACATCAACTGTCTTTTTAAAAACCACCTCTTCCTTGACTGCTTGCCCTACTCTACCCACTGCCCCATTCCTTTGCTTCCCTTCACAGTAAAACTTCTTGAAAGGGTTGCCTTCCTGCTGTCTGCCTTCCATCCACTTTTCAGCATGTTTCAGCCTGGCCTCTAACTCACCACACCATGGAAACTGTTCTTGTCAAGGTTGTCAGTGACCTCAGTGATGTCAAATCCAATAGATACTTTCAGCAAAATTTGACACATTTGACCATTTTGAAAAGTTCCCTCTTGTGGTTTTTGGGACACCATACTCTGCTGGTTTTCCTCTTCTACCTGACCTTTTAGTGTTGATGTTTTCTCTCTTTCTCTCTGTCTCTCTCTCTCCCCCGCTCCCTCCCTCCTTCCCTTTCCGCCTGTCCTCCCCCTCTCTCTCCTCTGTCTTTACCAGCTTCTCTCTTTATCCTCTCTCTTCATGCTCTCCTGTTATACTTGTGCCCTCTCACTTCCCCCACCTTCTCAAATCTTCTCTCCTTTCATTCTCAATTTTTTTCTTTAGAGGCAACATTCATTTTATAGCTCCCCATAACTTTCCCATTCCCTGTTGCCGTATACACAACGTGTTTCTTGCATTTACATTGACTACCTGGCCTCTGTGGTCATTTGTGTTTGGGATCACTCTCCTAAGCCACATATTGTAGATATTTATGTAAACATTTTTGTCTCTTTCTTGATAGTATGTTCTCTTAAGAGTTCATTTCACCTCCAACAGTGCCTAGCACAGTGCCTTGAGAATAACAGAAATAAAATTTATTGCATAAAATAAATAAGCAAATACATATATACATGCAAATATTCTTGAAAATCTGAAATTCAAACATTTTCACTTTAAAGAGGGTGCATAAGAAAAATGCCTGGCACAGTGTTGGGCACCTAGTGGGCATTTGGGGTTTTTGGTTAACTAATTGAATGTTAGCAATCTGTAGATTTCTGATATGACAAATAACTTAATGACTCACTCATCATTTAGGAATATTCTGAAGTACCTATATTTTTTAAAATTCAGCTCAATTGTATATTTCATTAGAAGTAGAAATATGAGGCAGAGAATGTCAGGGTATCAGAAAAATATGATTGAATATTTAGTGACTTCTGAGATAAATGCTGTTAAGAATAAAACAAAGTATTTTACATTAATGTGAGGTATCTTTTAGGTATCATTCAAAAATCATTTTGTAATTAATATTGCTAAATGAAAATACTAATAGCCTAAGGCTAGGTGCCTCAGACTAAAGTAAAATAATCAATAATGTGATCAAATTATCAATAATGAAAATATATTAATAATGAGAATTGAAAAATGGGAAATAAAAAATAAAGAAAAAGAAAAAAAGAAAAATGGGAAATAAAAACAATGATTTGGAGAGGGAAGACATATATTTAGCTTAATAACCTTAATAACTCAGGCAAGTACTGAGTCTTGGTTTTCTTAGGTCTGAAACAAGAAGATTGGATTTAGTTATCTCTAAGTTCTTTTCCAGCTATAAAATCTTTGTATTTATGTAATAAATAAAGGGCTGCTAGTTCTATGATCCTGATGTTTACTTTTTCAATGCATGTTTGATTCTGTTCAGAGAAAATACCTGGTAAGCCCTAATGGAAACCATCTGTTAGAAAAAGAAGGAGACAGAATCGTGGAGCTCTGTTGACTTCCCTCGTCTTACCAGCAAAGAGAAGAGGTGTAGTAATTCTTAAAAAGGAAGAAAGAAGAGAGATCAAAGTGGGAGAAGGAAAAATAAAAAGAAAAAGGACTAAGCACTTTCTTCTTTCCTCTGAGAGACTGCGGTGGCTCTCCCACCTTTCCGGAGACTCGTCAGCACCTGCCTGGTGGACAGCACCACATCTTTAAATTCTAAGGTTCTAACCCCTTTATTCCCAAATTCTGGAGTTCACTAACAAAGTGGTTTTCATTCTTTAAAAAATGAAATGAAACCAAAGAGGGACACACAGAGGGCTTCCAAAATAAAATGCTAGATCTTAAATTGGGTGCTTGGTTTATGAATTATTTTGTATTGATCAACTTTCCATTATAAAATAAATGAATTAAAAATATATATCACAATAAAACAAAAAGAAGAGCCATTCTCATTTAAAGAGAGGCCTTATCTCCAGAGAAATAATTAGAGGCTATCATCTATCAATCCTAAAGGGTTTTAGTAAAAACCGTTACTGCTGCCTCCGAGGTATAAGGTAAGCTGAGGTAAGCAAGCAGGGTAGTGGCAAAGATCATGTGTGAGAACAAGAATGTGAAGAGGAAAATAGAAGGGATCTAGATATTCGATGAAGTCCAGAAAGGCTGGCTTTGATATGAACAGCAGCATTTCAATCAGCCTCATGAGAAGCTCCACAATGCAGAAGTCAAAGAATGTGATCTTGCCTTTGAGCAGAGTCTGATGAAAATTCCTAGAGTAGGACTCAGATTCCCCCATAGTTTTGTATTTAGGTTATGAGAATGAGACTAAGAACCAGATTGTCACTAACAGAAAGCAAAATCTCAGCATAATTTTCATTGTGTGGAGTTCAGAAATGCATTTGAACTGCAGGCTTCATCATTTGTATCTCTGACCATTTGCTTTTATGCCTGGAGGAAGGTCCAGGCAGCCACTAACTGCTCAAATCCTTCCATTCTGGACTTGCTCTTCCTCTGTCAGTTCTCATCCTTACTTTCTTTTTGAGTGTTCTAGATGGCATTAATCAACATTCATCAGTGGTTTGGTTACACTGAATTATCTTAGTTCCCTTCCCCCATTACTTCATCTTCCCCTGACCTTCCTCCTTCTCCTGGACTCATTAACACTCATTCCTGGCATTCAGTAGATGTTGATTGAGCATTTACTATGTGTTAGTTACTGTTCCAGGTGCTGGGGACAAATGGGTGAACCACATATACATGGCTTCTGCATTGATGCACGGTATGGTATGGTGGGGAAGGAGAAGGTAGATGTTAAACAGCCTTCTACAGAGGTTAATACATATTTTGGTCCATGCCATATAGGGGAGATGTGGTGCTATGAGAGACAATATCAGGGGTGACCTACTCAAAATAGAGTGGTCAGGAAACTCAGCTCTGAGGAGATGGCATTTAAATTGCGTCCTGAGTAATGAGAGGGAACCAGGCAAGTGAAAGAGAGGAAAGCGTGTTCCATGCAGAAAGTAAAGTATGTGCAAAGGCCAGGAGAAGAAGACTTTGGCACTGGAAGACCTTAAAGAAAGCTGGTGACACACCCCAGACACATACAGTGGTGTTAACAGATAAAAACAATGGTTGATTTGTCCACATATAGAATACTTTGTGCAGATCTGGGCACACTACTCTTAAGGTGCTGGCATGAACAAGTGCTCATGATTGGTTGTTCAGTCTTGAATGTATGGCATGACTCTACATATACAATGCACCAGTTAGGATTCTCAGTTGCAAGTGCTAGAATGTCCAATCAGAACTTTCTTAAGCAAAATAGATATTATTAGTTGACATATCTGAAAAGTCCATGACCAGGGATACCCTCAGGCCTGGCTGTACCAATGGTTCAATGTTTTAGACTGGCATTGTCCACTAGAGAGAAAATATGAGCCATATGCATCATCACTTCAACATGTAATCAAAATAAAAATTATTGGTGAGATATTTTACATTCCTTTTTCCTTCTGAGTCTTTGAGATGCAGTGTGCCTTTTGTACTTACATCACATTTCTGTACTGGTCACATTTCAAGTGTTCAATAGCTACATATGGCTAGTGGCTACCATTTTGGATAGTGCAGGTCAAGGCCTTCGATCCTCTCAGTTTCAATTTGATAAGTACCTAGATTGTCTTCCTAGAAGTCTGAGCAAAAGTTTCTTTGTGTCTCACTGGCTCTAAAAGAGTCCTGTGACCACCTTGAACCAACATCATGACCAGGAAGAAAGTGTTGTGCCCAGCAGTTTAGAACCAAATTGCATGCTGTACCCCAGGACTGCAGGAGAGGGGTAGGCTCCATGTGAACTCTGTGTATAGAATATATATTTATTATTTTTGGCCACCCAGTATCCATTTGTCTGACTTTGGATAATAATGTTGGGGGATCAGTTCTCCCCACATAAAGAGGACTGGAAAGAAGACTGTTAATGGAGGTTATCTCTGGAAAGAATGATTCCAGGTATTATAAATGGTACCACTTTTATTTTCTGTTTTATAAATTTCAGTTTTTAGTTTATTGCTACTAGCATGCACTGTTTTATTTTTATTTATGATTTTAATGAAGAATATAAACATAGCTTTCTTTGTTGTAAAAAGGTTAGGACCAAATAGGGAGAATGATCTAATACTGGGGTGACCAAATGGTTTTCCTAGGACAGCCCTGGCTTATACCAGTGATTATAGTGTAATTATTAATAGAAATCCCTTTACCTCCAGTGTGTCCCATCATAAGAGCATATGGTCATCCAGTATAATAATACTTTAAAACCATCATGGGTACTGATATGGTTAATTCAGACTCCACAAATACCTTGAGATAACAGAATGATTTGATAGATATACCTTGAACCCCAATAAAAGACAGAGTAGTCACACTTTGTATTTGTGCATCATCAGGAAATGAGGCATTCCAAGAGTTAATTTTTCTAACTGAAGCTTGCCCTCTAAGCATCAAAATGTTTTAACATTTAACTACTTTTGATGGAAATATTACTCTGTGATATTTTATATTTTCCCACCTTCTTAAGTGGAGTAGACCAAACATAATGGAACTACTTCTTGTTGACACAAGTTATTGCAGAGCTTTCCACCTGGTGGACAAAAGCTCAGTGGTGTGTTGTGAATGGATTACAGGTGTGTGGAAATATGATCCCTCCATCTCCACCTCTCAGGGAAGCCAGGCCGGGCTTGAGGGGTGACAGAAGCCCCTGGATCAGTTGCCTCTTGCTGAGTCATCTGAATAGATTCATTTTCTGTGTGCATCTTGACTCGCACATGAGTCATCTGAATAGATTGATTTTCTGTGTGCATCTTGACTTGCAATAGGTTGGGAAGCATTAGTTACTGCTTTGTATTATAGTTCAGAGATTCTGGCAGGTGACCCTCCATCTTGGGGTTACAGAGGGTGATTTACATTTACCCTTGAACTGAATTTCCCTGAATTGACTACTTCTCCTTGTTCTTTGTAGCACTCTTCCTTTTTACTTGCAGGCAATTGCCATTGCTTGTTACTGTCTTTCCTATGTAGTCTGCTATCTTATTTTACACAGGTTTGTTTAGGTTAGGTGAAATATACTTGAGTATAGCTCGACTCCCCTAACTGAAGATTTAGTGGTAGCTGTTCACATTGTTGTCTTTGAAACTCATTGCTGTGCTGTTGCTATGCTCCAGGTATCTAAGATGATCTTAGAATATCACATTATGTTTCCTCATTAGAGATGGTAGAAATCTTATAGAGGGCTCTTTATTCTTAGAGTTAGTTGTAGTTTATTTTATATATATTATATATATAAAATATATATAATATATAATATAAATATATATATAATTTCAAGAAGACTAAATTGCTAGATAATACAGGATTACAGGAAAGAAAAGAATATTTTACACAAACACACATATTTACATACATATATATGTATACAGAGAGAGAGTGAGAGAGACATTTAAAAAACATGGAGGACAGTTATGCCCTCTTTGCAAACCAATCTCAGAAAGGTCAGTTGTCATGTTCACTCAACAAATAGTCCCTTGTTGCCATTCTGAAACTGAATGCCCTTGTGGCTGGACAACTGGACTCAGCTAATAAGGCATTTCTGATGCTTTTGTGTTCTTATGCAAGGATGGACCTTTTCCAGCATTGTAAATGACAGCAGGAAATACTCAATGGGCCACAGGAAATAATTAACATCATCTGGGATAGTCTGACTCAGAAGTTAAAAGTAAGGACTTTAAAATCTGACCTGGGAATTAATTCTAGTTCTAACATATGTTAATTCTGTGGATTTGACGAGTTTCTTAGTCCCTCTGAGTCCCACTTCTCTCACTGAGTTGTTGTGAAGGTGAAATGAGAACATGTTTGCTATTAGCTAAGCATAGTCTTTGGCTAGTAGTGAGTGGTCACTAAATTGTAGTTGTTTCATTATCATTTTTAATAATAATAATATATGGAGTAGTTAATGATTAATGACAAGACTTACCTTTGGGGAAACTAGAATAAATAATAAAACATAAGTATAATGTTTTTGTCATTAGCCTAATTTTGAGTAATTAGTTGCCTGTCATATTTCTCACTAAATGGTGACATGTATGAACAATTCTGAAATTAAGTGGACTAGAAAGCCTCTAGAGTTATTTTATTCTTCACCATCCATGGTGTTTACTATGTGGCATCATATTCTTTGCCAGGCAATTGCAGGCTGGTAGATGCTTTCAACAAGACAGTTGTCCTGAATTATAACTGACTGATAGTTTATACAGATTCTGCCCTCCACTTTTTGAAAAATTGGTACATTATTTGTACTTTACTTAACTCCTATAGGATTTTCCCCGTATATCTTACATTTCTCAAAAACAACAGATAGAGGTGTTTTTGGAACATCTGTCATTCCTAAAGCTCTTTAAGCAAGTTTCCAAGAGAATAGTGATTACCCTGACCAACTGCTGTACCTTCTTCTGTTTGCTGTTGCAAAAGATGCAAAAGTACCTATAAGAAGGTAGACTTCTAGTTTCTTCTCAAAGATGTAGACAGCTGGGAAGGATTGTTCCTAAACTTATGGTGAAAAAAAATCTTTACGAATAGAAAGTTCACAACTTTTCTTGAGCTCACTGGAGTCCTAAGGTTGCTGGGTACCCAGTAGGCCCAAAATCGAGGAAGAGATAGGTATCTTCAGGGAGAAATGAGATATGAGCTCTGACTTACCTAAGCAAGAAACATACCTATATGAATTCAGCTAAGGTGGTTGTTGAATATGCAGAATCTGGCTTAATGAACTCTAGTAGAAGCGGGCAAAGCCCTAGGGATAATAAATAAAAGGAGATCACACTTTCTTTCTTAGACTCATTTCTCCATGAACCCCATCACAGGTTCACAAAAATGGTTGGGAGAGTCTACAGAAAATCTCCCTTGTAGTGAATTGCTGGAGGAGAGGAAAAGAAACTGCTGTGAGAGGGGTGAGAAATTCTACCTGGACCCTTCTTGCCTACCTCCCCTATGAACAAAAGCCTTAATTAGTGTGACATGTATGTAGAAGGGAGCAAACATTATCACTCTTTGGATACTGGTGAAATCCCATTACATCTGAGATAAGGGAACAGGGAAAAAAATCTTAACACCTAGGGAAAGGATGGATATACATTCTGGATTCAGAAGTGAAGCAGGGGAGGGATGGGATCACTGGGAAGGCTGCTGCTTCAGGACTCAGTGATATAGTGCTTGCCTAAGACTACAGCTTAATCAGAACAATAGAAACCATTTCCTCCACACACCCCCAAACCAGGCTAACGAGAGAAGTCAGAAAAATAAAAGAAAAGAAGAAAAAAACAGAAGGAACAAAAAAACAGCTAGCAAAATAGATTTTAATTTGACCATATCTATAATCACATTAAATGTGAATGGTCTAAACATACCAGTTAAAAGATGGAGATTGTCAGATTGTATGAAAAATTAAGAACCAGCTATACACTTTCTGTAAGAAACCCACTTTAGTTATAAAGACAGATAGGTTAAAAGTAATAGAATAGAAAAAGATATGCTGTGCAAACACTAATCAAAATAAAGCTGAAGTCTTTATATTACTATCAGACAAGTGAGACTTTTAGAACAATGATTATTATCTGGGATAAAAAGGAACATCAAATAATTATAAAGGGCTTGATTTTCCAAGAAGACATAACAATGCTAAACATGTACGTACCTAACAACAGAGTTTCAAAATACATGATGCAAAAGCTGATAGAATCAAAAAGTGAAATAGATAGTTTCACAATTACAGTTGAAAACTTCAGTGCTCCTTTTTCAGTAAATGATAGAACAAATGGAAAGAAAATCATCAAAAATATAGATGACTGGAGCAACATTATCAACCAACTTGACCCAGTTGATATTTATAGTATACTTTACATGACAACACTTCTTTCTAAAGTGCACATGAAACATTCTCCAAATGATACTATGTTCTGGGCCATAAAGCAAACTTAACAACCTTAAAAGACTAGAAACCATAGAAAGCATGGTCATGAACTATAATGGAATTAAGCCAGAAATCAATAATAGAAATATAAGTGGAAAATCTTCAAATGTATGGAGATGAAACAACACATATCTAAATAAACCATATGTCAGAGGAAGTCTTAAGGCAATTAAAAAAGCGTTTTGAACTGAATGAAAAAGAACTACAACATATCACAATTTGGGAAATGAAGCTAAAGTAGTGTATAGATGGAAATTTATAGAGTTAAATGCTTACACTACAAAAGAGGAAAGGTCTTCAATCAGTAAGGTAAGCATCCACCCTAAAAAGAAAAAAACTAGATAAAGAAGAACAAATTAAAACTAGTGCAAGCAGAAGGAAGAACATAATAAGAGCAAAAATCAATACATTTGAAACAAAAAAGCAATTTGGATATATCAATCAAACCAAAAGCTGGTTCTTTGAAAGATCAGCAAAATTAGTGAACTTCTAGGCAGACTGACCAAGAAAAAAGAAGATACAAATTATCAATATCAGAAATGAAAGAAGGGACATCACTGCTGACCCTACAGATATTAAAAGAATAATAAGGTAGTGCAACAAACAACTCTGTGCCCATAAATTTGACAACTTAGGTGAAATGAATCAATTCCTCGAAGGACAGACATACTAAAATTCATTCAAGAAGAAATATTATATCTTCAATAATCCCATATCTTCTAGGGAAATTGAAGTTATAGTTAAAAGCCTTCCAAAAACAAACAAACAAACAAAAAAACAAAACAAAAAAATGCAAGGCTAGTTCAACACTGGAAAAATCAACCAATGAAATTAAAATTAAATATATTTACAGAACCAAGGAAAAGAAAAACGATGATTATTTCAATAGATTTACAAAAAGCACTTTAAAAATTAATCATCTATTCATGATTAAAACTATCTGCAAACTATGAATAGAAGGCAATTTTCTTAACCTCAAAAAGGGCATCTACAAAAGGCTATAGCTAGCAACACACTTACTGGTGAAAAACTAAACACTTTCCCCTTAAGATAAAAAACAATGCAAGATGTTCTCTCTTATGACTCCTATCTGACTTCATATGGAAAGTCCTATAGTACAATAAGGCAAGAAAAAAAAAGGCAAAAAGATTTAAAAGGAAGAAAGGAAACAATGTCTTTTCACGTGTAACTTTATTGTCTTTGTAGAAAAACCCGAAGGATCATTAAAAAGTTTCTAGGACTAATAAGTGAGTTTAGTAAGGTTGCAAGATACAAAGTCAATTGTATTTCTTCATGCTAGCAATGAACATATGGACTTTGAAATTTAGAGAGCAATAGCCTTTTCAGTAGCACCGAAACCCACAAATTCTTAGATATAAATCTAACAAAAACAATATTCAGGATAGGTATGCTAAAATCTAGAAAATCCTGGTGAAAGCAATTAAAGAACAGTAAAATAAATACAGATACTGTATTCATGGATTGGAAGATGTCAGTTTGTCCCCATGAAAACAAATCTGAAAAAGCACAAAGTTGGAGGACTCAGACAGTACCCAATTTTGAGACTTGTTACAAAGTTATAATAATCAAGGAAGTGTAGTGTTGACAAAATGATAGATACAATAATCAGTGGAACAGAGTTGAGAGCCCAGAGGTAGACCCACACAAATATAATCACCTCATTTTTGACAAGGGTGAAGAAATGATAGTCTTTTCAACAAATGGTGTTGGAACAGTTGGATATCTATATGCAAGAAAGAAAATGAACCTCAACACTTACCTCACACCTTAAAAAACAACTGAGAAAAAGATCATAGATCTAAATGTAAAAGATGAAACTACAATACATCTAGAAAAAAAATCACAGGAGAAAATATGACCTTTGGTTTGGCAAAGAGTTTTTAGATACAACATTAAAAGCACAATCAATAAAAGAAACATTAATGAATTGAACTTGAAATAAAAATTTTGCTCTGTGAAAGACAATGTTAAGGGAATAAAAAGACAAGCCACAGATTGTGAGAAAATATTTGCAATCATATATGTAATGAAGGACTTGTATCCAGAATATATAAAGAACTTTCAAGCTTCAGCAAGAAAGTAAACAACTCTATAAAAAATGGGCAAAATATTTGAACATATGTTTTACCAAAGAAAGCATATGATGGCAAATAAGCATATGAAGAGACACTTAACATTATTTTTAATTAGGGAAATCAAAGTTAAAACCACAATGAACTATCATGCATATCAATTAGAATAGCTACAGTTAAGAAAAAACAAACCTGACAACACTAAGTGTGTGCTGGCAAGGATGCAGAGCCTCTGGAACTCTTTCATGTTCTTGTTAAGAATGCACAATGGTACAACCACTTTGCGAAGTAGTTTGGCAGTTTCTTATAAAATTAAAGATATACTTATTATATGACCCGGCAATCCCACTCCTTGGTATTTACTCAAGTTATTGAAATTTTGTGTTCACTTAGAAACCCATACATGAATATTTGTAACAACTCTACACATAAACACCCAAACTGGACACAACTGAGATGGTCTTCAACAGGCGAACAGAAGTGATATATCCATAAAATGGAACACTATTCATCTGTAAAAAGGCACAAGTATTAATTCATGCAACATCATGGATGAATCTTAAATCCATTTTGCGAAGTGAAAGAATCCAGACCCAAAAAGTTCATATTTTACTATTCCATAGGATACTTTAGAAAAGACAAAACTACATTTATGGAAAATGCATTGCCAGGGGTTGGGGTTTGGGTTGGAGTTGACTGCAAGGGAGCAACATGAGGTAACTTTGTGGCTGATGGAACTGCTTTATATGGCACAAAACTCTATGTATTTGTCAAACCCATAGATCTGTACACCATAAAGTGTAAATTTTGCCGTGTGCAAATTAAGAACAAAATCAATCAGGATACTGAGGAACCTAAGATGTAATGCAGAATATGACAAATGAATCTAACTGCATTGCACGTGTATAACATAAATTCATTGAAGATGATGAGGAAGAAGGGAGCTGACCTAAGTAACTTTGGAATTCTGTAAGGCTAAAGACAAAAATAACTGTACACAGACACTGTACTCTACATGATAAATTTGTCCTTCACAGGGGTATGTGTTAACCATTCTAAAACTATTTTACATATATACTAGGAATGAACAGATAAGCAAATATATTATTGATAATAAGACGCAGGTGTCTGTCTGAGAAAGAAGTTACTAATAAGCAAAGCAGAATGATGGAATGAATCCATGGTGTTTGATTAGAGTCAGAGGTATCAGTATTAACTCATGTTTAAACATATATATATATATATATATATATATAAAAACACATATACACACACTCACACATATACACTGATAGATACGGAAATATAGGTGTGTATTCATGGATAAATATACATACATATGTTTCCTAGCTCTGTCTACTGAGATGGCCTGTAGCACTGTAGCACTAAAAGCACTGACATCCCAGTAGCAGTGAGCACATCAGGTTCCCCAATCTTGGTCTCTAAATGCTATTATTTAATAAAAGGAGCCAGGACTTCTTGGAAACATAGGCTCCAGGACTGGGTAGGCAAACTACAAGATGAGCCTGGAGCATCTTCTGGTGCTAGAAAGTAAGAAAGTGCTGAACAACAACAACAACAATGGGAATATGCAGAGTACAGGAACCAACCTGAAAAAGCTCTTATTGGCCAAAGCTGGAACAATTTAGGTCAAAAAAATAAGTAAGGATATATTGGGTTATAACTGAAGGAATAAAATAACTATCCATGAGTCTGTTTTGATAAAAATAAAAGTTGAATACACTGATTATTTGATGGGGAAAAAGGACAGTTTTTCCTTACCAGAAGAATTCCAGTGAATAAATAGAGAGAAGTGGAGGAAATAGAAAATCACCCCTAGAACACTGCAGTCATAGTTGCTGCAGACAGTTCACCTGATAGCTGTTAAACTAATGGGTATAAGTTTGAGAAACATGGTGTGTGCATAGTCTCAAAGTATTTGAGACTCCCAATATTTATCAATTGCAAAGGGAAAAATAGTAATTTCATATTGGAGAAACCTGGCAGATACCACCTTAACCAAGGGATAATGTGAGGTCTCACTAAGTTGCTCAAGCAATCCTCCTGCCTCAGCCTCCCAAAGTTCTGGGATTACAGATGTGAGCCACCTCACCCAGCCAGTAAGACATATTAACAGCATGTCTCCCTTCCCCAGTTTGATGCACTGAGAAGGGTGCATCATTTCTGTGGCATTCTTGCCAAAACTCCACAATCCCAGTTTAATCACGAAAAAACATCAGACAAACCCAAATTGAGGGACTGTCTACAAAATACCTGCCAAGTACTCTTCAAAAGGGTCAAGGGCAAGAAAGACAAGGAAAGACTGAGGAATAGTCACAGAACAGAGGAGACCAAGGAGAAATGTCAACTAAATGCAATGTGGGATCCTGAATTGAATCCTGGAATGAAAAAGGACATCAGTGGAAAAACTGGTAACATTAGAGAAAATTCTGTAGGTCAATTAATACTATTGTACCAATCTCAATTTCCTAGTTTTAATAATTGTACTATGGTTATGTAAGATGTTTCTGTTAGTGAAAACTGGGTAAAGGGTGTATGGGAACTTGTACAATCTTTACAATTCCTCTATAAGTCTAAAATTATTTCAAAATAAAAAGAAAAAAAGTAGGGAGAGCATCTGATGAAGTAGCCCTGAAAGAAATAAATGAAGAATCCTCTGTGCTATAAGGGACACTTTAGACTGTGAGTGAGACTTGTGGAAGAACATTTTGCATACCACCTGGGCACTCCTGTAACCCACTGTAGTCTTTGGACTATAATTTGAGAATTACTGTAATAGGGTCATCTGACCCAACTCATTTAAAGACATCCTATTTTTAGGGATATTATTTAACTGTTTCTTAAAAATTGCTTTAAAAAGCAATACATGCTTTTACAAGCCTTTTTTTTTTTTTTTTTTTTGAGATGGAGTCTCGCCCTGTCACCCAGGCAGGAGTGTAATGCTGCAATCTCGGCTGACTGCAACCTCCGCCTCCTGGGTTCAAGCGATTCTCCTGCCTCAGCCTCCCGAGTAGCTGGGATTATAGGCACACGTCACCACGCCTGGCTAATTTTTTGTATCTTTAGTAGAGACGGGGTTTCACCATGTTGGCCAGGCTAGTCTTGAACTCCTGACTTCGTGATCTGCCCACCTCTGCCTCCCAAAGTGCTGGGACTATAGGCGTGAGCCACTGTGCCCTGCCTACAAGCCGTTTTTAAAAGATAATTCTTTTATCCTTCTAAGAGAGGTATGAAGTTTTTTTTCTCCTTGCTTTTGTGGACTGTGATTATCGGGGAGAAGGGTTGCAAACTGGTGGTCCATCTTCTGATTCCAATTGTTTTTAGCTACACAGCTTTCAGCTTTTTCATTTTTAAAAGGTAGATATGTAGAGAGGCATGAACACTCCAGTTCTCTTTTGCTTATGCCAAGCTACTTTGCACACTTACGTTATTTGATTGGCCCTGAAGGCACATAAGTTTTTTACCCTAGGTGAATGTAATAAATTACATGTGATTTGGGGTGTTTATTCACTATTCTCTAGTCATGACTTTAATGACTTTTTGATGACTTTGGTATGTTTGTCTTGCAGCATTTTTGGGTAGTCTATGGGTTGCCACAAGAGAACTCCACCCCACCCCCAAAACACACATACAGAGTTTGTTTAGCCAGAGTACACAAACTGACCAGGAGCCAGGTGGCCTGTCTCAGTGCAGGATTGGGTGGCTCCCAAGGGTGCCCAATTGGGAGATGTCAAATGGGTACCCAAAGGAGGATCTCACCAGATCAGAGAAACTCATTTGTGCTACACCACACTCCTTTTGTACTAGAAGCTTACAAGACTCAGGGAAATACTCCAATCACTTTGCTTAATACTTCCTAGAAGGGAATTCTTACCAACATCAGACTCTCCTGGTTCTTGAACCCAAACAGCCTGACAAGGCTACATCCTCGCCTGAGACAGAAAGCTGAGTCAGACTCCAGGAGCTGGTAGCTGAGCAGAGTCTCTGCCTCAAACTTTCTAGTGTGCTAGAAAGCTGAAACTCACAGTGGCTTATCAGGGTTGTCAGAGTTAGCCATGGAGCCTTAAAGATATACATATGCCAAGACCCTCCTGTAGCAACTTGGAAGCATCCATATTTTCCCTAAAACTCCATAGGGTTTTTGATACACAACCTCAAGTAGGACCTTCAGGCTGCAAGAAACTTTAGCTAACATACTTTAAAAATTTCTCTTAATATTCCTTTCTTTGTTCACAAATTTATGACTATTCCACTTAAGGCACTAATAGGGGTACTTAAGGCACTAAAACTTCACGATGGGGGAAGTTCCCAGCACAGTGACTGGAACATAGTAAGCTCTCCATAACTGCTCATCTCCTTCCTTTCCTCCTTCTACTTCATTTGGACCTTATTTTGATCTGCTATTTCCTTCCCCTACAAACTGAGGTCATAGCCTCCCCACTGCATTATACTTAATATTGATCAGGTGTTTTGATGAGCACTGTGTTTAGCTTGAGTGCCACAAATAAAGTGCCTTTTGAAGAATGATGTGAAATTACAAAGGATAGAAGCTAGTTTGAGTGACAGAATTAGATCCCAGATGTCAGGGCAAAATGATGGGCTGATTCGAATAATATGAAACATAATAGGGCTAAATGTAAGGTCTTGTAGTGGGGTCCAGGAAATTAACTGTGTGAGTGCAGGTCAGGGGAGGTGTGTGGCTTGGTAGCTGCAAATATAAAAAGTACGAGGGAGTTGAAAATGATAGTTGTATGGCTTAGGGCACAGATACAGTTGCTGTCACAAAGACCTAATAGAACAATGACTTCAATAAGCTAAACAATTATTTCCCTCTCACAGATTGAGAATAAACAGTATAGGGTGAAATGGCAGCACCAGGGATAGGATCCTTCTATCTCGTTGCTCTGCACCACTCATCCACATGGCTATCAGGTCCACATTTCAGCCAATGGCAAAAGGAAAAAGGAAGGGAAGCATGATCCTTCCCTTTAAGAGTATGGCTGGGAAATTATACATTTCACATCTGTTTACATCCCATTGGCTAGAACCTGTTCTTCTGGCCACACCTTCCTATAAGACAGGCTGGGAAATGTAGTCTTTGGCTGGGTAGCCATGTTCCTAGCTAAGAATTTTATTACTAAGAAGGGGAGAGGGGAATAGATACTGACAGAAACATTTGCAGCCTTACAGTTAAGACAGTATGTACAGTCATGCAATTTGATTGCCAAAAAGTTTTGGGCAATATTCTATTGCATTGATAAAAGAACAGTATCTGCCAGAACAGGAGTTGGCAAGCTTTTGCTGAAAGGACCAGATAGTGAATACACTTGACCCTTGAACAACATGAGCTTGAACTGTACGGGTCCACTATATGCAGATTTTCTTATGCCTCTGCCACCCCTGAGATACCAAGACCAACTCTTCCTCTTCTTCCTCCTCCTCAGCCTACTCAATGTGAAGACCACAAGGATGAAGACCTTTATGATGATTCACTTCCACTTAATAAACATTAAATATGTTTTCTCTTATGATTTTTCTTAATATTTTCTTTGCTCTAGCTTACTTGTCAGTATACAATATATAATACATATAATGTACAAAATATGTGTTGACTGTTTATGGTATCACTAAGGCTTCCAGTAGCAATAGGCTATTAGCAGTTAAGTTTTGGGGGAGTCAAAAGTTATACATGAATTTTTGACTGCATGAAAAGTCAGAGCCCCAACCCCTGAGTTGTTCAGGGTCAGTTGTATTTTAGGCTTTGCAAGCCACGTATAGTCTCTGTCATACATTCTTTTCTGTTTTTTGTTTGTTTTGTTTTGTTTTTACAATCCTTTAAAAATGTCAGATCCATTCTTGGCTTATGGGCTGTAAAAATTAGCCTGCACGAAGGGCTGTAGTTTGCAGACCTCTGTTCTAGAACAAGCATGGTGGTGAGTCTGGAGTCACATCTTATGATGCACAAGAATGTGTTCAGGGGAGGTGACCAAGTTAGGGAAGGGACTCCAGGTGAATTTCTAAGAACAATAATGATTGGAGGCATTGGTTACTTTTAGCCTAGAGAAGCTCAGACTCTTAATGACCTGATCAATGGCTTCAGATATTTGAAGGACATTCAGGTGGTTTGGAGATACCCTTGTTTTGTATGTACCCAAAGAGAAGAACAAAAATCAGTGAGAAAAAGCTCTGGAACAGAGACTACAGCTGCATAAGGACATTCTCATGATCACTTATCATTTATGGAACCTTTATTCCCAGGCATTGTTCTAAGCACTCTACATAGATGGTCTCACTTTATCGTCAACAACCCCAGTGGGTAGGTACCTTTCTTACCTCTACTTAATAGATGAGAAAAAGTCAGTGTTAGGAGGTTATATAACTTGCCCAAGGACATTTTGCTACTAAGTGGTAGGGCCGTAACAACTCCAACTCTCTACCATCTCCTTGCATGTGACTTGTGAGGTAAGATATATAAATAATTTAGCAGCACCAGGTACATAGTAAGTATTGTTGTTGGCAATAATAATAATGATAGTCCCTAGGAAGTACTATGTTTCTCATCATGGTGGTTGTAGTTTTCTATGGCTGCCATAACAAATGACCACAAACTCAGTTATTTAAAATAACCCATTTCTCTGCTTACAGTTTTAGAGGCCAGAAATCCAAAATCAAGGTATTGATAGGGCTATGCTCCCTCCGGAGGCTCAGGGGAGAATCCATTCCTACCTCTTTCTGCTCCTGGTGGCCTCTGGCATTCCTTGGCTTGTGGCTGCATCACTCCAATCTCAGCCGCTGTAGTCACGTTGCCCTCTAGCCCGTCTCCTACGTCAGTCCTATAAGGATACTTGTGATTTCATTTAGGGCCCTCCTGGATAATCCAGGATCTCTCCTCATCTCAAGATCATTAACGTAGTCACATCTTTTGCCATATAAGGTGAAATTCAGTTTCTAGGGATTAGGGGGTAGATATCTTTGGGGGCCAGTAATTAGCCTATCACAATGGTATCTAAGCATAGACTGGATGACCACATGCTTTTCTTTCCACTATTAGAAAAAAAAACTTCATAGAATTCTATGATTTACAGTATTGGTCAATCATAACACCTATCTTTCCCTTGTGGAATTTTTGTGTATGTGAAAATAGAATATTTTTAAAGCCTTATTTTATTTTTAATTGACAGATAACACTTGTATATATTTATGGGTACAATGTGATGTATCAATATATGCATAGTGTACATTATGGAATGACCAAATCAGGCTAATTAGCATATTAATCACCTCATATTTACCCTTTCTTTGTGGTGAGAACGTTTAAAATCTTCTCTTTTAGCTATTTTGAAATATACAGGACATTATTATTATTAACTGTAGTCACCATGCTGTACAGTAGGGCACCAGAACTTATTCCTCCTATATAACTGAAACTTTGTTCCCATTGGCCAATGTTGCTCCTTTCCCTTCCCCCCGCCACCTCCTCCAGCCTCTGGTACCACCATTCTACTCTCTACTCCTATGAGTTTGACTTTTTAAGATCCCACTTATAAGTAAGCTCACACAGTATTTGTTTCTCTGTGCCTGGCTTAATTCACTTAACATAATGTCCTCTAGGTTTATCCGTGTTTTCACAAATGGCAGAATTTCCTATATGAAAATAGAATATATTTTTAACAAGATATCAGTTAGAGGTAAAACTTATATTTTTTCAAATACATAGCCACAGTCCAACACTATTTATTGAATAACACATTCTTTCCTCCACTGATTTAAAATTCAGTTTTTATTACTTAACTACCATGTAGTAACCATTATAGCTAAATTTGTTTCTTGACTTCCATCAATCCACTTTGTAGGCTTCTTTATTTGTACTATACCATTTTGTTTACTGTAGCATTAAAGTATATATTTCTAACTGATGAATTGTCCTCCTTTATTATTCTTTGTGAATTTTTTTGATCAATGACTCTTTTACTGTTTTTGTTTTGTCATCATCTATTTCAACCTAAAAAAAATCCTTATTTTCATTTTAATGTGGTCTTGGGAAGAAGAGGAAACAGATGGAATTATTGGCCTGCCATAACAATCCTCTCTTTCTTTCCTTTTCTTTATCTCTCTCTTCCCTTCCTTCCTTTCCTTCCTTCCTTCCTTCCCTCCCTCCTTCCTTCTTCCTTTTTTAGTGATTTTTACCTGTTTCCATTGAGATTTTCTATTTTTTTGTTATAATTATATGGAAGTTTAATTCCAGACACATATATGTAAGAGATAGATATAGATGTGAATTCAAATCTGGAATAAATGTACTTATACTCTTATCTTTCAAGACTTCTAACAATTAAATTTTACAACTATATTCTCAATTATTTTTATATTTGACCACATATTTTGTTGGCTTTATTCATTACATTTTTTATATAACATATCTTCTCCTTTCTTGAATTTGTTATCCTGCCTTATTTGTTCCTCAGCTGGAAGAGATCTTCAAGTAACCTTAAATTTTTTTTAATAAAGGGTGTTTGGGTGATATAATTTCTGTGTCTTTGAACATACCTTTCTTTTTCATTGCATAAGAGAAATTATAGTTTGGCAGCTGGTAGAATTCTTAAATTGTAATAATGTTCCCTTAGAATTCTACAGAAATTATACCAGTGTCTTTTAGCATAGTGTTACAGATGAGAAGTATGGTATTAGTCTGATTTTCTTTCCTTTTAAGCAACCTGATTTTTCTCCTTTATGAGGAAGCTTGTCATTGTTTGTCTTTGCTCTTGGAGTATCAGAGTACATCTGGAAGTGTGTATTCTTTCAGTAGTCCTGCTGCCTAGCACAGCATTTGATCTAAGGCCTAAAGACTTTCTTCAGGTTAAGGAAATGTTCTTCTGTTATTTCCTTGATTATTGATTTCTTCTTCATTAATGATGCCTCCATCTGGAACTCCTATTAGGCTAATATTGATTGGATATTCTGGATCTCTCTGTTATATCTTATATTTTATCTGATTTTTTAAATCTCTTTTGTGTGCATGTGGTGTGTGTGTGTGTGGTGTGTGTGTGTGCGCACTTTTTGGGGAAGAGCAGTGGCATTTCAAAAGGAGCTGATATCCTGCCCCTATTCAACCTTTGGCTTCTATTATATTTGGAACAAACCTCTCACTTTCCAAAGAAGCTGTGGACCTATTTCTGTGTCCAGCCATTCTGTGTGGAGAAACTGACCATGTTCCTGATGTCCCTTAATTTGCCTTTAAACTGCTGCCTATGATTCTCCTCCAATCCTGATTCTCTGAGTTTGGGATTTTCCAAGACTGTTTTCTGGAAACCTGTACAGTTACTTCTTAGGGGTCTGTATTAGTCGGTTCTCACACTGCTAATAAAGACATACCTGAGACCAGGCAATTTATAAAGAAAAAGAGGTTTAATGGACTCACAGTTCCACATGGCTGGAGAAGCCACACAATCATGGCAGAGGTGAAGGAGGAGCAGAGGCACATCTTACATGGTGGCAGGCAAGAGAGCGTGTGCAAGGGAACTACCCTTTATAAAACCATCAGATCTCATGAGACTTATTCACTATCACAAGAACAGCATGAGAAAAACCTGCCTCCATGATTCAATTACCTCCCACCAGGTCCTTCCCATGACATGTGGGGATTATGGGAACTACAATTCAAGATGAGATTTGGGTGGGGACACAGCCAAACCATATCAGGGTCTTTGCAGAATCATGAGTTTATCAGTACTAATTAGTTTTTCCTCCCATGTCCCATCTACTTTGTATCTTCCCATATTATTCAAAATGTCTGCTTTATTGATGGCATCTTTCCCTGGTTCCCAGCATTGCCAGTGAATTTACCATTCCCCAAACCAAAAGCCCCCGTATGGAAATAGTGGAGAGTTCTGACACATCATATGGATAGATGGACCAAATGACCTTCCAGACTCATGTAACTCTGGGAGGCTTTTTCTTTAAAGCAGCATAATTAAAGGGTTGAGAAAAACTTTTACTGAAAAGGACAGAGAGATAGAGTTTAGTTTACTCAGGAGAACAGAATAAGGTGAGACTTAAATGGTGAGTCACACTAAGCCTGCTGAAGATACAGCAGGAGGGACTAAGATTAAATTACAGCTGAAGTGATTCATGTTGGTCACTACAAAGATCATTTAACCCTTAAAAAGTTGTGTGGCATCATGATACATTGCAAAGCCAAGTTACAAAGCCTCATTTTCTGGAGCTGTTCTCTTTAAAGGTAAGAGGATGGACTCGAATCACCTTCTGAATTATCGGACAGCCCTGTGACATGATTATACCTTGGTGCCTGAGATGTTAGATGGGAAATAAACAGCAGCATCTAGTAAACTCTCCTGGGGTAAAAAACAAAACAAAAAAAAAAAAACCATCTTGTTTTCACCCAGTCTTACTGATTTTTTTTTAGTGTGAAGACAGAATGTTTTTGTCAAAAACAAGTTCTCCAAATTTATAAACCTGATTGGAGACATCTTTAGTTTCTTCTCAAACATGCTGGGAAAATAGGAATGTCACTGAGACTCCTTCACCATCCCCTCGCAGCCCCTATTCCCCGGGGGGCTGGGTAGATGGAGAAGCAGGGGGCAGGGGCTGGACCAGGGAGAGAGTGACAGGCTCTCTGTGGTAGGTCTGTGCCTTGTCACAGAGCCTCCTGGGCTCAGGTCTGTGGTGGCCGCGGGAGAGCCAGCTCCACGCTGTGTGGCTGGTGACATTTCCGGCTGCCAGGGCCCAGCCAATCAGTGATGGACCCAGCTTGCTTGGGCGATGACACATGAAATATGATAATTTTCTGCCAAAGGGCCCTGGAAGAGGGGAAGGAAGAGAGTGTGTGTGTGTCGCTGGGAGGGGTCCACACAGGAGCGCCTGTGATGAGGTGGGAGGGTGACAGTGCACTTGTTTTCACGGTTTGCCTGGCAGGACTAGGCAAGGGAGGGAATGGGCTGTGATGCTGGAGCGGCTGTAGGAGCGCCCCTGTAGCTCCCGAGGTGAGCCACTGCCGCTGCTCTTAGGCGGGAACCAGCGGAGGAGCAGACAGCGCCATGCTGGAGCTCTGGGGCTGGGGTGAAAAAGAAACTGTCAAAGACATTTGCCTTCTTAACACACGTGAGCAAGGTTAGGACTCTTGTTTCTTCTCAGCGCTACCTCTTTAAAAGCCAGAACAAAACTGCAGTAAACACCATCTGGGTGGCTGAAGTACTCGAAGAATAATTTTTTTCAAAAAAATTTAGGCTGGAGGTTGTCTCTCCCCCTACCCTGTTTTTCTACCTCCATACCTCCATGCTGACCCTTAAAAGAAAAGTGAAAAACAAAACAACAGAACTCAATAACAAAATCTTGAAGAAGGGCCTAAGTCTGAATCGTAAAGACTCTAACTAAGGTTCAGGTGGTAGTTCTGATTCCTGATTCTGGTTGAAAGAAAGTATGTCTTGGAATGCGATGTGGCTCTGGATTATGTTCGACTTTAGAAATAGTGCCAGAACTATTCTTTGATTTGTGGACATGGACCCTGAGACTGCAGAGCAAGGCAGGGCAGGGCAAGGAGTGCCCGTGTTGAGCTCTCAGGTGCAGAGACCCCACTCCCTTCAGGCACTGTTGAGGCTCCCCGGCCCCTGATCTGCAGCCAGAGGCTGGTGAGGTGTGACACGCTTGCTGACAAGAGTGCCCTGTCTCGTCTGACCCGTGAACATGGGTGTTCAGAAGTGAAGGATCATAGTGTTTACATAACGTGCCAATTAGTACTGAGAAGCTCATCAGTGCAATAAATATTTATGACTTGCATTTGCATTTTTTCTCTCCACGTATATATATATAATATGTGTGCATATATATGTGCATATATATGCACATATATTATACATATATGTTGTTTTTTAAAAAGCACCAATAAATGAAATCCTTATCACTGTGTGCAAGCCTACTGTGCCTTTAGGCATGGGACTGGCTTCCTGCGCTGGGAGTGACAGCTATTCCGAAGTGATAATTGGTGTACTGTGTCTTTAAAAGGTTAAACCCCCTTTCAAAAAAGGTCTGGACTCCTAGTGGAAAAGACAAGCGAGGCATGGGTTGGCTCTGGATTCAGAAAACAGCTGCTGATTAGATTCTGTGTCTGCAGGCTGAATTTATTCCGTGTTTTTCAGCAGCACGAATTCAAGAGGGATGCTTCTGTTTGGGTTTCTGATCGTGATTTATATTTATTCAGAGGAATAACAGAGGGTGGATCTGTTCCCGGCGCGAGCATGCTCACAACCAGCCGACTCTCCCATTATCCAGCTGCCTAGTTTGGTGCTTCAATGTACATGGCTATTCCGTGTGCATATGTGTGTATACAAACACGCATGCATGCCTGGATGGACATACGTATGCACAGGTTATTTTTTAAGGACAATTCTTTCAATAAGGTCTTTACCCCTTACTTGAAACAGGTGTTCATGAAAAAAATGCACAAAATCCTGCCTGGCCGGAATAATTCATGAAGAAGGGGCTGGATCCGTGGGTCAGAGAACACAGGACCAGTTTGCCATCCCAAGGCCGAAGGTAGGGGACTCTGGGTTTTTATTCGGCGGATGGATTCCTTGCGCTGTATTTTACCTTGTGATTGTGTTTTTGCCTGAGGCCGCACCGCGAAGCAGAATAGCGAGCTGCGATTCCATTTTGTGTATGCCTTTCTTAGGCAAGGTGTCCGGCTGCCGAGACGCAGGGGCCGGCCGGGTGGGCTGCGCGTGGCGGCCAGTGCCCCCGGTGGGCTGAGCGCGCTGCTCGGCCTGGTGCTGGGGAGCGGCGCGAGCCTCAAGTGACCCCCGCGCGTCAATCACAGGCGGCGGCGGCGGCGGCGGCGGCGGGGCTGTAACCCTATGCGCGCCGTGCGCTCCAGCGCTGCTTGCAGCAGGCTCTGCTGGGCTCTGCACCCGCGCACTGGCGGCCGGCTCCATAGGAGCCTCGGCTGGGGGGCTTAGGCATCGCGTTCCGTGGCACCGGCGTTTTCTTGTGCTGCCTTGGCTGCTGCTCCGGATTGTTTAGGCGGACTGCAGTAGCCTGCTTGGTTGAGAGTGAGATTCGTATGATGCTGGCTGCTGAGACAGAGGGGATAGCTTTCTTTTTCCCCCTTAATCCTAGCCCCCTGAAAATATTCCTAAAGCAAAATCATTTCCCAACCCCCAACCTGACCCAACCAAACCCAAACCAAACTCCTATTCTATAGGGGATTCTTGCCTCCCTGCTAGCAGAGAGAGTGTCCCCTCCAAGTTATGCCCCACATTTTACTATCTTTTAAATGGAAACACTGATGGTGCCGAATGGTCCCTAATGATATTGTCCAGGCTGCTGAGGACTCCTGAGTGTGGCAGTGGTGCAGAGGAACTTGGAGGCTCGGCATTGGTTTCCTTTAACGTAGCTGGTTTGGTTTCTGTTGCAGGTCAGGAATATTTCTGTGGCTAGGCCCTTCCTTGAACTTCGGGGGCAGTGGTTGCAGGAAGAGGGTCTGCAGATCTGGTCGCTGGGTGAGCAGCACCCTGGCCCTCTTTCTGGTATACGCTGACGTTTCTGGTAGCCCTTGGCATTGTAACCACAGCAGCCAGGTGCCCACTGGCTACCTGGAGTGCTTCGGTTTTGTTAACTCTGGTGTGCATTTTGGGTGTTACGGGGGGAGGGAAGAGGAAAGAGGGAGAATGAGGTGTTTGCTGAACTGATCTGCATGGCAGTGTTCTCCAGCCCATGTTTGTGTGATTATGTAATGATCAGACGTGTGCCCAAACAGCTCCCCACCATCTCCTGGCTCTCCCCCAGACTGAAGAAGTTGGGTGCTACAGTTGTTTAAGACGTCTTTATGTAATTATGTGTATGCTGGGGGCAGGGAGAGAGTGGGGGCAAGGAGGAATAATTCTAGCAACTTAAATGTGAAGAATACAGGTCAGTGATCGTGTGTCCCTCTGAGGACAGTGTGGTATTAGCTCTGGGTCAGTGTTGATCTGAAGACCCTCCTGTGTCTCTTTCAGCCAGTAATTGCTTATCTGAACTTTCATTTGGTAATTTCACCCCTCTTGCACCCTGGAGACAGTTGGACCCAGGAGAAGGACCCCTGCAGGGCCTCCAGTTTCCCAATTCCAGGCAGAAAATGAATCCTGAAGCCAAGGTAATAGGCCAGGTCCCAGCTGTTCTTCATGGTCCTGCTGAGCAGCCAGTGTAGGGAGGAGTTCCTGTCCACTAGGGTGTCACTTGTGCTCTGGGGTTGGGCTATACTGTGGGGCTGAAGAATAGACCTCAGATGCCGTCTGAGCTGTTTGACATATGCTCTTTAAAGTTGTGATGGCTTGCAGAGGCTGGAGGCCCTTTACATAGTTGCATTTAAAGATTGTGGGAGTTTTTTGCAAGGAAGGTGGACAGCTGTCCAACTAAGACACCTGCAGGCAGGAGGAGAGGGTGGTGTGACACTTAGCTCTCTGCTTCCTCTCCACTCCATCTAGTTAAGGCACCCACAGGATACAGAATTGTTAACAGGGGCCCTCCTGTCACACCCCTGAGCGCCTCAGCCTGGGGCTGTTGGGCAGATTTGTTAATTTGATGGCAAAGTCTGGCCCCTTAAGGCTAAGATTGTTTTTTTGCCCTCAACACCCCAGTGGGTTTGCTTTGAGGGCCAACTACTACTGTGAACTCTGTGGCAGTGGATCAAGATGTGCTCAACTGGCACTATTGTTGAGCTGTCTCCGCCCATTGTGTTTAGTGGCAGCCACCCTCCTTGGAGTGGAGAAGTGTGTGCTGCCTTTGGGTCCTTGCCAAGTGAGCTGTTGAGACATTTAGTGTGTGAAAGGTACAGGCAAGAAGAAGATGCATTTAGTCTGAAGTCCTGGCAGGTTCTAGGACATGATTTGATGAAAGATAACATTAAGAAAGCTGTGTGACAACTGGATAGCATTTAACTTGTCTCTCACTCCCTACTCTGTGAATTCCCTAATGTCTTTAAGGCTCTTTTTTGCCCTCCATCCTGCCCATCAAGGAGTCCCTGACATGCTGTTCTCCATCCTGTTTCCTGTGGAGTCAAAGTGTATTTACAAATCTGCAGATGCACTAGGCGGGCAGGGCTGGAAAACACTGGCTGTATCAACAGGCAGCACTAGCATTCTGGGTCAGACTTGGCCAAAGCCCGTGACCAATTTTCTTCCTTATCTGTAAAGTAGGTGTAACCATCATAACCTTACCAAGACCACTGAACTATCTTGAGAAGAAAAATGAGATACGTTTAGTAACATGCTATGTAGTTGATAGGTATTAGGATAATACCACAACAATCTGGAACTCACATTTACATAATTTCACTTATCCAGTTGGGACCTAGATGGCAAATCAAGAGAAAGGTCATAAGTCCATGAGCTACAGTTTATGAATTTTGATCATTGGAGGAAATTTTATACCCTCTTTCAGGCCTCTGCATTTACTTCAAGTTTTAAGAGGCTTGGTTATTAGTTTGTCAAATGCACCTAGCAAATTGGAAGCAACTGATACTGTACTGTGCAAGGATTATTAAAGCTCTTTTATCAAGTATCAGTAAGAAGTAAGAGTAAAAAACAGAAAAACTAAAAAAAAATTTAAAAGGCACAAGAATTCAAGGCATGGAATTCTAAAGCTGATATGAGCATTTAATGTAAGCAATTCAGTGAAATTTTATGTATTTTGATGGATCTTTGGTACTCTGTTTTATAACATAGTAACTGATGCTCACAATGACCCACATGTATCCATAGAAGTTAAAATTATATTTTGTTCATCCAATTTAAAAAGACAGAGTTCTGAAGTATCCCCAAAAGATTTTTTTTTTTTGCATGATTCTTAGAGAAAAAACTGCAACTATCCATGATAATGGCACCTGTGAGGTTTCTGGATAGCCGGTGGCTTACTGGTCAAAATTATATTACAACTATAAAGCCCTGCTGTTGAAATTGAGAACTTTATGATCTTTTGTCAAAATTTATCAGGGAACTACTATGCTACTGTTATTATTAGTGGTTATGTTCTAACATTTAATACTAAAGAAAATATTCATGAACCTCAACCTGTCTTGTTATGATCAGGAAACACACTTAGAGTTGTTCCAACTTGATGACTTTAATTCTGGAGTTGGAAGAGACCTGGTGATGGAAAAGATGGAGCAGGAGAGGTAGACCCTACTGCTATCTGTTTCTTACATCTGTGTAGCAAATGTAGACTTACCACTACCCGGATGTTGTTCAAGCTGTCATGGCCACACCCTTATGGTAAGCAATGGTGTTTTTTCAGTTCAGACATCGTGCTGAAAACTGGAAGGTGGCTGAGATACACGAGCAGTGCCAAACTTGGCCTGACCCTCTGACAATGTGTTCAGTTAAAATTTGCTCCAAAACAAAGGCAAGAGGAAAAACAAAAGTAGAGGAAAATAAATGTAGACCCTTTTAAAATAGTATTTTAAAAATTCAATACATATGTGGAAAACGTGAGGACCTAACTAAAAGTCATGGAAGAGTATTTCTCAGTTTCTAGATGTACATACATTCATTGTTTTGGTAACTTACTTGAAAAAATTCTTTAACTAAAAGAAACTGTCAGTAACAGGTTATTGAATATAATCACAAATACTCAGAACTCTCCAAAGGTTCCCTGTATCTAATTGTAATATGATGGAGAAAAGGTATTCCCTGAAGTCCCAGAGGGCTTGGAAGGCAGAGGAGGTGAGGCATGGTGGTGGGAAGTGACTGAACCACACTATCCAGAGGACTGCCCTGTTGGGAGGTTTCACAGTTGGAAATATGTGCTTGGGAGGCAGGACAACAATGGAAGTGGTGAGTACATGACTGATGGGTCTCCCCTCCTCATTACTAAGTGTTTTTGAAATGCCAGGTGCAGCTGGAATTCTTGTGGATAAAGGGGGAAGCTTTATATCTAAATATGAAGTAGGGGTGATCTGAAAATGCCTTTCAGATTTGGGGAGCAAAGCCAGGGAGAAGTATAGGGAAGCTAGTCTCAGAAATCTTGAGATCTCTGAGCATCGGTGGACCCTTGAATTGGGGTTTAGGATCAACTTTTTAAACATGTGTTATGTATGAATAACTGAGATCCAAAGAAAAGCTAATAAACAAATAGTAGAAAGATATGGAAAAAATAAAAGCAGTGTTATAAACACACGATATGCTCCTCCGAATCTCAGTCACCAATTTTAGTCTATTGAGTCTTTCATTGGACTTCCAGGCTTAGCATTAGATGTTGAAACTATCTTAAGATCAGAGGAGCTGGATACAGTGGCTCATGCCTGTAATGCCAGCTGCTCAGGAGGCTGACACAGGAGGATCACTTGAGCCCAGGAGTTTGAGATCAGCCTGGGCGACATAGCAAGACCCTGTCTTAAAAAAAATAAAAATAAAATTATGGACATGGTGGCTCACACCTGTAATTCTAACTACTCAGGAGACAGAGGCGGGAGGATCTCTTGAGTCCAGGAGTTTGAGCCTGCCATGGGCTATGATCACATCACTGTACTCCAGCCTGGACAATAGAGCAAATATGTCTCTTAAAAACAAAAAGATCAGAGATGCCCTGATAAACATGAATTGATTGGATTTAAATAGAAGAAGAATTTTGAAATCCTCCTCCATCAAAATTCTACACAGTAGACGCTTGACATTTTCAGTGGATACATCTCAAGCCCTTGGCAAATCCCCAAGTTTGCAAATGCAGAAATATTTGCATAGGCTCTTGACTTCCTCCTGAATCAGGTTCCATTCCAGAGTGAAGAGGTTCCTATGACTATTCACAGGCTACCAATTATTTGCCTTTTCAATTTGCACTCAAGGAAATTAAGTTTCTTTCACCTCCAGAGAGTTTCTGTTTCCCTGGTGGCATCTTGGGATGGGGTTACTGGGTCTTTGAGAAGACTCCCTCTCTAGCTAAGTGACTTGTTCTTTGCTGTGGCTTTGCAACATACAGTTCACATTTGTGCTCCAGAGAAAAGACAAATTGCCATGTGGTGTGGCTATTAGGGGTTGTTCACAAATAACTGAAAAAGTGTTGAATCTACAAGCATCTGCTGGGTTTGCTAAAAAATTGCACATGTGTGCAGCCCCTCAAACTCCCCCCAATTCCCTGGCCCTCAGTATACACTTAATACAGTGTTAGAAACTTCCCCTGACTGTCAGCAAATCTTGATGAGGGGAATTGGGCATAGCACAGCTGAAGCGTCTGGTAAAGAACTTAAAATGAGAGCATCACCATTGAAATCTTAGCAAGAGAAGCAGAATGTAGTCATTTGCTCCATGCCCTCATTTTGAAGATTTCAAAGTTTGAGAAAAAAACCCACTATGATTATGATTGTATCAAATAAATGAGCCAGAGCATAATGTGCCCTGGAGGTTGGGCCTTGCTGTACCTCACTGGAAAGATTCTCACAAGAATGTTTTGGAGTGGTCTGGGGAGAAGCTCTTAGAATTTTAAGTGGGTTTAAGAGCACACCAATTACAATTGAGGAGAGCATCTTTGCCCAGCAACTAGAAAAGATATGGCAGGAACTGCAGCAATTTGATATGAGAGTTTCTTATTAAATTTGTGTTGTGACCATCTTTTGAAATAACTTTAATGAAATAGCCCCTAGATGCAAACGAATGCTTACAAACTGTGTAGAAAGGTCTAAAGAATAACATTATGACTAACACTTATGTACTCACCAGTCAATTTGAGAAAAAGAATGTTACTTGAACCTTTGACATCCCCTGTGTACCTCCCTCCACCCTATCCCATTCCTTCTCTTCTCAGGGATTACCATCTTCTGGACATTTCTGTACCTTTTATTCCCCTATGCTTTTCTTTATTGTCTTATCCTCTTGCATTTGTATCCCTAAACAATATATTGTCTAGTTATGCGTGTTTGTGAACTTCATATAAATGGAATCACACTGTTTTATTCTTTTGTTCTTAATGCTCACGTTTAGTCCATGCACACCACACCAGTAAGGCTCACTGGTTGACAAACAATGGGAATATTTCCATATCAGTTGGTAAATTGCTGCTTACCTGGGTCTTTCCCAGGTGCTCCTATGGTACTTCTCCAAGTCCACTCCTTTCTAAAGGGATTACACCTGGCATGGCAGGGGGTCTTGGGTACCAGCTCTGGCACTAGGGCTGGGACTTCATTTGATTGGACTCTGTACCAACTGGTTGTTAAATGTTTCGTCCTGGATTCATTCACATTGTTGGGTGTAGCTGAAATTTTTTCATTTTGCTGAACCATAATATTCCATTGAATGAATATATGGCAGTTTATATGTCTATTCTATTATTAATGAACACTTAGCTTATTTCCAGTATTTTGCTATTATAAATAGTGCTGCTGTAAACATTTTTTTTCAAGTTCCCTGCTAAGTATGTGTGTAAGTTTACTTAGGGAATACACATAGTAATAAAATTACTGGCCACAGACTATGGGCATTTTCAGTGCTGCTAGGATAGTTCAGAATTCTATGGTGTCATATGAGTTTCACTTTAATCAAAAATTAATTTCCAATGTGTTTAACCAATTTCTATATCCAGCTGCAATTTCTCCTACTGCTCTCTAATCTTGCAAAAACTTTATATTTTGTAGGATATTGTCAAAAACTTTTGCCCATCTTGTGGATGTGTAACAGTATCTAATCTGCTTTCAATTTATATACATTTGATTACTAAAGAGGGTCAGTATCTTTTCATACGCTGTTGACCTTTTGGATTTTCTTTTTTTGTGAAGTACCTCTTTAAGCCTTTTGCCCATTTATTTGAAAATTGGGTAGTTTACATCTCTCTTATTTATTTGTAGGAGTTCTTTATATATGCAGGAGACTATTTCTCTGTGTTGCCAAAATACCTTCTCCTTATTTGTGTTATTTTTTCTCACCATCTTTTTTAGTATCTTTACAGTGGCAGAAATTCTTAATTTCAATGTAATAAAATTTATCAATCTTTCCTTTATCATTGAACATTTTGTGTCTTTTAAAGGACATCCTTAAGGACAGTTCTTGTATGGTCTTCTAAACGTTTAAGCTTTGCCTTTCATGTTCAACGTTTTCCCTTGAGAATGAGAGTTTTTATGGATTTGATATTCCTTATTAGGATAAGGAACTACTCCTGTTCTGTAGTTTGCAAAGAGCTTTTTTTCTTTCAAATTATATACATGGATGTTTATTAAATACTTCCTCTGCATTTATTGAGATTTATATAATTTTTTTCTTTAATTTGTTAATATCTGGTAAACTAATTTTCCAATGTTAACTTAACCTTGCTTTCCTAGAATAAACCTGACTTGGTTGTAATGGGTTCATTTCTTATACATTGCTAGGTTTTTTTGCTAATAAAATTTAGAAGTTTTATATCTATCTTCATGAGTGTGTTGTACTGTAATTTGCACTTCTTATCTTATCCTTGGCAGGGTTTTGTATCATGGTTTTGCTGAATTTGTAAAGTAAGTTATAGAATATTTCCTCTTTATCTGTTCTCAAAAAAAGATTCTGTGAGGCTGGAGTTCTTTCTTTCCTGAAGATTTTTAACCTCTGATTCAATTTCTTCAATAGATCATGGGTATTCAGGTTTTAATTTTTTTCTTAAATCAATATTGGTAAATTAGATTTTTCTAGAAATTTATCCATATTATCTGAGTTTTCAAAATTTTTACCTTGAAGCTACTTATAAGATGCTGTTATTTTTTAATGTTCTGTGGGATCTGTGGTTATGTCCACTTTTCATTTGTAATACCTTCTATAATTTTGTTAAATGGTCTTTTAAGAATTTTCTCAATGTTATTAGAGACTATCTCTAATCCTTGACTTTGTGATCCTCTCCATCTTTTGTTTTCTAGTTTATGAATGTCTATACTAATTTTTATTATTTTCTTCCATCTAACTTATTTACATTTGAGCTATTTTTCTTTCTTAGCTTTTTAAGGTAAGTGTTTGGCTTTTTAATTTTCAGGCTTTTTTCCCCATTATGAGCATTGTAAGCTATACAATATTTACTCTAACTTCATAAATTTTGATATGTAATATTTGTATATAATTTGGTTCTGAGTACTTTATAATTTTCACTATGATTTATTCTTTGACTTATGACTTAAAGCTGTGTTTCTTTTTAATCCTCTGAATGTTTGTTTATTTTTCTTATTATCTTTTTGTTACTAATTTCTAACTTAATTGCCTCATGGTTGTCAAATATTGTTTGAGTGCTACCCAGCCTTTTAAATTTATTGAAGCTTACTGTAAGGCTTGGTATGTGGTCACTTTTCATAATGTTCTGTGGATCCTACCATTGTTAGATGCAGTGTTCTATGTAACTCTATCAGATCAAGCTTCTTCACTGTGTTGTCCAAGTCTTTTATATCATTACTGATGTTTGTATGCTTGTTCAATCAGTTACTGAGAGAAGTATTATAATCTCCCACTATGATCGTAGATTTTTCTGTTTCTTCTTATGGTCTGTCAGTTTGTGTTTTATATATTTTGAGCCTTTGTTATTAGGTACCTATAGGTTTGAATTGTTTTATCTTTCTGGTGAATTGAATCTTTTATAATTAAGCAAAACTTGTTTCCTTAGTAATTCTTTTAGTCTTTAAGTCTATTCTGATTAATATTAATGTAGGTCTACCAACTTCATTTTGGTATTTTCCAATAGAGCCTGAAGTACAGCTTTTAGAATTTTCTTTATTGAGGGTCTGTTGGTGACAACTTCTTGATTTTGTTTGCTTGCAAATACACTATTTTTCCCCTTGTTTTTGAGAGAGGTTTTTACTGGGTAGAATTAGGGTAGAATTCTAGGTTGCCAGTTATTTTCTCTCCAACACAATGAAGATATTATTCAACTGTCCTCTGTTTCCATTGTTGCCTCTAAAATCTACTGTCTTGTCTACAGACAAGAGTGTCTCCTTTGAGAATAATCTGTGTTTTCCTTCTGGTTCCTTTAAATTGTTTGGTGTTCTATAGTTTCACAAAGCGTATCTAGGTATATATTTATTTTTATTTCTCATACTTGGTATTCATTGGAGTTCCTGGATCCATGTGATAGTATCCTTTATGTTATGGGAAATTCTTATCCTGTCTCCTCTTCCCGTGAGGCCACAAAAGATAAAAGTGAAGGTCACTTTGTTGGCTATTGTCTTCAAGCTAGCTTCAGGGATTGGCTCTTATACTAGGCTTCAGATTTTGCTTAGTTTTTGCTCACTGAATACGTCTTACTAACTTGCCAGCTCATCAGTCATTTCAAAAGAGTTTTTCTATAGTATCCAGTTTGCTTAGTGTTTTCAGTAGAGTTGGCTATATATTGAATCCACTATCGTTCAGAAAATGAAAGTCTATAAGGTTTTCTTTAATACCACAATAAACCTTAACACTTGAAACCATGAAAGACTATGCCAAGTCTATTAACAGAATGTATATATCCACATGTATTTATTACAGTGACTGGTCTATTTAATGATTCATTCAATGATACTATGTTCTTAGTAATGTAACCCATACATGTTCTTTCCAGGCTAAGATAAAAGACAAGTTGGTGCTAGTGGGTTGGGTAGGGGTGCTTTAAACCTGCCAATAAGAGTCTTACTAGAAGTGAATGATATTGAGTAGATATAGGTAGTTTAGCCTTTAAATGCAAAAGTATATCAGGTACTAGGGAGTTAATTATTCTTTCTTAGTAAATTGAGAAAGCTGATGGATTTTTGGCCGATTTTCAGTTCTACACATTGACAATTCTACTTTAACAGGTTATTTCTCCCGATACAGCTTTTATTCCAAACCTGGAACAGAGTGAGTTAGGATTAGAGATGGTCTCTTTCCTCTTCCACTTACTAGATGCCCAGAACCACTCACTTTTTTCTCTTATGGATGCCTATTTTTTTGTTTTGTTTTGTTTTGTTTTTGCTTATTTCTGTCTTGGGCCAGAGTTGTACCCTCCTATCTCTCCAATCTCCAGTTTTTATAGAATTATAGGCTTCACCACCTGGAGACCAGCTCTCTTTTGGAGAAATAAAGTGAAAGCATCTAGTTCTCCAATACTATCTCTCTCAATTTCCAACAAACAGGACTTGGATGGCAGCTGGCATCCCCAGCTCCCCTTCCATTGCCCATGTGTCTGAGTTGCGCTTGGCTGAACTCAACTTCCATGCCTCTTGGCCAAGGGACTTTATAAACTCTCTTTGTCCAAGAGGTTTCCGACTGATAACTCTGATGTGGTTTACTGCCAGGCCAGCGGGTCCTGCTGCTCACTTCTTGGTGTAACTTCTGCGCAAGGGACAGTTGGGTTGTCATTGTTCTCTTCCCTTCCTGTGAGCCTACTAGTGGTGGGGCACAGCAGATGGACATTCTGGCTGCCATGGGCCTCCCGCAGGCCCAGGGGAGGGAACCGTGCCAGTCTCACGTTCTTTTCCCATTACTGCTGCTTCTTTGCCCTGTTAACCTCTCTGTTCACTTCTCATCCAGCGAGAAGTGAACCTTCATATGGTTGCACCTCATATGGGTGCTGTCTTAGGTAGTCATGTGGGCACTGGTTGGTGAAGGGTTCCCTCTTTTACCATCTTTCCCAGAGTTCAAGGTGGTAAGAGCTCACCTTGCTGCTACCGCAGAGTAGTAGGGCATTGGCTTCCTCTGTCCTCTCTACCTCCTTTTCTCTTTTACTGTAGCCCCTCTCCCCTACCCCTGTCCCTAACTATCTTGGAGAAAACAATTCAGGGGTTATCAAGGATTACAAGGAAGGAACATGTTTTTCTTGGACAAAGACAAATGACCTCTATCCCTCCCAAAGCCGAGTAGTTTTTGGAAAGGCACTTCCTCTTTTTAAATCTAATATATGCATGCTTTCTACCTGGGAGGCAGAAGCCACAGAGGGGTCCAATGAGAGCCTTGCGGGCTTGCCAGTCTTCTCTGTGGGTCACTGGCTGGTTTTGCAGAACATCTGCCCCTCTGAAGCAGGCTGAGAACCAGTCTGCCTGGGGGTCTGATCATTTCCACTAATTTGTAATGGCAGTGCTGGAAACACTTGCAGCTCAGGGGCCTGTCACCTAGGCTTGGCTTGGAAAAGGAGGTGGTAGACTTTGAGGAGAGACAGAAAGGAGGGAGAGAGAGAGAGAGAAAAAAAAAAAAAAGGAAAGGGGGAAAGAAAGAACAAGGAACAAAAAACAAAGGAAGCAGAACGTATGTAACTCTCACCGTTAGCTTCAGAGCATAGCACAGTTCACTTTTGACTGCATGACATCAAGTCTCTTGTTAAAATATTTTCTAAATTGAGTATAATTTACATGTAATAAAATTCACCTTTTGAAGTGTACAATTTAATGAGTTTGACAAGTATCTGCACCAGTGTAGCCATCACCACCATCAAAATATAGAACATTCCCGTCATCCCGTAAAGTTTCTTCATGCCTGTCACACTTAGTTCGTCCCTCCTACCCCCATCCCCTTGCAAAACTCTGTTTTCTAAAACCAGAGTTTTGCCTTTCCTAGAATTTCATATAGCTAAAATCATAAAATATGCACCCTTTTTGCTTCTGGCTTCTTTCTCTTAGCATGGTGCTTTTGAGATTCATCCATGTTGTGTAGATCAGCAATTCATTATTTGTGTGGCTGAATGGTATTCCATTGTCTGGATATGCCACAGGATTTTTTTTTTTTCAGACAGAGTCTTGCTGTGTTGCCCAGGCTGGAGTGCAGTGGTGCGATCTCAGCTCACTGCAACCTCCACCTCCCAGGTTCAAGTGATTCTCCTGTCTCAGCCTCCTGAGTTACAGGGACTACAGGTGCATGCCACCACGCTTGGCTGATTTTTCCTATTTTTAGTAGAGACGGGGTTTCACCATGTTGGTCAGGCTGGTCTCAAACTCCTGACCTCATGATCCACCTGCCTTGGCCTCCTAAAGTGCTGGGATTACAGGCGTGAGCCACCGCGCCTGGCCACCACAGATTTTTTATCCATCCACCTGTTGATAGAAATTTGGATTGTTTCCAGATTTGGGCTATTGTAAATGAAGCTGCCACGAACACTCACATGCAGGTCTTTGTGCCTCCTCAGCTCTCCTAGGTGAACTCCTTCAGGTGCACATTCTGTCTATCCTTGTGCCTGCTAGCCTGTCACCAGGTGGGTACTTCTGTTTTTCTTCCTATGAGTGAGCATCAGATAAGAATGGGATTTTGGATGCCACCACCTGTGCTAGTCCCTAGCAGTCACTTAGACTGTACTATATTCTAATTGTCTGTTGACCTGTTTGACACCCTCACTAAGCTAGAGACAATTTGGCATAGAAATTAAGAGCACAGGGTTCAAATCCCAACTCTGTCATATACTAACTGTGTGATCTTGGACAAGTTACTTAACCTCTATGTGCCTCAGTCTCCTCAGCTGCAAAGTGAGGATAACAGTACCTATGTCATGGGATTGTGAAATCAGATACATAGACAGACATGCTGGGCCTATAGGGAATACTATGTTGTTGAATGACTGGACAAGAAGTAGTATCAGGGTCTGGAATGCACACGTCAGATCCCCTTTTAACAGCTCATAATGGCACTGGAACTGTCTCCATCAACTGCTCTGTTGCCTGGCACCCTGGCACCCCAGTTCCCACTGGATGATAAGCACTGCCTTAACACTGCATGGAGAGTGCTTGTTTCCTTTGTCACCTGCTAGCTCTTCTTCCAGCTCAGATGCTGGCTGCCCCCTCCTGCTGCTTGAGCTAAAGTTCTGTTTCTGTTTCCCTGAATGTCTGTTACTCTGAAAAACATAACTATAAACTATAAGGGATCCCACCTGTTTGCTTTGTTCCTTCTCTCAGTTGTGGGTCCAGACACATCAACTATGTAGGAAGCAGGGCCTAGAGAGGCCCCACCTACACTCTTAAATCCTTATACCCTAGTTCACAAAAATCTTCATGTTCCACAGGGCTAAAAGCCCTATGTTGACTAGAGACACGGCAAAGGAACCACAGGTTCAGAAATATTTGTCCTGCAACTCTATCAAGAATGTAACTGTCAGGGCAGCCTTCATCACAGCCAGGGTTGTAGATGCTCATCCCGCTTCTGCAAGCCAAGGGCCAAGGACCCTTGTGGATGGCAGCTCTCTTATTAGGATGGGGGATTGGAGGTCCTTGAGGGCAGAGATGGAAACAAAGATTTAACCTCACAGCCCTTAATCCAGAGAAGCACTTCCTGGGTCTGGCCATTTTCTCTCTTGAAGAATAACATGATTGTGGACCAGGGTGATCAAAAGAACTAGAGAAATCAAAATGCACAATTGATCTTTGATACTCACCAAAGTGGGGCATAAAGTACAATGAATGAAGTTTCAAGTACAATCCTCTGTGGGCCTGTGGGAGGTGTTTCTAGAGTCTGGGAACTCCAAATGGTACCATATCACGGCCTCCTTTTACGGCGCACTCTGTGTAAAGCATGGCGGTAAGCACCTTCCATGGATAGTCTCCCTTAATTCCACTTCTGGGAGTAGAAGATGACCATTTTACCTTACAGCAGTAGGTCTCATCAGGGGGTTCTGATTTTGTTGGTCTGGGCAAGCCCTGGGTATTTGGACTTTTAAACACTCCCCCAGTGATTTTAATGTGCAGCCAAGGTCAGGACCTCTTTTACAGTCAAGGGAATTGAGGCTTCAGAGGTCAAAGTCACTGGCCCGGGGTCACCAAGCTGTGTGGGGAGGCACAGTTAAAGCACAGGCCTGTGTGACTGCATTGTTTGACCCTGGGGCCCTCCTGCTGCTGCCAATCAGAAAATGGTCAGGACCAGGCACGGTGGCTCAGGCCTGTAATCCCAAGACTTTGGGAGGCCGAGGTAGGCAGATCACTTGAGGCCATGAGTTCGAGATTAGCCTGGGCAACGTAGCAATACCCCATCTCTACTAAAAATGTAAAAATTAGCTGGGCATGGTGGCACATGCCTGTAATCCCAGCTACTCAGGAGGCTGAGGCATGAGAGTCACTTGAACCCAGGAGGTGGCTGCAGTGAGCCAAGATTGTATCACTGCACTCTAGCCTGGGTGACAGAAAGAGACTGTCTCAAAAAAAAAAAAAAAGAAAAAAAAAGGAAAATGGTCAGCACTGGCTCCAGTGTGCTGGGCAGGAAATGGTCAGTAGGGATGCAAAGATGCTGATGGCTTTCCCAGTGCATCCTTGCTGACCCAATACTCTTTTAAGAGGCAAGCATGTGTGTACTCTGAGTCTAAACGGCTCCCTGGACAGAAAGCCATCAGCCTTAGCTCCTGGCCAGCTCAACAGAGGAGCACACCACCCAGCTGCCCATCAACTCTTGGTTCAGGCTTAGCTTGGTTGCATCTGGCTTCAAGAAACAAGGACAGATGCTTTTTGATTTCTTTTCTAATGTCACCTCATAACCAGGCATAAATGTCTTGGTCCCTCCTGAGGAGAGAAAGGTAGGACAAGTCGGGCAAGTGTGGTCTTTTCTAGCCTCACCTCCAGTAATAATTGCAGAATAACAAGGCCTCAGTGCTCACTGCATTCATCAGCACCATACTAAGGACCTTGCACACATCACCTCCTGTTACCTTCACAGGAATCTTGTGAAGTAAAGACTCTTAGTATCTCAATTTTTCAGATGGGGAAACTGAGGCACAGAGAGTCTGGCAGCAGAAATGGGAGTGATCCTAGGCAGTTGCTGAGCCTGGCTCAACTCTTAATCATCATCCTATGTGACCTCCATAGATCTGTTTTTGCCTTGTTCTTGAATTGCTTCAGGAGCCCCATCTAGTTCCCAGCCTGAAAATCAGCTTTGAGCAAGGGAGATGCTGCTTCATTTCTAGCACAGAGTTGGATCCATAGCAGGTGTTCAGTAAATGGTAGTTGGTAGATGTATTTTATTTTATTTCAATTGATTTTATTTCTCCAGATTCTACAATATCACAGTACTGTGATAATAATAAACATGTCTCAGGAATGTAACCCAAGTTATCCAGTTTTTTATGCTTTGACTTCTAAGTATTTCTAAATACTCACCATACTCTCTTAATTGTTGTGTCACATTCACTTTTAGTAGCTGTGCTACGTTCACACCCTATAGTTGTCCAAGAAGAGCACCTCTCTGCACTGTAAGAGCCTCGATGTCTTTCTTTGAAGGATTCTTTACCGGAATAGAAACTGAAACGATTCTAAATGGTAGCTATCCCTGCACCGTCCAGGCCCTCAGAATGAAGTGGTTTGTTTGGTGTGCTCTTCCAGGGTAATCCATAAAAAACTCTATCCCAATTTAGTAGCAGACATTGCCGGCGCTCTGCTCAGATGGCGTTGGATCACTTCGGCCACTTCTGTGTGCCCATCCTGCAGCTTCTGTAGCCTCTGTTTCTAAAGCTTTGCCCCATCGCCTTCTTCAAAGGATTACCCTCTTGCCAAGAGAGTTGGAGTGGCTGGGAGTTTCTGTCCTGGCCATGACAGTCTGTAGCCAATATTAATTAGGGTGGGAATATGAAAGGTCAGCCACCTTGCCCTGGCAGTGGGGGGTGGGGGTGTACAAACTTGCAGGAGGTTCGGTTTACATTCCAGGACCCTCCCTGGGGTCAGGCTGAGGCTGGGATGTGGCCTGAGGTCATGCTTGGCTTGGCCTCTCCCCTTTCTGTCCTGCTTCTCCACTCTCCTACCGACCACTCTGGGGACATTTCTTCAATGAATCACTCATCTAGGAATCCTTATCTCAGGATTTCCTTTGGGGGAACATGACCTAAGTGAAAGCAATGTGGGCCGGATGTCTTTCAGACCAGAAAATGCCTCAAATTCCCTTTTAAGCATTCCTTTTAGTGTCCAGGATTCTGCCCTAAGCCTCCACTTAAACTGGGGGTCCCACTTCCCAGGGACAGTAACCCACCCCTCCTCCTCACCACTGGCTCATTCTTGTGGGTAGTTTCTGGGCTTTGCAGCTCTCCCCCTCCTCACTTCTTAGCCAGACTTTACTCTGCTTCTGTTTCATTCATTCAATACCCAACAGGTATTGAATCCCTGTTCTGTGTCAAGCATCCTCCTAGGTGCTGGGGTACAGCTGTGAATAGAGCAGACAAGGAGCTCGCCCTAACAGACCTTAAGGGAAGAAGGCAATTCACAAGTAAACAAAGAAGCAAGACAGCACACATTAAGATAATGGCTGTGAAGGAAATAGGCTAAGTGAGTGGGGCTAAGCAAGTGGGGTGTGAGTGAGGCAGCCTCCTGGGCTGTGTGCATGGTGTCACCTCCCTCCTCCGCTTCAGCCCTTGCATGCCCAGCCACACCTGCTCCTGAAAAGAGCACCTCTGACCTGCGTCTTAATAAATGCCAGTGACATTGTCCTAACTTTGTCTTTCTTGCCCTCTGAGTGGCATTTTGTGAAGTTTAAAACTCTGCATCTTGTTTTCTTCCCTGGGCTTCTGAGGCACCAGCCTCTCCTGGTTTTCTCTCTGCTTTTCAGGCTTCTCCTGCATAGCCTTCTCTGCTGCCTCCACCACCCCTCTGCTTGGCTATTGAGGATCGCAGCTCCCTAGACTCTGTCTGAGGATTTCTCTTCTTACAATGTAGTCTTCCCCTAGGTGAAGGTGTCACGTCCCCTGGTGTTAGTTTCCATGCATCTCATCTGGACCCCTCTTTGGAAGAACTGATTGTAAATGCAGCCCCCTTCTTAGCATCTCCACTTAGATGACTCAACACACGCATAACTCGGCTCAGCACCTTCCCACATGCATGACCAACCCACACCCCAGCCCCTTCCTCAGCCTGTGAGTCTCTCCTCTTCAGATGCACCCTGTCTTAGGAAGGGGCACCACTGTCCCCCAAGCTGCTTGGGCCAGAAGCCGGACTTCACCCTCTCCTCTCCACCACCTGTTACACTTAAGCTGTCACCAAGTCCTGTGCATTCCTCCTCCTAAGGACGAGTGCATGAATCCATCCACTTATCCATCCTGACGTCCACTCCCTCTCCAGGCCACCATTGCTTGACTGCTGCAGGAGATTCCTCACCGGTCCCCCACATCCTGCCTTGACCCTTCCAGAATGTTTGCATGGGCCCTAATCATGTCTGTAATTTCTTGCTGAACTAAAGATAATTGAAAATTCTTCCCAAGGTATGCACCACCCCAGGCGATGGGCCCTGCCTACTTCTCCAGCCTCACCTCCGGCCACTCCCCTTTCTCCCTCTCCTTCAGCCTTCCTAACAGATGATTCATTCCCAGTTATGGCCTTTCCACACACATTTCCTTTTTCCTGGGAAGCTTTTTAGGGAGGCCCATATGTGTGAAGGCTGCTTTCTTTTTCCCTGAAGTGCTGTGATCACCACTGGGATGTGGGGTGAAAGATACCACCACTGCCTCTCTATTCCCTCTCTACTGGGAAATTTGGAAGAGATCTAGGTGGGAGCACAGGGAGTGGGGAGAGGGAAGGGATAGAGAGGCCCAGCCCAGGGAGAGGCAATAAGGGGGTACGTTGTCTGAAGAGAACGTAAAAGCAATAATATAATAAACGAAGTCTGTTAGATTTTGACTCTCACCTTGCACCAAAAATTCTAAAACCTGTTGATGCAAAATACTCTACCCCCAAGGGAGGATTGCTCCCTCCTCTTCCCTCCACTGGATGTGAGAATAACTTTTGGGAGTCTACCAAGTAATAGCAGCAATAACTGTCATTTACTGACCACCCAGTACCAGGCACTTTGTTAGCTATGTTAGGATTCTCATCACATTAAATCCTTATAGCAGCCCTGTAGGACAGGGCTTGTGGGACCCACTTTAAAGGTGAGGAAACTGAGATTAAAGAGTAAAGCCGGCACAGGCACATCTTGAATTGCTGGCCAGGAAACCCTGCCCATGGGCAGCTATTCTTAAGCAGGGAGCTGGCTGCATTGGCCTGGGCAGAGAAGGCTTTCTGAGATATATATATGTATTTTATTTTTTTTTCCCTTCAGAATAACTCTCACAAGCACTGGACTTCCAATAAATCTGCTTTAGGGCAGGGCTTTGTAATTCAACATGAACCCTGAGATGCTCCAGATTCTGCTGACAGGGGAGAAGATCATGGCCTGAGAATGTTTTGGTTCAGGGACAATAATGTAGATTTGGAGAAAGATCAGGCTGGGCTTGAATTCTAGACCTACTACTTACAGGATCTTGGGCAGATTATTCTCAGAGCCTCAGTTTCCTATCTTATAAGCTGGGGGGTAATAATAGTACTTCATAGAGCTACTAGGAGAGTTAAATGATTCAATGAAGGTGACACTTTCATGAGCGTGCTCATTAGGTGATTAGACTCTATAATGCTTATTAAGCTCATGGCAGATTAAATGATGTATAATGGATGAGTGACAATCAGCTGACATCAGGAGTTCAAGACCAGCCCGGCCAACGTGGTGAAACCCCGTCTCTACTAAAAACACAAAAAATTAGCTGGACCTAGTGGCGGGCACTTGTAATCCCAGCTACTCGGGAGGCTGAGGCAGGAGAATTGCTTAAACCCGGGCAGCAGAGGCTGCAGTGAGCCGAGATTGCACCATTGCACTCCAGCCTGGGCAACAAGAACGAAACTCCATCTCTAAATAAATAAATAAATAAAATAAAAAACAGACATTTGACAAATGTTTGTTTTCTTCCACATAAACATCATCAGGAGAGTATAAACGTTAATTTTTCTTTTTAGGTAGACATCCTACTCTTCTGGGAGTCCATTAAATAGACAAGAGACACTGAAAACACCTAGAGATGCATAAACCACATCAGATGAGAGCCCACATTTCTGGTTTAAGTTATTTCCTAGTGAACAAGTTATTTCTTCAGGAACAATCAGTAAATGGATACATTTCCTGGACATAACATCTTGTTAAAAAGGAGCTTGCTGATATAATTCAGGATATAGTGGCAGAGGTTTTATTTTTAACAGTTTTGTTTTCTTTCCTCATTGATGCTACAAGGAAACATCCAAAATGGCCGTAGCATGTGTTCACCATCCGCATCTTGTGCAGACCTCAGTGGCAAAGATGCCAGCCCATGGGGCTGAACTGTTCTTCCTCTTTGCAAGGAGGGAGCAATTGGTGTATTAATTAAGCAGTGAATTTTTAATGCTTGCTGAATGAATAGATCTGGTCTGTCTTCTAGCCTGGGAACCAGCGCTCTTAGATTTTATGTTATTTCTCCAAAACAATAAATTCTTACAACCCTCTAGAGAGAAAACAAAGCCTCTACTTGCTTCAGCTGGAAGGAAGCTCCATTTGTCTCTCTTCCTACCTGCAGAGACACTGCTACCTTCAGAACTCAGACAGAGGATGACTCTGTGCTGATGGCAGCCAGGTGCCTTCGTAAATTCTCAGAGAGGACTTATTCCACGTCCTGTGTATCTCCAGCATGCAGAGGTGGGTGTGTGTGCACGCACGTGTGCATGTATCATCTGTTTACATGTGGGCAGGCTGACCTGAAGATGCATCTCAGCCCTGAGGGTCCTTGCCTGAGCCAGGACAGGGAGGTAATGGTAAATGGCAGAAACCCTGTGGATAGAAGTTATGAGCCTTTGCTCTTAGGCTGTGGGAGGCACTACTTAGAGATGAGTGCAAGATGATGATGCGTTTTGGTGAGGGTGTTGTCAGCAGTTCTTCTGAGACTGGATTCTAGATCACTTCCTGCCCCCTCCCCCTCCAGGGAGACTGCCAGGAAGCAAGGGCCCTCCCTTCCGCCCTGTTGGCTTTGTGTTGATTGATGGTGGCTAGAGGAAACTAAGTTTTTCTTATGTTGGATTAAAAGAACCTAAATTAGTTTTGTGTCCATACAGTGAGAACTTTGGTTCCAAGATGCACCAAGACTGAAACAAACAACAAATAGATGAAACCAATATTTCCTGCCCCCAGGATGCTGGGAGGTTAAACAACTCCTTTATTGTGCAGAGTGCAGGGGCCCTGTGAGAGCAAAATGATGCCAGTGGGGATGGCAGGCTCTGAGGCTCTGGTCTGCCCTTTCCCTCCACCCTGGGTCCTCCTTCTCCCAGCACCTCTCTCTCTCTCTCTCTCTCTCTCTCTCTCTCTCTCTCTCTCCCTCTCTCTCAGGTCTTTCCTTCTACCCTGGGTCCTCCTTCTCCCAGCAATAAAGAATTAGGTCATTCAAAGCATCTCCTCTCCCTAAGAGTGTGGATCTCACCCACCACATGCTGTCCTTGATCTGGGGCCTGACAAAGATTCTCTCCATGACCACACGTTAGGCTCTTCTGAGATTTTTTTCAACTAGGGGTCAACTTTTGAGCTTCTGTGTTTGTCTCTGTCCAACTGTAGCACGAATCCAGTTTAGACAGAATCCTCCATCCTCAATATCTGATCACCCTTGATATCTGATTGGGTTCCTCATCTGTCTTACGCTGTTCCTGCTGCTATAGCAAAATACCTTAGAATGGGTAATTTATGTACTGCTCACTATTCTGGCGGCTGGGCAGTCCAAGGTCAAGGCACCAGCAGATTCAGTGTTGACGAGGGCCTGTTCTTCAGAAAAGATGCCTTCTACGTGTCCTCAGATGGTGGAGGGGTAGGGACGCTTTCTTCAACCTTTTTTATGAGGACACTAATCCCAGCCCTCATGACCTCATCACTTCCTATAGGCTCCACCTCTTCATTCTATCACACTGGTATTAGGTTCCAACATAAGAATTTTAGGGGGACACCAACATTCAGACCATAGCATCATCCTCTACCGTGCCCCAGGTGATGTCTGTTCAACCTGCCTGCCTTCAGCAAGAATCCTGTTAGGCCAATTTAGCCAGAATCCCCCCTTACCTCTGATGTTTCTGCAGTAATTTTCCATCCACTGACCTTCACCATTCTCGTTGGCTATGCATTCCCACTTTTCCTTGTATTTGGAGTTGATCCCAATCTCTCTCCCTGACTGCAAAACACCACTGTGGTGGTCCCTACACCAATCTTGGTGGTTTCCCTAAATAAAGCTTGCCCTATAGTTCGTTAGCAAGCGCCATTGAATCATTTTTTTCTTTAACGAGCGCTCCATGACTGCTGTCAGGATCCTCTGTCACAGCAGGGACCACTTCTTTCCAAAGACCATGTGATAGACCTCTTTGAGACAGGAGAACTGGAGTTCATTAAAAAGCATGCCTTGGCCAGGCGCAGTGGCTCACAACTGTAATCCTAGCACTTTGGGAGACCAAGGAAGGCAGATCACGAGGTCAGGAGATTGAGACTATCCTGGCTACCATGGTGAAACCCTATCTCTACTAAAAATACAAAAAATTAGCCGGGTGTGGTGGCACGCACTTGTGGTCTCAGCTACTCAGGAGGCTGAGGCAGGAGAATCGCTTGAACCCGGGAGGCAGAGGTTGCGGTGACCCGAGATCGCACCATTGCACTCTAGCCTGGGCCACAGAGTGACACTCCGTCTCAAAAAAAAAAAAAAAGAAAAGAAAAGTAAAAAGCATGCCTTTTTGAGTGGGATTACAAGGAACTTGGAAAGGAGCTGGGCCTCACTCACAGACTTGAGTAGAATTTCAGCTCTGGCCAAGTGGCAGTCAGAAAAGCAGTGGGCCGGGCACCTAATGCAGTTGCCTCCACATGTGTTGACAGGAAAGGTTCTGTCTTTGGACACCACGCAAGTTCACAGTGGTTAAGGAAGGACCAGATAATTCAGCACTAACTTCTGAAGAAGAGGAATGCTCATAATCTGGTTGATGCCCATACATTTCACTCATCAACTTGAATCCTGAAGCTTTTTAAAAAACAAAAGCTACTATGTATTGAGAGTTTTACTTTGTGGTAGACATTGTTTTTATTCCCATTTTACAGAGTGGAAAACTGCTGCATAGAAAGGTCCAGGGATTCGCCACATGTCACAGAGCTAGTAAGTGGCAGAGCTGGGAATCGCACCTAGGAAGCCTGGCTCTAGAAGTACCCCCTCCACCACTCCACGTTGTTAAATGTGTCAAAATATATTGATATTCATTAGAAGTAACTATGAGTCACTCAGTGTGTAATATGTTGTATATAATATTCAATTAATATTCATCCGGGCAGTGCCGTGATTAGCGGTGAATTATATATTATTTTAATAACTGAGGGTACCAATGAATGGCCTTTCTCACTTTGCTCAAACATAGTCTCTCTGTCTTTAAGCCGTTTCTTTGCCCTTAGCACTCCCAGTTTTCTATAGGCCGTGTTCTCATTCTCCTAATATAAAGCAAATAAATGTTTATCAGTCACTTGATGTGTTCCTGGGGGATGTTCCCAGCCACACCCTGTCCTGATGCCTCACTTCCTGCCTCAGAAGGCCCTCCTCCACCTTGCCTTCTACTCCTCTCCTTACCGTTAGCTAGAACAGCCTTCCCTTGGGCCTGCGGGGGGTCCAGTTACACCTCTAAACAAATTGCAATCTTTAAGTAATTTCAAAAAAGATAAATATTTATTTAGTCTGAAATGTGCCTTTCTCTGGTCAGTACTTCTGATTGGCCTGGGTGGCCTGCATTAGCACACTGGGTTGCCAACAGTCTGGTCCTGCTTTTTGGTTAACCTAAGCACCTTTGCCTCTGGTAATGTTAGGTCATTTGAAGCCCTGATATGAACATTGGACCCCCTGGATCTGAACAGCCCATTGTGGAAGCAGTCTACTAAAATGGGTGGAATGAAGGCTGGGGCCAGACCACGTGGAGTGTGTAGGGGGAGATGAGTTTATGTGCAGGGAGACCAAAGTGGGCAGATGGAAGGGAACTGGGTTCATGGGGAAAGGAGTGGGATCTCCTGGACATCCTTCACTGAGAGGTAGAGGACAGGGGAGCCTGCACATAGCCTGCTTGGGGCCACCCTGGTCTTCAGCAGCTGCACCTCTCAGGACTTGGGCTTCTTTCTCACCTGAATCAGTGAGCCTGTCCATCCTTTCATAAAAGGATCAAGTTTTCCAGCGTGGGGCTTATCTTATGACTTCCTTACTTTTGCTTACAGACGCGACCATACTAAAACTTGTGAGACTGTTGTGTTTTCTGGGGGGTGGTTGTGGGGGAGGGTCCTGACTTGCTGCGCAAGGTTAGTTTCTCTTCTGCAAAGTGGCCAGGAAGGGAGCTCTTGCAGCGTGCTTCTAGAGTATGTGTTTTAGATTGCTTAGTAAGGCCTGGTTATCTGTTAAATATAGACAACATTTTAATTTATTTCCAAGTAGACAGACTTGGGACCTTTCAAAGCCAGCATGCAAAGGCCAGAGTCACCTTCAGTGCTGGGTTACAGCAGAGAGCAATTTCAGGCCTAAGATGTCATTCGCAGCAACCTTAGCACTGGTCATTGTTGTTGAGCCACGATATTTGAAAACATTGTGTTAGAGTATATTCATGCCAGCCTCACTAGAGCTCATTTTGAATTTCTGGATAAACATTCTGGCGTTGCTGCATGTTTCGGGAGTGGAAATGTTTGAATGTTTGCCATTCTGGGTGATGGAAGGAAAATAGAAAAAGCAAGTGGTGAGATCCTTGGTCTCAGTGTTCAAGGGTAATGTAAACAGTATAAGGTTAACATGGAATGAAGGTTGAGAAGCCACATTTGCTGCACACCTTGATAGGAGAGACTAAGGTAGATAATAAATGTAAACTTTGATCTGTAAGGCAGCCCTGTGAGTGAGCTAATGGAAGAGTGTAGGTTGTGGCTCCAGATTGCTGAATGTGAATCCTGTGTCCTCCTCTTACTAGCTGGGTCATCTTGGACAATTTACTTAATTTCCCTTCACCTCAGTTTTCTCATCTGTAAAGTGGGGAGGTCAGGTTAACACTACAGCATAGGGTGATTAGGAAGATTAAATGAGTTAATATGTATGAACTGCTTTGAATAGTGCCTGGTACTTAGAAACTGCTACATAAGTTTTGTTAAATATATAAAATAGGCTGGGCATGGTGGCTCATGCCTGTAATCCCTGCACTTGGTGTGGTGGCGAGTGTCTGTAATCCTAGCTACTCAGGAGGTTGAGGCAGGAGAATCACTTGAACCCAGTAGGTGGAGGTTGCAGTGAGCTGAGATCATGCCACTGCACTCTGGCCTGTGCAACAGAGTGAGACTTCGTCTCAGAAAGACAATTTATATATATATATATAAAAAATAAATATTATATATGCATATTCATATATAATATATAATATATAATTTTTTCATATTCATATATAATATATATTATATGTTATATAATGTATTATATATAAATATGCATATTTAATATATAAATATATAATATATAAAAATATGTATATATGAATATAAATATATATGTATATCTATATACACACACACAAACACATACACACACACATATATATAAACCTGAGGCTCTGACAGGTGAAGTAAGTTATACAAAGGCCCCTGGGCTAGTCAGCAGTGATGTTAGAATTTGAGCCCAGCACTCTTAGGCTCTAGAGCAGGGTTTCTCAGCCTTGGCACCATTGACATTTTGGGCCAGATGATTCCTTGTTGTGAGAGCTGTCCTGGGCATTGTAGGAGGTATAGTAGCAAACCTGGCCTCTACCAGGGCCCACTAGGTAGCGATAGCAACCCCCTGACCCCCAGATGTGACAACCAAAAATGTCTTCAGACATTGATGAGTGTTCCCTAGGGGGGCTAAACTGCCCCCAGTTGAAAACCACTGGGCAGAGAGAGGGATTAATATCCTGGAGAGTTTTGCAGCAGCCTGACTTCTCAGTTCCAGGGTTCAGAGCCCAGTTCCCACTTATCACCTTATTTCCTTACAGACCAATGGTCAGAGAAGGCCAGGATCATGGTGGCTGGTATGTGTACACACAGCAGCCGACAAGCTTCTGTATGTGGGTTTGAGCCAGAGGCTTCTCAGCTGTGGGTTTTTTGCTTTTCTGTTTTTTTTTTTTTTTTTTTTGAGACGAGATCTTGCTTTGTCACCCACGCTAGAGTGCAGTTGCACGAACATGGCTCGCTACAGCCTCAACCTTGCGGGCACTAGCTGTCCTCCTGCCTCAGCCTCCCGAGTAGCTGGGACTACAGATGTGTGCCACCACCCCTAGCTAATTTTTGCATTTTTTTTTTTAGAGATAGGGTTTCACCATGTTGCCCTGGCTGGTCTTGAACTCCTGAGCTCAAGCAATCTGCTCGCCTCAACCTCCCAAAGTTCTGGGATTACAGGCATGAGCCACCGTACCCAGCCTTTGCTGTTTTTTGAGCTGTTTTCTTTTCTTCTTTTTGGCTGGGCACGTTCAGACTATAAGGTGGGCCAGGCTATGTGGCTGGTTTGAGTTTCTCTCTGCAGCTGTCAGCAGCAGAGTCCAGGCAGCCACACTGACCCATGCTGCCTTTCTTGGAGGCACAGCTGGTTGATTTAACTGGAGTCACAGTGTGAAGGGTCCCAGAGCAGAGGGGTCAGCTGACAAGAGGAGAGCCAACGTTCAACATTTATCGTTGCCATGTCATGATACTGCCTCACTCAGCACTTATTCTGATTTGCAACATCTGGGTCTTTTTTTCTTCTCTTCCTGCCTTCTCTGTGCTCTCTTTGGGTTTCAGAACTTGAACCTGTGGCAGCAGTGGTAGGCTGTGGTTCAGAGCGTCTGGGCATATGTGAGATGTGAGCAGAGCCACTGTGTTCTTGGCACCCAGCTGCTAGTTCCGCTCTCAAAGCCCCATTTGTAAGAAATATATTGACCAGCCGCTCAGTGTCTCTGACCAAGTTCTTAGAAAAGTCTCAGAGCTAGCAATATGTTTTACTCCTAGTGGGTGGGTGGAGATGGGATGGGGAAAGGAATTTTTTGTTGTTGTTGTTTATTTGTTTTAAGATAAAGCTCTGGTGTTTGGACTCATTTAAAGAGAGCTATGCAGTGTCTTGTTTGAATGTTTGTTTTTATGGGTTAATGGCTTTGCATCAGTAGTCACAGCTTCGGTGTCCAAATATTTTAGTTCTGGTTCAGAACCTACTTTTCTCTTGTTTTGATGCAAGCTATTTTCCTAGGGTACTCTATTTCTTTTCAATAGAAAGGTGATATTCACCCTTGCACTAAATGAGTGTTGATATCTGATAGGGAAACAGGCAGCTCTTGTGCTGGCAGAACCGATGTGCCTTTCTCCTTAAAATCTCCAGGACGCTTTCTCTCGTGAGTTTTACTCCTTGCCTTTTCCCATTGGAAGGCCATCTCTTTTCACAAGCAATGAAATCAGGACATGGGAAGAAGTGACTGTAGGAGAAAGAAGACAGCTGTCAGTAAACGTAATTAACCCCGATCTCCTCTGGAGGGCTGCCTCTTGAGCGAGCTGTGCTTTAAACCAGCCCGAATGGATGTTCAGAACAGAAAGAGAAAGTGAGTTACCAAGGACTTCTGGGGAGTGCCGTGAGCAGGGGTTCCTTTCTTACCTGGAGGGAGCCCCACACATTCAAATCATTTGCTGAGATCTAGCTAGGTGCTGTGCTGGGGACACACCGATGACAGCCTGTGGAAATGCTGGGCCTGGTGGACCCAGGAAGCGTTGACTCCCAGAGCAGGAGGGGCAGCCCGTCTTTGCAGCATGGACCTTGCTGTGGTAACCCACACCATCAGCCCTTCTGCCCCGTGACACCACCACTTCATTGTCAGGAAGCACAGTTAAGGGGAAATGAGTTTTGTATTTTAGCAAAGTTTAATTGAAACTCAAAATTCCCCCCAGTTGGATGCAAACTGTCTTATGTGAGTAGAAATACATGTGCAACCCAAAATTGGGAAATAAGTTTGGGGCTTTTGGGGTTGGGCCTGCCTGCTGTTTCCCTGTTTTTTTTCTGTGTTCCTGCACATTGATTAGAATTCTTGTCCCTGTTAGTCCAGGGTGAAAGGGGAAGGCTGGCAAGTTTGGACACATAAATCTTACACCAGACGAGTTTCCTGGAAAAAGATCAGATCAGGCCTAAAGCAGGGCAGTCCTTCTGGCAAAGTGACTCTGTGTGGTCAGGTGGCAGTGGCCATCTGGGGAGCCCGGAGCCTCTGGGTGAGGAATGTGTTGGCCACCTCTCCAGCTGGCCTGCTCGTTTCAGGGCTCCCGTGTGGTGGAAGCAGGACCGTAGAGAGGCAGCCTCCCAGGCAGGCTAGTCATTCAAACCTCTCCCTTATGCATTATCTAATAATTATGTAGTAAGGAATGGGAGAGCTGCCTGAGTGGAGCGTTGACAATGTGCAGGTTATATAAGGAAGCTTGCCCAGAGACCTGGGTTAACAGGCCTCACATTTCTCATCCCCCTGACCCCAGGGTTATAGACAATTGCCCTTCAGGCAGCTGCCTGGCCAGCCCACGCCTTGCCCAGACTTGGAGTAAGATTCTGGAATCAGACAAATGTGGGCTTGAATCCCAGCTCCACCACTTACCAAGTTGGTTTTCCGGGGGAAGCTGCTTAACTTCTCTGAGCCTCAGGCTCCTCATTTGTAAAATGGTCCAAGGATTAAATGACAAACTATATAAAAAGGGCCATGGATCATTCATCTCCCAAACCTCAGCATCACACAATAATCCCAGGTAACAAACCTGCACATGAATCTACAATAAAAGCTGGAAAACATAAATAAGGGCTGTCACAGTGCCTGTACTGTGGCTCTTCAGAACTCAACCCAGTTGTCACTTGGCCCAGGAATCAGGCCCTTCCTGGATTCCAGGTCCCTCATTTGTGCCCCGAGCATCTTTTCTACCCTAGCTCTTGTTCACTTTTCTGTTTCTCCCTTTAGGCTGTAAGTACCTTGGAGGCAGGTGCTATGTTTGGTTGTCTCTGTGCTCAGAGCCTGCACCAAAGCAGCCAGCACTTAAGGAGTGCTGACTGAGCATTCCAGGCTTGGTTCTAAGTAATTTACATGTGAAAATTTATTTAAACCACACAGCAACCCATGAGGTAGGGACTATCATCATCCCCATTTTACAGACAAGGAAACTGAGGCACAGGGTAATTGAATCACATGCCCAGTGGCACAAAGCTAGTCATTGGCCGAGCCAGGATTTGAACCAGGTACATCTGTTTCAGAATCTGTTCTCTTAACCACTGTGCTGTCACTTGAGTTGTTCATTGGATGGTGAGCAGATGGGGCAATGTTATTATGGTTAAACTATTATTGTTAATTCCGGGCAAGCCACTTGCCTTTCTAGGCCTGCTTCTTTGTTCATTAAGTGGGGAGCAGGGTTCTTGTGAGGATTAGATGGGAGTGATGAGTATAAAGGAGACTGCAAACCCTATCCAGAGCCATCACCTTGGGAGTGTCACCGTGGTAATCAGAGTCCGTTATTCCTACAGGAGCTCCATCCACAACTGCTCTGCAGGGGACAATGGGTGCCCTCATTCCCCACAGGGCTCCCTACCCTCTCCATCGATACACACTAACATATGGGAAATGAAGGCCCACCCTGCCGGGCTTTCATACTCTAGAATGCGTGAATTTTTGCTCTTGGCAGCCCATTAAAAGGGCTAGAGTCCCCCATGCTGTCCTTTGATGGTGGAATACAGGAGAGTTTAACCTCAGGCCCTGCAGGAGAGTTGAGGCAAGGTGTCCCTCCAGTCCCAAGGAGAAGGGGGTGCTGCCCTTCAGACTCTGCGTAGGTCTGGAATGGCAGTGGCTTTTGGGTAATGAGGTGGCAGTGTCGGGGACATTGAGAAGGTGGATGATGTTATTGTCAGTGACTCCACAACTCCTGCCTTTTGATATTCCAGCCACGTAAAGCTGCAACTAAGGTTTCCCAGCAAAGACTTGGAATGCAAAGCACACTTTAAAGTGTGTGAGTTTGTGTGTAGCAGGGGATGTGGGGTGGGACTGTGTGAGGTGTGGGGTGTGTGGTGTATGTGGTGTGTGTGTGTGTGAGATATGTGTGTTTGTGAGGTATATGGAGGTGTGTGTGATGTGTGAGGTATGTGGGGGGTGTGTGTGTGGTGCTTGTGTGTGTTTGGTGTGTGAGGTATGTGGCGTATGTGTGGTGTGTGTGGTGTATGTGTTGTGTGGTGTGTGTGTGTGTGTGTAGCGTGTGAGGTATGTGGTGTGTGTATGTGGTATGTGGTGTGTGTGTGGCATGTGTGGTCTTTGTGTGTGTGTGTGGCATGTGTGGTCTTTGTGTGTGTATGTGGCATGTGGTGTGTGAGGTATATGGTGTACGTGTGTGGGGTATGTGTGTGAGGTATGTGGTGTGTGTGTGAGGTATGTGGTATGGGGGCATGTGTGTGTGGTATATGTGTGAGGTATGTGGTGTGTGTGTGTTTGGTATGTGTATGAGGTATGTGGGGGTGCGCATGTGTGAGGTATGTGGTGTGGGGGGCATGTGTGTGTGTGGTATGTGTGTGGGGGGTGTGAGGTATATGGTGTGTATGTTGGGGGGTACATGAGGTATGTGATAACTGATTCTGGAGCTAATTTATCCTCCTTATTCTGTCAGGTGTGATCTGAATCATTTCCTTGGCTCACATCTGATGATGCCCTTATTCTCTACAAGGCCTAACACCTCAGTCACTTTAGGTTCTATTTCCTTTTTCCCCCTCTTTGGCCCCTTCTCAGCTGGGCTGTCCCTCTCTTCTCTCTGGATAGGCCTTCCTTTCTCCTCCTTCTCCTCTCTCCTCACATATCGGCCACACTCACCTGCAAACACTCTTCTTGAGAAGAAGGGCTTAGATATGTCTTAGTAAAGACTGTTTAAAATCAGCTGGGCTAGGCCGGGCGTGGTGGCTCATGCCTGTAATCCGAGCACTTTGGGAGGCCAAGGTGGGCAGATTACGAAGTCAGGAGATTGAGACCATCCTGGCTAACATGTTGAAACCCCATCTCTACTAAAAATACAAAAAAAAAAAAAAAAAAAAAAATTAGCCGGGCGTGGTGGTGGGTGCCTGTAGTCCCAGCTACTTGAGAGGCTGAGGCAGGAGAATGGCGTGAACCCAGGAGGCGGAGCTTGCAGTGAGCTGAGATCACGCCACTGCACTCCAGCCTGGGCGACAGAGACTCAGTCTCAAAAAAAAAAAAAAAAAAAAGTTCAGCTGGGCTTAACAGTAGAGCCTGGGGTGGGGGTGTGATGGGAGCATTCTATATCTCCACTGTCTGACTCAGAAACCACTGGCCACATGTGGCTATTAAGTATTTAAAACGTGGTTACTGCAACTGAAGGACTGGATTTTTTATTTCATTTCATTTTTATTAATTTAAATAGCCGCATGTGGCCAGGACCACCATTTTGGACAGTGCAAGTTTAGGGAATGTGACACCCAGAAGAATCAAACCAGATTCAATTATATTGTTTGGGGATTTGGGGCTATTTATCTTTAATCTGGGCACTTGGTTTTAACAGAGTCGGGATTTGTCAGTTGCATACTCAGGTCTTCAGAAAACCTCTTGCTGTCTGCTCAGGTGAGGTAGAAGCCACATGTGCTGGCTGCAGTGATGGTATCCAGTTTACAAATTCATCATCCTTTGACCTTCTCCACTAGCACCCTGACCCTTGTAGCCCAGGCTGCCCTATGGATGACTGGGCACAAATGTGTGAAGTTCAGGGGATCCCAAAGTCAGGGACCAAGTTCTCTAGTCCTGGGTCTGCCACTTCCTGGCTGGGAAAGTTATTTCACCTCCAGGGATGGGTTGAGATTTTGTAGGGCTTGAAGTTTAAGCAACTGGGGGACCTCTTTAAGAAAAAGAATATAAAATTACAAATACAAAATTAGGTACCATGGTGAATATTTATTTAGAATAAGAAAATAAATCACATTCAATATACGTTTTTAAAACCTGACATGTATCACAAACTTTATAAAATCCAGAAAAATAACAAAATATTTTTATTATTTGCCTGTGAAACCTCCATAATACTTTTTTCCCTGAATATATTTTGGCTGAATACACTTTGATCACCTCTTCATATGATAGTGATTTTGTAATTTTTCTAAAGGGAGGTTGCAAAGAAAATTTAGCTTTTCTTCTAGCATGACTGACAATATTTATTTTTTATTATTGATAGTTACATTGCATAAAACATGGCTTCAGACACAGACATCCACTTTTTTTTGTTTTACTGCCATAGGTTTGGGTCCTACAATACAGGAATTTTGATAAAATATATTTTGTGTAATTCCCACCAAAAAGGGGGAAAATGTCTGGTATATTTATAACTGTATTCATTATATTATCAAATACATTTCTGATAGGAGAAAACTTTCTTTTTCGAATAGGCATCAGTGAAAACTAAATTTTCCTTCAATTCCACATGTCCAAAGACTGGAAGAAAGTTCTATGCTCTAGCTTCTGGCTCTGTATAGTTCTTTTTTCTTTTCTTTTCCTTCTTTTTTTTTTTTTTTTTTTTTTTTTTGAAATGGAGTTTCACTCTTGTTGCCCAGGCTGGAGTGCAATGGCGCGATCTCAGCTCACCACAACCTCCGCCTCCCAGGTTCAAGCAATTCTCCTGCTTCAGCCTCTCGAGTAGCTAGGATTACAGGCATGTGCCACCACACCCAACTAATGTTGTATTTTTAGTAGAGACAGGGTTTCTCCATGTTGGTCAGGCTGGTCTTGAACTCCCGACCTCAGAGGATCCGCCTGCCTCGGTGTCACAAAATGCTGGGATGACAGGTGTGAGCCACCGCACCCGGACCGCTCTGTATATTTCAATCCTATTTTTTCTCCCCTATTTTTATGTCTCAGGTGCCAGGTATTGCACCTTTGAGTCTCAAAGCCATTGAGTTGTGGAAAGCTTAGCACTGGAAGCCATGGGGACAGCTAACAATCACTTGACTTTGCATTAACGTGACTGTGAACAATAGACATAAATCCCACTACACCCAAACTAAATTTATCCCCAAATTAACTTTCCCTTATGCTGGATCCCAAAACACCTATAGCTACTGTAACACCATTCAATATGAACATGAGGGGAAATGTATCAGGAGGAGACATCAGAGTTGAAAGATACAGTGCTCTTCATCAATTGCAGTTAAAATATCTTACTACTGCAAATTTCATTTAAAAATTACATGATTCTAAGAATATATTGCTAGGGCCTTGAAAGGGGTCCATGCTGGCAGGGCCCTGAAACTTTCTTCCTTAGCATCACAGTAAATCTGCACCTCACTGCTCTGAGCCTTGGGGTCTTCATCTTTAAAATGGGAAGAATAGGATCCATTTTATAGAATTATCATGGGTATTCAGTGTGCTATATTTGAAAGCTCGTTTACCTTGTGCCTGGGAAAGAAGTGCTCAGAAATAGGAAGGAAGGAGGGAAGAAGGGAGGGAGGGAGGGAATGAAAGGAAAGGAAGGGAATGGAAGGGAAGGGGGAAGGGAAAGGGGAAGAGGAGGGGGAAGGGAAGGAGGAAGGGAAGGAGGAAGGGAAGGAGGAAGGAAGGAAGGATTTTATTTTATTTTTTGACGGAGTCTCACTCTGTCACTCAGGCTGGAGTGCAGAGGTGATCTCAGCTCACTGCACCCCCTGCCTCTTGGGTTCAAGTGATTCTCATGCCTCAGCCTCCGCGTAGCTGGAACTACAGGCATGCACCACCATGCCCAGTTAATTTTTATATTTTTAGTACAGACAGGGTTTCCCCATGTTGGCCAGGCTGGTCTCAAACTCCTGACCTCAAGTGATCTGCCTGCCTCAGCCTCCCAAAGTGCTGGGATTATAGGCATGAACCACTGTGACTGGCCCTTTTTTTTTTCCTAGCCATCTACTTCGAGTACAGTGGCCTGCTTTGAATTCAGTGGCCCCCTACCACTGAGCAGCCCTAGGGGATCCCTAACCCAAATAAGAAATGGGGCTGGAGAGCAGGAAACGGAAAGCTCACATGAATGAGAGCACCTAAGGGTACTTTGAGTGGTCAGAACTTGGTATTTTTTCTTGAACCAAGTCTTACTGCTCATGACTTTCCTATGCCATATGATTCAGGGAGATTGTGCCTGAGTTATGTGAAGCTCAGAGGAGATTCTGAGCAATATGAGACTGGAACATGGTTCTCAGCTGGTGCAGAGCTTGTATAATAAGGGACTGCTCTGTGGAGAGCATGGGTACTGGATGCCTTTGGAATTTGACAGCTGTATCCAATCCTCCGCAACAAAATTCCACAGTCAGACTTAGATATCCTTGGATCTGAAGAGGAATGGTTGGGCTAAGAGTTATGGTGATGGTAACGAGAGATTCTTTAAATTTGAAAGGTGAGTCCTGAGACTCTTGTCCCCCACCTGGGCCTGCCTTCTCTGGCTGCTGCCCTCTGCCAAGTGGGGCAGGTGGGTGGGTGGGTGGGGGTGCTGGAGCAGAGTCCAGGCACAGACGGTAGACCAGGAGGAGCCTGAGGTTGGCAAGGAGCCACTGTTAGAACCCAGCACAAGCTAAATCTCTCTCAGCTCTGCTTTCCTCATTTGCAAGTGAGGGGATTGGGCTGGATAGCCTCTAAAATCCCTTCCAATGCTAACCCTTCAGGATTTTAAATTTTTGAGTATGTTGGGATTGGCCCACCCTCCATGGCTAACCTTCTGAGGCTGGCAGGATGGGCAGTGGAGGGAGAAACACAAGTTTGCAAACCCCTGATGTCCGCATTCCCCAACGTCCTTCTGCATCAGCCGCACTTGCCTGCAATCCCGGGATGGTTAGCAGCAGCCATGATGGCATTTCGGGAATGCCTGCCCATCCTCCCAGGTGGCAGGTTGCATGTGTCAGTGCTCAGCTGAGCAGGGAAGTGGACCTCTAAACAGTTAGTCTGGTGCAACACCATTTTAAAGACAGGCAAACAGTATCTGCATCTAAATGCATAGAAAATTACTGGAGGGGGCTCATGACGTGGTGGCTCACACCTGTAATCTCAAGACTTTGGGAGGTCAAGGTGGGTGGATCACTTGAGACCAGGTGTTCGAGACCAGCCTGGCCAACGTGATGAAACCCCATCTCTACTAAAAATACAAAAGTTAGCCAGGCATGGTGGTGTGCTCCTGTAATCCCAGCTACCAGGGAGGCTGAGGCACGAGAATCACCTGAACCCAGGAGACAGAGGTTGCAGTGAGCCAAGATTTCGCCACTGCACTGCTCTAGCCTGGGTGACAGAGTGAGACTCCATCTCAAAAGAAAAGTATGTGAAGGAATTAATCCAAAATGTTAAAATTATTTCTCTGTAAAATAATAGGTTACTCCATTTTTTTCTTAATTCCTTTCTGCTTTGTCCTTTTAAATTTTCTAGCTTAAGTATGTATGGTTACAACTTTAGAGTTGGGGGGTGGGTGTTTCCAGATGGAGGTGGCTCTGGGACAGGGGTCAGCGACAGGCAGGGAGAAGCTGGCAGCAAAGTTGTGAGAAATAACCTGCAGAGCTGTCAGAAGAGCAGGCCGTGCCAACAGCAACTTGCTATCACATTCTGCACCCACCAGGCTGCCTCTGACAGGCATTGAGGGGGCAGGCTCGATCCTGTGGGGTCACAGGTTCTCTTTTGGCCCTGGAGAGGTAAGCCTTCAGTGAAAGTTCTGGTTCTGCTGTCAGGTGTACCATTGCAGGTGAGTTGCAGTTCTCAGGCTCAGTTTTGTCATTAGTGTAATGTTGATGTCACCAACCTCACAAGCATTTCGCAGGAGAGTGCCTGTGGTCCATAGCAGGAGGTCAGTGGGCATTAGCTGTCCACCCCGTTTCACTCTTATGCTGCTTAGGGGAAGGGTGGTGGGAGACACCTCTTGGCTAGGGGAAGGGCAATCTAGCTCACAGCACTGCAGTCTGATTGTCCAGGCCGTTTTCCCAGCAGCTCTCTCACTGCAAGGCACACTTTTCCTGGATAGTATTTACTGCCAGGACCACTGAGAAGCTGCCCCAGCCTTCCCAGCAGCTCCTGCCAGTCCCACCCCAGCCAGTCAGTGTCTGTGAGTCCTCAGACCTCCTAGGTTGTCTATATATTTTTTTCTTTTTGCTCTTTCATACCAAGTCCTGCAGACTCCTGGGTAGTCTGAATGCTGCCCCTGTATTTTCTGTGTGACCAGGGGACCCCTTGGAATAGTGTCTCTTACTCCATTTAGACTTCGCTTTAACCTCCAAGCCTCCTAAATAGCCAGCTGGCTCCCCGCTCCTAGACAGACCCTTATTTTAATCTAGAATTTCTAGACAGAAAGCCAGTTCAGCCCTGTCTCATATTTTTAAAAATTTGCCTTTAACCCTGCTTACAACATGACAAACCAAAGTGGCAGTATAGGAAATCCTATCCCAACTCCTGAACTCTAACAGCAAGGATTTAGCAAGACACTTTCCAAATGGAAAGTCAAGTTATTTCATTCCTTCCTCTGTTCCACTCACTCAACAGATATTTCTTGAACACACACTGTAATAACAATAATTCTCATTGATTGAGTGCTTGTTATGTGCCCAGGGGACTTCCAGGAGCTCACAGTCTGCTGAGGATACAGACTGGTGATTGTTTCCAATGTGATGGGTGGTATGAGAAGCAAGGTGGAGGCTGCCTTGGAAGTAAGTAAAAAGGGACATTCCTTCCCCTTCCTATCAAGCCTAGCTATTAATTGTGTGATGATGTCTTTTTCATGGGAAATCTGCTTCTCCTGCAACTCCTAGTTTAATTATCCCTTCCCAGGTCTACCTAGAGGAGAGATGACCACAGCCTTCTGTCTAGTGCTGGGATTTTGAAACTCCTGTCCCATGCAGGGGCTGGGATTGGCCTGGCCACAGTAGGGTCTGCTCAGTTGTAGGCTGCCATCTTCCTTTTCAATTGAAACAGAAAACCAGAAAGTGTCAGGCAGACATAGGGGCAGTCTTTACGATCCTTTTCCCTCCCGCGTGCAGCTCGCAGCTGTTTATCTGTGAGAAACAGGTTTGCCCAGTGGAACGTTTATTTGGTTTCTCTGGCTGATCATGGGAACACACCTGCCACTTTACCACTTCCTGAAAATCAAGCAGTTTCTTAGAAAAGGGACATATTCCTTAAAATACATTGTGTGGTTTGGGAGTGAGATATGGTTTCTTGGATTTTTATGATTTAATGTGTCTACAAAAACATTAAGCCACAAGATAAAAATATACTGACTGCCCCTATGAGAAAATGGACTTTCCTTAGGATCAGGGGGCTGGTCATTTTAATTTTTATGCCAAGTTTTGTTATATTTTCAAGTTTTTGTTTGTTTCTTTTGTTGTTTCTCATCAACTCTCTTACACTCTGGACATACCACAGGCAGCCATTGGTACAGTTTACTACAGTGAAACTTCTACTTATCAACCCAAATAATTTGGACTGAAGTTTTGTAAGAAAAAGGCAAATAATAAAACACATTTTTAAAAAGATTTTAATGTTTAATACCGTAGTTTCAGAGCATGCCCTGGGCTGAGTGTATGGTCCTTCTCAATGCTGTACCTACATCTGAAATACTCTACAATAAGAACAGATTGTTCTGGCAAATAGCTGGGAGATAGTCCATCATGTGTCTATTAATAAAGTAGAACTAGATTTATATTTAGTGTGCTATATTTACTAAGGCAGGACTGGGGACCATGAACATTTTGGCAATTTTTTTCAATTGAGTATTTGGAACTGATTACTATGTATTTACCAGAAAATTTGACTAATCAGCATATCGTTTTTAGAACTTTCTATAATAAGGTTTTCTAATAGGAAGAGAGAGATGAGCAGTGGATAAGAATGTGAAATTTTGGAGTCAGATTGGCCTGGGTTCATGTTATGACCCAAATTATGGCAACTTGCCCCAGAGACTTGGCCTTTCTCATCTAACTCCTCCTCATCTTCAAAGGGGGCATTGTGCTGATACCCACCTCTCATCATTGTTGTGAAGATATAACATAATAATGCTTGAAAAGCAGTCAGCACAAAAGTATTCACCCCTGACCTGTATTAGATGTTGCACAACTCATGGTCTTCGTTGCCCTCATGGTCATTGTTGCTATTGTCTAATCTATCAGCACTGTTGTCATCACCACCATAACGATCATCCTCTATATACTACAGCCTTTGTCACAGCCAACTCCTTTCTCCAAAGAGGCCTTTAGTGGGAGGAACTTGCATTGTGGAATATTGCGATTCAGTATTTCTAGGAAGCTAGGCTAAGATAACACAGGGCATGTTCCAGAGTGTTATATTAGAACTAGACATAGTTAACTGGCCTTTATGCCTTAGTTTGGTTATCAAGAAATTTAGATTTAATGCCATTGTCTTAGTACTAGAGAATGTGGCCCCTTTCGCAACCTTTTGAAGCCTATCAGGATTAGGGGATGCTCGCCCCACAGATGCAGGTCTCCCCTCCTTTCCTATTCACTGGGAGATCTGAAGGCAGTGCAGGGAGAGCAAGGAGGCCACACAGAGGTCAGACTCCTCTGTCATGTCTTCCTTTTCAGATGACTGCCTCATGTCTGGAGACCTCGAAAACTGATCTTGAAATCCAGGGCTTGGTCTGTTCAGTGTTTTCTTAAAAATTAAAATAGAATCTCTCAAGGGCGGAAGTCTCCGCTCTTCTTCCTTCTCCTCACCCAAGCCAATCCACTCTTCCTGAAGGTGACATGGAAATGTAGACTCAGTAAATGTGTACAAACGTGGTGTATCTAGAGCTCCTGCTGTGTGTTTACAGAGTTGGTGCTGCATTTAAGGAGGACAGAGATGCCTTTGTTGTCATGCTGACCACATTCCCTTCCTGGTAAGCAGTACTCACTCCTGAGTCAGGCCCCTAGGTTCAAATCTCAGCCCTACCATTTATTAAGAGGATGGGCCAGGCATGGTGGCTCACTCCTGTAATCTCCCAGCACTTCGGGAGGCTGAGGTGGGGGCATTGCTTGAGCCTAGGAGTTCGGGACCAGCCTGGGCAACATAGGGAGACCCCCATCTCTACTTGGGCATGGTGGCATGCCTATGGTCCCAGCTACTCAAGAGGCTGAGGTAGGAGGATCGCTTGAGACTGAGAGGTGAAGGCTACAGTGGGCTATGATCACGCCACTACACTCCAGCTTGAGCAACAGAGTGAGACCCATCTCAGAAAAAAGAAAAAAGAGAGGATGATCCCAGGCAAGCTAATTAGCCTCTTTGGGCTTCATGCTCATGATCTGTAAAATGGGCACACTAATAATATCTACATCATAGGACTGTGGTGAGGTTTAATGGTCAGTATCTATAAAGCACTTAAGACCATGCTAGGCACCTAAGAAGAGCTCTATGTGAGTTGGCTATTTTTCTTGGCCTTGCCTGTTTCTTCTAGTAACTACCTAGGCTGTGACTTCCCTAATTTTTCTAAAAAATGAATAAAAAGCCTAGATTTTCTTGCAATGCAAGGTATAGAAGAGGAAATAGAAGCAGAGGTTTCACAGTGTGGTACCCCTAAGTCAGAGGTACTTAAAATCAGTTGGATGCACTTTTCTAGGTGGAGGAAACCAGGGACAGAGCAGGCAGAGGTGGACTGAGGAGACAGAGAAGCAGGGTATTGGCTGGAGGCAGGGAGATGAAGGGAGGACTGCCTTGGAGGCAGTACCACTAGACCAGGGTGTTCCTGCTTAATTTAAAGCATGCTGTGAAGTGCTCCAGAATATGTTAAAGCAGAATTGGCTTTAATTGGCTTCAATAAGGAAACTTATATTTTCAGGAAGAGGGGAAGAGAAGGTCATTCAAAACCAAATGGCTGCAAGGTATCCTGTGCAGTGGAAAGTTGGGATCTGAGTGTTGTAATCCACTGAGGGGAAACCAACCCTTATAGGGATTGAGCATCTCACTTGAGATCTGTCTGGACGATGGAGGGATGCCTAGTATTCCTTGGCGAATGGCACATCCTGTGCAGTTGAGAGAGGCCACCTTCATGTAGGCAATAACTGTGCTGAAAGGGAGACCTCTTCTAGATAGATAATGTCAGGCACCTGGAACAGGTCCTGCAAGTCCCCTGCAATGCCAGATTAATCTCAGAGTGTGTTCTTTCCGCTAGGGTGCCCATTGCATGGAGACTTGAGAACAGGCAGGCACTGGGCCTTGTTCGCCTCTGGATTTCTAGTAGGGGCCCAGAAGTGCTTAGGTGCCTGCATTATGCATGGATTATAAATCTGGGATGACCTGGGAAGTAAAACCTAAAAATGGGGCAAGTGCTGATAGAGCCATCCCCAGCCGTGGAAGAGACAAGTGGAGTATGCGGTATCCCTGCCATCACCTGGGCTTGTTGATGGAAAGGAAAGGTAGGAAAAAAAAGGAAGGAGGGGAGGGAGGGAGGGAGGGAAGAAGAGAGGGCAGGAGATGGGGAGGAAGGAAGGGAGGGAAGAAGAGAGGGAAGGGGAGGAAGAAAGGTAGGGAGTTAGGAAGAGAGGGAGGAGGAGGGAGGAAGAGAGGGAGGGAGGGGGGAAGGAGAGGAAGGAAGGGAGGGAGTTAGAAAGAGAGGGAGGAGGAGGGAGGAGGGAAGGGAGGGAGAGAGGAAGGAAGGAATTCTTTTGTACATACATTCAGGTTAGGCCAGTTCAGCTCCCACCCCTGCTGGTGGAATTTAGATCCCGTGATGTGAGTGTGGTGTTTTCTTCTCCTACCCTCTCCCCACCATCAATCTATATTTTATCACTTGCAAAGGTGGTTGTAAACTAAGACAAAATGACCAAATATCACACATTCAGATTTATGCTAATGAAATGTTTAGATATAATCTTACCCTTTTTTTCTTGTGAAATGATTGATTTCTGAGCCTTGGGGGTCTGGTTCCATTGAAATACAGCAGGACCCTCATATCCTTTTGGAGAGAATGAAGATGAACCCTTGCAGAATAGAACATCCTTAAAATTGGTAGCTAAGGCCAGGGTTTTTATGTGTTTTAGAGCAAAGTTTCGCAAATTGCTTGCTCTGTGGGAGAACAGACCTAAATTCTCCTCAGTGCCAACTCATGGTGCTTAATTCGTATTTGTGGATTGCTAGATGTGCAATTAATTAAAAAGCACTCTTAGTTGCGTGGTTCCAAAGAAACTTGCTAAGATACCCTGGTATATTTTACAAATAAAATTAGGCTTTGTAGGAGTTGTAAAATTATGTATGTATATTTCTTTAAATCTCATATGCAGGAATAGTGTTCTGAATCTGGTCCTGTTTCCTGTCTCCAATTTATGTCTTCATCCTTTCTCTATAGCAGTGCTGTTTCTTTGTAAGTGTAGTCCAGGACTAGTTTAGAAATCAGATATTTCTAAATTACCTGATTTAGATTATCTGATTTAAATTATCTGATTATCATTAAAAACAAATGATATTTGTTGAGTCTGTAGTCAGAAAATTCATTGATTTGGTTTCCAGGTTCTAGGTAATGAACATTAGAAAGATAAGATGAATCCCACCCATTTCCCCACCTTTTATTCTTAGCCTTATAAATATCTACTTAATAATATTATTTAATATGGGTCTCCTTTAACATGAACCATTGACCTATGAAACCCATATGAATTTTATTTTTACCTTTCACAACTGATAGGTAATTGCATATTTGGGATATGAGGGCATGAGATATTGTTGGGGGGTGTGAGAAATGGTTCTGAGGCCCAGAGGTAGAAATACACTTGGTATAGAGCACGAAATCCAACAGGAGTGACTCTGCAAATACAATCCTAGAATTCATTCACAAATATGGTTTTTGTATCTTCAAATAGCCTTCTATTGAAGGGAAATAGAATTCAGTTAAAATTGCTTGAATCAGGGTGTGAAAGGCTATGAGGAAGAATGGTGTTTTTGTCCAAAACCAAACTCAGAAATATCACAGCTTCAAAAGCCTGTCCTGCCTTCTGGCTGAGTGACAGCAGCAGCCTGAGTGGGGACTGGCCCTATTGGACATGTGTTCTCTCCCAGAAAGGAATTCCCCCTGCAGAGTCGTGAGGGGTCTGTTCCTCTGTTGTGTGAACCAGGCTGTCTTCTGGGGAGGGGTTTGGGTGTTGGCAGAGCTTGGGGAAAGGAGAATTCTGCCTGGAGTCTTAAATTAAGGTATTCTCCTGGATGAGTTTAATATTATTAACCAAAAAAGAAAGAAGAGTTTTAGGATTTAGCAGTGTGTGTATTCACTGGACTCAAAACCACAGTAACCTCTCAATGCACATGGCCTTCCCACTTCTTCAGTAAGGAAACTGAAACTCAGGAGGGGTTTAGGGCTTGGAGGGAGGACAGAGCAGGGCTTTGAACCCACGTCTGTAGAACGTGCTGAGTTTTCCTTTTGCTGTTTCCAGGCTGCACAGCAGATAATTTCTGTAATGATACTCATCTCAAAAAACCCAGTTAGAAAGTAGACAAGATGTAACATATTGTAGAAACATTTCTATCCTAAATGGATACATTTTATCAGGGTTAGTGTTTAGCTATTCAAAAAATGTGCTTGGCTGGAGTGGGATAGTTTTCCAAGTGCTGAATTTCAGTCTTACATTTAAGAGTGGCCAGATAACATTTAAAGAGACAATGCTGGGAGATAACATTTTAAAGGGAAAAGAGTCCTGGTTGGGGATTTAGGAGACCTGGGTTTAGTAATAATAACAATAGCAATAATAATAATAATAGATAATAATGATAGCAGTAATGTTTGTCAAGCATTGTCTATAGGCCAGGCACTGTTTTATTAACTTTACAAGTATTAATTCACTTAATTCTTATAAAGTCCTCTGAAACAGGTTCTATTATTATCTTTATTTTACAGATGAGGAAACTAAGGCACAGAGAGTTTAAGCAACTCGCTCAGAGTTTGACAGCTACCAAGCAGCAGAGTTGGGACTTGAACCCAGGCCCTGCAGTCTGACTGCAAAGCCGGTCTCTTCTCTGTCACTATCTTCACCTATCTCTTTGCCTCTCTAGGACCCAACACTGTGACTCCCAAAACATTGCTTAATCTGGGATATCATAGACTCAAAAATTTTAAAAACATTTTGGAGAATTATATCAGGTTATCATTTAAAAATTTTTGATGAATACCCCTTATTCTTACTATCCTTTCATAAAAGAAAAAAAAAAAAAACTTAACACTCTCCCCAACAAAGTAGAAGGAACATAATCTCAGATTATGAAGCAATCCTTCCCCAGAAAGGAGAGTTGTCCACTTTATAGGAACCCAAACCCAGTTGCTGTTTTGTAGATGTGACTAGAGTAGCTGTTGTATGTCAGGTGGAGAACAAGACAGACCTAGTTCGTACCCATGTGGAACTTGCATCCCGGTGGGGGAGAGAGTCATTTAAAAAGTAAACAAAAAATCACATAATTACAAATTTGTTAGGTGTTTGGAAAGAAATGAGCACAGTCCAGGGATAGAGAATAAAAATTCGTGGAGAGAAGAAGGTGCAGGGCATGTACCCTGCTAAGGCAAGGCTCTCCTAGAGGGGTGGGGACAGCCTGTACCAGTGACGGGGCACCTGCCAGGCACAGGGACAGCATGTGTGAGGCCCAGAGACAGGGCAGAGCCTGGGGTCATGAGTAAGGGAAAGGAGGCCCCACAGCTGCTGGAGTGTCCTGAAGCTCGGGGCACAAGAGGAGGCTGCAGAGAGCAGCCCTGTCTAGAGCAGCTCTCAAAAGTCAGCAAGGAGTTCTGATTTTTACTGGAGATGCCAGAGGAAACCATTGAGAGGTTTTAAGCCAGGGCATGACATGGTCTGACTTATATTTCATGGGATAGCTCTGTATGCTGCTGGGGACAGCAGATGAAGAGGGGCCAGAAGGGAAGCCAGGAACCCAGTTGGAAGGCTGTTTTGCAGCCCTTCAGGCCAGAGGCCGTGGCCAGGAGCAGGATGGATGGGGAGCTGGAGGGGAGCCATGGGAGTCAGTGTGTATCCTAGCAAACAGCACTCTCCAAGCGGGACAGTTCCCAGGCACCATCTACAAAGACAGGGTACAGGGGAGCCTCAAGGGCAGGGCTGGGGCTGAGAGCAGTAGAGCCTTAAAGGCTGAGGACAGGGGATGGTGCTGGAGCCCTGAAGGAAGGCGCTGCATTGCAGGCAGCAGCCAGGACCTTCGGGAGCAGCCCAAGCCAGGCTGGTATTCTGGCTCTCCCTCTCTTGCAGGGCAGAAGCCTATTTGCTGTTCTCTCCCCCGCTCCATCCCTCCCTGTGACCTGCCAAGGTTGTTCATTGATGTGGTCCTTCCAAGTGAGCCCTGGGCAGAGACAAGTGGCGAGGGCGGAAGGCAGATCTGGTGGGAGAAAGGACAGAGCCAGCACCAAGGCCAGCCCAAGTTGTGTGTGAGCAGCTGGGAGGATGCAAGCCCTTTTCCTGAGGTGGACACACTGGAGAAGGGAAAGGTAGCTGGGGAGGAGAATCCTTTCCTCAGGGACTGGCACTTGGAGACCGCTAACTAAATCCCTCAGGGCCTCTGTTTGTTTGTTTGCTTATTGTCTGTAAAATCAGCCATGGGACTGAGTGACTCCACAGTTCCTTCCAGCTGTTTTCTAATAGAATCCTATTGAGGGCTTACTTTCTGTACCGTGGAGTCTCTCTTTATCTTCTAGAATCCAGTCCTCCTCACCCGCTGCTCAGATACTGAAACAGAGAGGCCACGGTGAGGGAGGTGGTGGTGAGTTTGGTGGTGGCTTTCTGCAAGGGCAGGAAAGCGTTTGGCAGCTGCCCTGCTGCTGAAGTCCACATTTCGAACCTTAGACACTGTGAATCTCCTAGAATACTGTCTCTGAAGCCCCAGGTGGTAGACATACCAGGCCCAGGAAGAGGAAGACTTTTCTCTTGACAGGTTTATGTGCTAGCCAGCTAAGCCTAACTCAAGCAGAATTCTCCAAATGAAAGGAAATCAGTGGGCAATCTTCATGCCTTTATTTTGCTTTCCAGACGAACATGAACATCCCAAGTGAAATCCCAGCAAGTAAATGCATTTCCTCTCCCCTCTCTTGGCTCCTTTTAAAAACCCAGTGAATAAGAATAAAAAATGCAAATAGGCACTTCTGTGATCTAGTTCATTTCAATGATAAGGGAACTTTAAGGCAGTTAACTATATTTCTGATTGCTTTCTAAGACAAGAAGGAATGGTTTCAGTGAAGCCAAGGGAAGTCTGCTCTACACAGGAGTCATTATGAACTCAGGTGGGTGAGAGATGGCTGTGCTGGCCCAGCAGACACTGGGGATACTGCCCCTTCCTGGAGCAGAGTTGACAGTGTGGAGGAGAAGGGAAGCGAGGGTGGGAAGGAGGGCCTGCAGCTTCTTCCTGACCCCAGAATGAAGCAAGTACAAGGCTGCCTGGGCCAGTTGCTTTGAGAAGCTTCTCCACCTTCTGGGAGAGGGGTTCCTTATTTCCCCTAGACCCCATGGTTTGGTCTCTTGAATCCCACTCTTGAATTCACTTTAAAGCTTCAAAGCTCTGGGATTCTCTGATATGAGGAATTCTAATCCTCCTCCTTCCCTCTGTCCTTTTTTCCCTCCTTCTTCCTTTCTGAAGGTAGTGAGGTATTCTGGAAGAGAGTTAAAGAGAATTGATTCTCCCTCAGAAACCAAGATAAAGCCAGTGTGAAAAACACAAGTCAGCGAGAATACAGAAAACCTAAATTTATCTAATTTCAGCTTAGTGTCTTGGGAAGTTATCTCATGTAAAAGTATCATTACCTCTGAAATAATGTAGATCAGTGGTTGTTTTGTAAACATATAGGTTTTTGTAGTTTCCATACTAATTATATGACATGACATTAAATGATGCTTGTCCTGGCCTTAGCTGAGGCCCAAAGCTGAGAACAGTGGGTGCCGGGATCCCCCAAATTCTAAAAGGACATGCTAGGTTATCGGTGCCTGGGCCAGCTGAGTGCATGTCCCCGGGGCCTAGTGGTACCCCCAAGTCCTGTCTCTCCTAGAAAATTCTGCTGGCAACAGGTTAATCAGGACTACCTCTGAAGGCAGATGAAGAGAGGAGCACCGAAGGGGCTGCACGTCCACTGAAGGTGGGGTGAAGGTGGCCATTTTCCTGTGGGTGAAGTAAACACCAGGGGAGGCATCTGGCTAGAGCAGTCCTGAGCAGACCCTGCCTGGGAAGCCGCCTGCCAGCCCCTTCAGCAAAGCAGCCCCCATGTGCTTTCAGATGCACTACATTTTCTTTCGTCTCGTTTCCTCTTTTCCTTATAAAATCCAGTAAGTCCTTTAATAGTAAATCAGTTGATCATTTCTGTTATTCAGGATAAATCTGGCATTTTCCTAGAAAGTTAAACATGCACAGCATATGACCCAGTGATTTTACTCCTAGGTATTTACTCAAGAGAAGTGAACACATATGTTGGTGGAAGACTTGTACGTGGATGTTCATAAGAGCTTTATTCAAAACAGTCCAAGACTAAAAGCAGCCCAAATACCCATCAACTGGGGAATGGATAAGCAACTTGCAGTCCACCCAAATAGATATTATTCAGTAATAAAAAGGAACAAACTACCGACACATGCAAAAACATGCATGGATTTTCAAAGCATTAGACTGAAAGAAGCCAGATATCAACAAGTATATATATATTGTACAATTCCATTTACATGAAATCCTAGAATAGGCAAAACTAATCTATAGGGGGAATGTCAAAACTATGGTTGCCTTGGGGTGGGATAGAGGGAGATAAGAGCAGGGATTAACCGAGAAAGAGTGTGTTAAAGCAAACTGCATATGGCCTGAGAAGGACTCCGTACTTCTATATTTGAGTTCTTGTGGATGAATTGCAACCTAGCTTAATAGGTAGACAAGATTTAGGAGTATGTGCCTGTAACAATAGCTGGGTCTTGGCCAATCCCTGTGGCCATACTTCAACCATTTATAAACTGCTAAGTGTTCAAACTGTGTTCAAATAAGGCAAATGCCAACTTGTAACCAATCCCGCCACTCTGTACCTCACTTCCGTTTTCTGTACTATGTCATTTCCCTTTCTTTTGTCTGTAAATCTTCTTCCACCACATGGCTGCATTGGAGTCTTTGTGAACCTGCTGTGATTCTGGGGGCTGCCTGATTTGCGAGTCATTCATTTCTCAATTAAACTCCTTTAAATTTAATTCGGCTGAAGTTTTTCTTTTATCAAGGATGAGGGAACTTTCTGGCATTATGGAAGTTTTTATATCTTGATTAGGGTAGTGGTTACTTGGGTATATACATTTGTCAAAACCCACTGTTCACTTGAAATGGTTGCATTTTACTGTATATAAATTATACCTCAATACAACTTATTTTTATAAGGAAAACTAACATATAAAATAAAAGTTTTCTTTAAAAAATGACTCAGTATAAAGAGATCTGGTGGTCTTGGGCTCATCAATGTGGCCAAGGTTTTGCATTATCAGCAGCTGAGGATTTTGAGCTTCTTGACGTAGCCCTATTCTTGTCTTTTATCTACGGGTTCCTGTTAACTCATTGAAGGTTGTTCTATGAAATCATTGATAAGACATTTGAACTGATTTAATTGTCGAGTAACGCACAGATTCTTGGATAATGTTTCACGTAGATAGTGAAATTATCCTGCTATCTGGTTATTTCAGCAGATCAACCTGATCCCACCCTCTGTGGAAACATGTTCATCATCTTATTCATTACCAGGAGAATTCTGAATCTACATTTTCATTGTTCACTTACTGTTTAAAGATCTCAGAGATAATTGTGTATAATTAATTTCAGTTCCATGAAGCAACTCCTGTTCACTTCTGCATTTTATTCTTCTGGGGCTAGCACATATGCTAGATAATATACTTTAGAATATGCAGGGGTTTTTTTTTTTTTAGCTTTAAATGGTATTCATTGTAAATTAACACAGTGAACATTTTCTAAGCTTTAAATGCATGTTCGTCATTGTGCTGGGCACTGTGGGGTGTATAAAATCAAATCCCAGACTCCAGTCCTGGAGAAACCTTGAGGGTTTGTTTGACCTGGCCCTTAATTTCAGATGGATAAGGCATCATCACCTCTATAGGTAAAGCAGTAAGTCTGGAAGTTGGAGTAGATAACCCATCCAGCCACCTGCCTTTGAATTACTTCATTTTGTAATAGGAAATCTTGGAGATTTGGTCTGAGTGGTTTGTGAATTTAGTGACAGTATGTCCAAGTCCTTGGTTTTAACCCATCTTGTTCCCATTCTTCCAGAAAATAAAAACAACTGACATTTAGTGAGTACTTAGCACGTGCCAGGCACTGTTCTAAGCAGTTCACGTGTCGTAATCCATTTACTTGTTAATGAAATTATCTGAAGCTGATATTCTTATTCTCAATTTACAGATTTGAAAACTGGAAGACAGAGAGGTTAAGTTGCTTGCCCAGAGTCACATAGCTGGTCAGTGGAGGGGTCAAGACCCTAACCCAGATAGCCTGACTCTATCCACACTCCCCTCAGCGATGACCCTATGCTGCTTCTGCCAGTCCCAGGATAACACCTGCAGGTTCTGTCCTCTCAGGGAGAGTAACTTTCTTCCTGTTGTCTTACATCTTATTGTTTTCACTTACTAGTAGATTAATAAATAAAACAATTTCGTTTGTTAAATTTAAAAGTCATATTGATTGTAACATCAATTATCCCTGTGTAAAGTAGACAGCAGGGTGCATTTTGGAATTTTAGAATATGAATGGAGCTTTCAAATGCTTTAATTCATTCATTTGTACGTTCACCCGGCCAGTATGGACAGGATGCCTACCATGTTGCACGTACTGTGTCAGGCGCTGGGAATGAAATGACAAATCAGATACAATCTCTGTCCTTTTGGAACTGACAGTTTAGGGAGGGTGACAGACAGTAAATCAGTATTGTGTGTGTGATTATTTAATTGCAACGTTGAAAAGAGAGAGTGATAAGTCGAATGTGACTCATACTAGGGGGTCAGTAATCACTTGTTGAATGGATGACTCAGTGAATGAGTGAATGAGTCACCCAATCTAGTGCTGGGGGGCTTTTTTTGGGGAAGTGATATTTCAGCTAAGGTCTGAGGCATGAGCAGGGATCAGCCAGATGAGGATGGTGGGGTGGGGAGGGACCGTCACCCCTGCAGCACCTTCCCTTCTTGGAGTCATAGGGGCACTATGTTTGGGATGTCAGCAGTCCCAGGGTCCTTGTCTCAGGACTGACACTTGAGAAAAGCCTCCTCTTTTAGTCAGACGCACTCACATTCTGCTCCGTTTCAAATCTGTTTAGACATTGTTTAGGCCATCTCTTTATTGTTTGTCCTCCAAACGTGTTACTTGTAAGATTTGTTCCTTAATAATTTATATTTTTATAATGTCAGGGGCCAATATGTTTCAAGAGGAACACATTTCAATGTCATGATGAAAGCTAATGGGAGAAGGCTTTTGTTCTACAAAAATTTTCTTTATTTTTTCAACTTTATTGAGGTTATAATTGATATTAAAAAACTGTACAGATTTAATGTGTACAGTCTAATGAGTTGGGACATATGCTTACACCCATGATGCTGTCACCACAGGCAAGGTAATACACATATCCGTCACCTGCAAGAGTTTCTGTGTGTCCCTTTGTTTCTCATTTTGTTTTTTTCAAAAATTTACTTTATAGGATTATAGAACACATGTGCTCCTTAAAGAAAAACACTGTGCAGGGAGATAACAGTCATCAAACATGGAAACCTTTGAGTTGAATGTGAGTTTCGTACTTTGGTGTCTCACGTATGGCTTCATCAGTCTTTGCTGTGTCCTTGGCATCTGATCTCAGATGTAGCTGCGTCAGGCTCTGTCATCTCCTCACTGGGCACTGACTGGTCTGGGGCCTCCATGGCATGTGCTCTTCTCACACTGAGTGGGGTTTCCGTTTGTCTCTTGGGGAAAGGAAGGCAGTCACCTTTAGTTTGCATCTCTTAAGGGCAGTTGATATCCAGGGCAGGTGAATTCTCTTAGCTTTTTTGATCCCTTGCTTGTGACACACAGATTTCTCCGTGTGAGGGGGTGACCTCCTTAAGAGCGTTGTCTTTATTAATGAGCATTGTCTTTAGTAATGAGCATTAGCCTAGAATGGAACTGTCCCAAAATCCTCAACAAGCAGGTCGATGGGAGAGCCATCACCTGTTTTATTCTACTGACATAAGTAGCCTATAGGGTGTAGACATGAACAGGAAGGAGGCTGGATGCTAGGGAAAAAATACATCCACAGAAACCATTGCTTTGAACCCCACCTTTGCTGGGAACAAGCCTTCTGATCTCAGGCAAATCATTTCACATTCTGAACTGTTGCTTCCTCACTTACAAAAGGGGAGAAATTCCTATTTATTGAGCAATTAATGTGCACAGTCATTATGCTTTAGGTGTCTGTTTTGTTTTAATTGTTCACTTAAGCCTTACAACAGTCTTACGAAATAAGTGTTAGTATCCCCAATTAACAGATGGTAAAGCTAAGGCCTAGTGTACTTGGTACCATGTCCAGAATCAGACCACCTATAGATGGCAGTGTCAGGATTTGAAACCCAGACCTCTGCTGAGCAAGCCCATGCTTTCTCTTTCCTTGCTGTGCTCATGGGAGGGTGGTTGTGGTGAGTGCGGGAGAGCCACGCACAGGTGTGCTCTAAACCATAAAGCAATCGTTTGTTGTTTTCCCCTGAGATAATTGACTAGTTCAGTTGGAATATGAGTTTGTTGTTATTGCTTTAGGGTTGAATATAAACAAAAAATTGGAGACTAGTGTCTCCAGGGGTGTATCTGTTTTCAGTGTCTTATCGGTTCATCTGGCTACTAAGGCGGGGGAGGAGGGGACTTAAGAGCAAGAGACTTATTTGCATAAAAGTATCCAAGTGCAAATTGATACACAGTGTCATGACAGTGCCACCATCTCTCACCCATCAGCAGGGCATCCTGTCCCCATGCATTCTCCAAATATTTGTATATTTGTAGAGCACCTACCCAAGGCTGACACTGGGCCCTGGAGTGTAACACTGAAGTCAGACTCTATTTGACAGAGCTTATATTTGAGTGAGAAAAACAAGACCAAAAAAAAAAAAACCCCCACAAACTATTATATAACTACTGATGGTGTTCATGGCTAAGAGGAAAAGCAGGGTAGGAAGGAGGCCAGTGTGGCTGGAGTTAGTATCAGCTAGGGGAAAGAGGAGGCACTGAGGCCAGCCAGGTGGCCATGCGGGCCAGTTGGGGCTCAGCAGGTCAGTGATAGGACCTGGATGACCATGGTGGGTGGCTTTCACTGCTCAGAGACATTGGCTTTTATTTTGAGTGAGATGGAAAGCCTCTGGGAGCTTTTGGAAGGGGAGGGGGGAGGGCAGAGATCGAAGCAGGGAGTCCAGATGGGAGGCTGTGGCTGTGTTCTAGGTGATAGCATTGGAGGGGTGGGAAGTGATTGGATCCAGGCTCTGCCTTCAGATAGAACTGACAGGATTTACCTTGGTCTCCCTGCCCTGAACCTACACAGGAGGCGTGGGAGGAAGAACCCAAGTTAGGCCATTTACCAGATGGCACCTCGTAGTGGAGAGATGGTGGACAAGGTCGCATGAGTATGGGCAGGTGAGACCTTGAGGTGAGGCCAGCAGGGCCTTGTGCTTCCAAGGTTAAGCACGAGGGAGACAGAATCACTCATGATCCATGCAGCATATTTTCTCATTGAAATGCCTGCAGCAAGAAGGCCATCCTGCGGCCTAGTACAGGTGCCACGTGCAGCTGGAATGAGTCTGGAGGAGTCAGGCTAGAGAGGGAAGGTGGGGAGGGGCTGCTTGGTGAGGCCTCAGCATCTTCCTCTAGGAGGGGGTCTGCAAACTGCAGCCTGCTTGTGAGCCAAATTTGCCTGCCGCCTGTTTTTATATGGCACCTCAAACTAAGGATGATTCTTACATTTCTAAAGAGTTGTAAAATAAAAACATCAAAGAAGATGGTCCATAACCCTTTCTGGCCCTTTATAGAAAAAGCTTGCCAATGCCTGCTGTAGGCACATGATGGCCAGGACAAGGAAGCCCCATCCACCTCATTTCATGCCACTCCTGGAGAGTCTCGGAGGCTGGCCCTGAGCTAGAAATGCCCACTGCAGAACAGCTCTCTACCTGGAGTTCCTGCTGGAGTGTCCCCTCTCTAAGAGGGAGAGTGCCCAATAGCCACTGGAAGCTTGAGTGATGATTGGAAAGACTGGCCCTGGCTCTCCATCATGGTGGTGGTGAGGATGCAGAGGAATGACAGAATCATATATTTTGCAAGCTTTAAAGATGTCTGTTTTGCCTGTTATGCCTGAAATACTCAGAAGTCCCTCTTTCTGTCATAGGTATCCTGACGTTGAGTGTCCTTAAGACACAGTCAAGGTTTAAGTCAGGACATGGGCATTGAGCTGGGACATTAGCATCTTGTCCAGATTTTTCAGTGATCTGTAAATGACCTTTAGCATGCCAGGAGCTCCCTGTGCTCTGCAGCTGCTGACTGTACCGGGGTGATTTGCTTGAGGAAAAGACTAGGCTCATGCTCCTTTGAGTGCCTGATGGTCGGATGTGTTCCTTGGGGAAAATACCCAAGGTCAGAAACTGAGCCAAGAGAAGGCTGATTTGGAGAAGAGGAGGAGGTAGCTGGGGAAGAGAAAGGAACGGAACTGGGAAAGGACAGAGGTTACCTTTTTAAACCAACCTGACCTTCTGCTCCTGGCAAGCAGGCTTGGTCCTGGGTCCAGATCCAGTGAGTCCCACAGGGAGCAGCCAGGTCCACTGTGAATCCTTGGCAAGCAGCCTGCCCTAGAAAGTGGAGTGCACTGCATAGAGGCCCAGGAGTCAGTACAGGCAGTGGCCTGGCCTGGGGCCGACCCTGAGCTGCAGGTCACCCTAACCTGTTTGCCTTCCCTCTCTGGCTAGAGAGAAGAGAATCTTTGGCTCTTGAAGGTTGCTAATGCAGCAGCTGCAGTGGTTTCCACCATGCATCCCCTGTCCCTGAAGCTGGGGTGGAGGACCAGCCTCTGAGGAGTGGTGGCCTGGGGAAAGGGGCTAGAGCCTGACCCCTCCCTGCAGATGTGTCCATCCCCATCTCTCAGTCCCAAGGCAGCTGCACCCCCCACTTTGACCACTGCTGGTGTAAAGGGTGCTGAAGATTCCTGAGAGTCCACTGTGGATCTGCCTGGTGTGAGGAAGCTGGCCTCGGCTGGATAGTTATCCGTCTCTCTGTTTTGTTAATGGACAGTAGGGCCCAGTTGCCAGCTGCCATCACAGCAGCGGGGAGAGAAGGCACAGAAGGCCTCAGATTTCGATGCTCCCTTCTACCATAAAAGCCTTGTTAGTTTATTTGTCAAGTCTTTGGGACCTATTTATGAGCTCAAAGCTCCGTGTTATGTGGTTTTTTTTCCTTTTTGCCAAATCCCAAAGCTACGTGTAATGGACAGATAGTGTTAACCTTGGTATTAGCTCATAGTTAAAGCTGTTGCACTTTGTCCTCCTTCTTGCTATTGCTGTAAATTTTAACTTTTAAGACTTTTAAAAAATAACAGCAAATATAAGTTCCTATAAACTCTTGAGTCTACACCTACCTAGGAATTCACAAGCTGTATTCCAATCTAGAGTTCCCTGGTCATTTCTTACTTTGCTTCAAAATAATTCTCATCTCTGCAGAGCTCATCCAGTTTCCCCACATTATTTCCAGTGGAGGACCCAGCACTCAGAGACGCCCTTCTTTAAAGGTAACCAGAGGAAACAGCGATAATGCCAGGACCCAAGAGTGTGTCTGTGTCTTCCATCAGCCTGCAGTGTGGGATGTGACAGCTCCCCAGAGCATATTCTGAGGGGAGGGGCTAGATGACAGGGGTGGCTGTACTTCTGTGAGACCTCAGGATTCATGGATTCAGCCCCAGCTGCCCCTGCTATCACCGCCAGAGGTGGCAAATGGCATTTGACAGGTGGGCTGCACAGTGGGTCCAGCTCATTGGTGATGCCCCTTGGTAGGACCAGATCTCCTGTCTGTCCCATCTGATCCTTATTGCTCCTAATCTTTGTTTAGCCCCAGCTGCTGTTGTGGCTGTGACTATTATAAAAGATGGCGTGAACGATGATATGAGGAAGGGCTTTAATTTTGCTGGCTACCAAGGAGAGAGTGAATAAAAAAAATAGATCCAAGTGTCTACATTGAGAAGATGTTTGAGTTAACCACCTAATGGGGTCAAGTCCAATGATGGGATGGTTTGTGTACTTTATGACAAGCTCCTTCACCCTTGCTGTTTAACTGTCCCAGCCTCAAAAACTGGCAGGAAGCACAGTGCTCTCATTAATCTCTGCAAGACCTCCCTGGGAAACCAGATTAAGGAGCTCTGTGAAGAGAATCTGCTTATCAACATACTGATGAATGGGCTGGGTCAAGGGTGAGAGTCAGAGGCAGCCAGCGCTGAAGCGTAACCCCCTTGGATTAGAGTGGGTCGTTCTGTCTTTATGCCTATGTTAGCTGCTAAAGCAATTTGCAATCTGGACCTGATGCTCCTTTGATAGTCTTTCTTATCCAGAGTGTTTCCATGGGCCTGCTACCATTCAGCTGTGTCACTGGTTAGCTGCTGGCAAGACATCTGTGAATTCCTTTCCATCCTGACAGAAGCAGTTTATCCATTCTGCATATCCAGAGGTTCTCCTCATGACTCAGAGCCCCTCTGAGAAGAGAAACAGGTGAGCCAGGTGGTCTACTTACACATGTTCCAGTGCCCGGTTAGGGTAGTTCCAGCTCCTCTGTCTGAAAGTTGCCCATGACAAACTATTTATGGAGTAAGTAGGAGCATCTCTATGTGAAAGAACCAGCCTGAAGATGGCCACAGCTGCCTCCTTGATCTGTTCTTTCCGGGGCTTTAGAAATGGTGAGAAGTCACACTAGTTTTCTGCATCTTCATTTTCTTATCCATAAGACATAGGATGGGGAGATGATTGTCTGGCTCTGACCTCCTCTAAGTTTCTGTAACCCTCCAGCTCTCTGCTTGCTACGCACACCCAAATGTGAATGGTTTCTTCCCTCTCCTTTCCCTTCCTGTGAACCCGACCAGGGTGCTATAAACCCAAAGGAAATTTGGAAGGAAGGGAAGAAAAGGCCTGTCCCAATCCTGAGCCCTTGGGGAATCTCCAGTGGAAGAATTTAGAGAGTCTGTAGGGGAGAGCGGATGGGAAGGAGGGGAAAATGCAGAGCCAGGAGGGGCTGCCACTTCCTTTTGGTGCAGAGGATGGAATCTTCACCTCTCTCCACGTCTGATTCCAGGATGGATGATTTAGGGGGAATTTTCTGCAGATGGCTAATCCCATTCAGAAATTCTTCTTAGCTTCTATCAATAGTTGCGGCCCTTCTTAATCTGGATGTATTTGCTCATTTCCTGCAATAATCAGCTCTCACAATCGTAAATTTTAGAGCCAGGGAGAAACTTAGAGGCCAGCTTCTTAGCTTCAGCTTGACAGATGGAGAATCCTGGACTACAAAAATTTAAATGACTTGTCCAAGGTCACACAACCAACTAATTGAGAGAGGTAGAATTACTAGGATCTAATTTACATACAGTGAAATGTACAGATCTTATGTGTGCCGTTAGATCAATTTTGACGAACTCATGCACATGTGCTGCCCGCACCTCCGCTGGAGAACCAGAATTAGAATCATGCTCTTGGCTACAAATGCAAAAGTACAGAAAGCATAATGCCCACTGGGATTTCAGCTTCCATTTGGGAAGACCTTCCTTTCTCTGAAGGTCTGGTCCCCACTCCCTGAACTGGCACATGGTATCACCTCCCCTTTCCTTTCTTCTTTTGTCCCATTCCAAGAACCTATATTATTTTTGAGCCGGAGTTCAGATGTCTTCCTAGTTTAGTCAGGGTTGTCTAGGAAACTAGAAATAACTGCAGATTCCAGGCTCTACAGATCAGGTGATCCTTGGCTCCTCTCTTCAGAGCCATGTTAATTCCTGCCATCCTTTTCCAGCGTTCTCTGCTTTTTCCTGCCCTCACATTACTGGGATCACCCCCACCTTACGCAGTTTACTTTCAGCTCCCCAGCAGAAGCAGATCTGACCCTGCAGCTTAACTTCCCAGGAGGCAGTTGCTGGTAGCAGTCGATGCTGGGTGACATGTGCACAGATGACTCTGCGTCTGGGAACGTATGTGACAGTGGAGGAGGAACGCCTGTGAAATTCAACTTCTGTTTGACTCATCCTTGCCTTCCAGGAACTGGAGGAGGTGTGCATTTGAGACTGTTCAAGTCCATTTCACCTTAAGCATTGCTCTTGTGTGTGTGTGCATTCATTGTTTCCTTCCCTCCCGCTGCCATTCAGAATAACTGCAGCTGTGAGCCACTGCACTTGGGGTTACCATCTGAAAGGGAACCTGCTTATCTTCCGTCTATATCTGCCAAGTGAGAAAACTTGTCTCTACGTCAGTAAAGCTGGGCAGTGATGATATCCCTTGTTTTCAGGGATCTTTATCTGATTCCCTTGCCTGACTCCTAAAACCTAAGTCTCTGACCTGCCCTCCAATTCTCTTTTCACAACAAGCTGCCTGTCTTTGTCAAGATCTGTGGTCCACAGTCCTGTTGAATCTGTAGTTCATTTCTTAGACTCCCAGTGTGTCTAAAGAAATAGGAGGCAGGAGGCAAGCTTGGAGGGAATGGGAAATGTTGACAGCCATGCAGAAATGGATGGGGAGAGATGCATGCCAGGATGTTTGCAGTGGCTTGGGGGTGGAGGCAGAGGAGGTGCTGGGTGGCAAAGAGGAGGGAAAGAGAGGGGAGAGGGGAGGAGAAAAGAAAACAATGACTCAGTTCTTACACACTGAAGCATATGCATAAGTGTGAAAATAACTAAGCCCTACAGTATTTCAGCAGAAGGAAGGATTAGAGTTCTGGATTTCTGAGGATTTCTATCTTGTTCTCATGACTGCTCTTAGCTTATGGTCAGATAAATGTTAGGGGAGCATCAACGGAAGGAGCAAGAGAGGTGGAGAGGAGTGCAGAGCCCACACTTGTTGCTTATTTGTTTGGACAGACAGCCATTTCATTGGTGGATAAAACTTCACTTAACTTGTTAACTCCCCTTTGAAATGAGGAAGCATTGTCCGTAGCCTCGTGCTTCCAGTCAGTGCCACCTTTGGGTGGTCTGGCCTTTTTAAGTTCTTGTAAAGCTGCTCGAACCTGTGTCTTTATGTCTGACGATGCCACCTCCACCTCACATCCCCCAAGTTTTAAAATTCAGAACTGCCCCTGACTCATCCTTCATCCGCCCCCCGGCCAAATTTGTTTCCAAGCCCTTTAGATATTTGCTTTGTGGTATCTTCCAGATCTATTTCTTTCTCTCCCGTTGCCAACACCGTGGCCAGCCTGGTCTACACTGTAAAAGCTTTCTAATGTTCTCATCACCTCTCGTCTAGTCTGCATCCCCACAAAAAGCTAAAGTCTTGAAGTTTTTATTTAATTATGTTAATCTGCTGTTCACAAGTCTCCAACTGCTCCCTGCAGCTTATTGGAGAAAGCCCAAGCTTCTCTGTGTGGGATTCAGACCTCTCTGAAATCTGGCCTCCTTCCTTCCTATCAACGCTCTCATCTCTGCCTCCCTTGCACAAATCCTCCTCCCAGGGCTGGAAATGCAGGCAGCATGTGCAGGATGCAGAGCCTGTCTCATGCGGCGCTCACAGTCTCCCCACATCCCCAGAGGCCAGCTCACTTCTTAGCCACCTGCCTAAAATTTCCCCACCCTTCAAGGTAAACTCAATCCATTTTCCCATAAAGGCTGACCTGCATCCTCCTGAAAATGCCAGCTGCCCTCTTGGGCCTCTAGCAGAACACACTCCTGGATTCTTTGTGCCTTGATTTACCGTATTGCCAGCTACCATTGTGAATCTCATCTCCTTGGTTAAATCATAAGCCCTTAGAGTAGAGCAACTAGGTTTTTCTTTTTTCATTTCTTTTTTATAACCCTAGTGCTTGGCCTGGTGCAGTGTGCTCACAGGCCTCCATGAATTATTTTGGAGGAATTAAAGTGGACTTATCGGGCAAGCTACAAAGTGACTTTGTGTATTCAGCTATAACATGGTCCCCAGATGGAGCATGGTGTAGGAGTTTTATTTGGAGTCATTAGCCATTCTGCCCATACTGACGGACACAGGCAGTGCTATAGGCTGTGAATGGCACACAGCTTTTAACCACCACCCACCTCCAGTGCCCTGGCTCGAGTGTGCTGAGGGGCTGGCAGCAAGGCCTCTCCTCCCTCGTAGTTCGGGATTTTAATCACGTTGCCAAGAACCTAGTCCTGGCTTTGCCTCAATCTGATTCCACCTCCCTCCTGGAAGATGTTCTTCTTTTTGCTTTATTTTGGCTGCCAGTTTCGCTGCTCTGCTGCTTTCAGGTTTGTGTGCTTAAGGTGTGCCCACAGGAAAATTAGCCAGAATTCTAATTCCACGTGTGACTTCTTCGTTAGTGGAGTAATTTAAGAGATGTGAGTGTTCTGTTTCCAGCTGGCATTATACCTGTGGGGGCCAGACCCAGCAGGAAACTCCAACAATGGCAATGGTGGAGATATTAGGGGGAAATATCCCCTTAGTGAAAATGTAGAAGGTCCTCTGAAAACACTGCAAAATTTTTGCAAAAGGAGGGCGTCAGATACATTCAGATCCCTTTCCAATCCAAGAATAGTTTATTCTCTAAGAGCTATCTGGCTCCAGGTGTCTGCTTACTACAAACACAATGGAATTCTCCAAGTCCTAGCAGGGTTTTGACCAGCTCAGGAGAAAATTGCTATGTAAATACCTGTAGGGGAGTGGGGTTAGGAGGGTGTTTATGTCAAATTCTTGTACCAAAGCCAAATGCAAAGCAGGGAAAAAAGTTATAGCTTGAGATAAACAGACCACTGGCCCCACCTTAGGAGTCTTTGTGCTATGCTGACCTTGATTATGAACATGTTTGTTGTGGTAGGATTTGATCTATGACCACGAAGGTTTTCCATCTTGTCAAGGGGGAGATTTAAGGAATTCCCCCACTGTGGCATGCTGTAGCTACTAGAGGCATAACCATGTCGATTTGACTCTTCTCTCCGATATAACTGGGGTGTCTTTATGCAGAAGCTTATGAGAGATGTTTAGGCATCAAATCCACCTTGGGAAATCCTGGTGGAGGTCTTCAGAATCCAGTTGTTGATCCGCAAGCCATCTTTTCTTTGAGGTTTGCCTGCTACCTTTGCTGGTCTGGACAAGAGTGAAATGATCCCAGTGTAATAAAGGACTTCAGAGCTCATCCAGTTCTGCTGTCCACAAGGCACAGAGATGCCCAGTTCCCTGATGGGCAACCACCTGGCCCTGCTCAACCCTTCCCAGCGGTAGGGAGTTCACTTTGAGGCCACCTACTCTGCTGCATCTAATTATGAAAACGGGCTTCCTTTTTAAACATGAACAGGCAATTCGCAAGAGGAACAAGGCAAATGAAAAACTGTTAGTCATCCCTGGTAATTAAAGAAAGGCAAATTAGAACAATGAAAGGTTGTTCTTTCCCCTAACAAATTGGCAAAGATTGTCTAAAGGTTAGCAGTCAGCGTAGATGAAGGTTTGAGGAGATGGGCTCACACCTATTTCTTAAAGACTATTTGGCAATATGTGTTAAAAAGCCTTAAAAATCCCAAATGTCCTTTGGCTTGGTAACTTCAGAGAGATGCTCTAGGTGGCCAGTGGTGGAGGTAGGATGTGAATCCAGGCAATCTGTCTCCAGAGCCCACATCCCTACCCTTACATTCTCCTGCCTCTTGTAACAGACATGTGGAGTGGAAAATAGGTACTAAGCGGTATGTAGAATATGACCCCATTTTTGTTTAAAATATTGAAGACATGACATTACTTTTATAATTAGAAAAAATTGTTTACGAAAATCTATTTTTTAATATTTAGCCAAATTCTGATTTTCCTTAGCCATTACCCATTTTTAAAACCCATTCATTTACCAAATTTTCATTGAGTTCTTTCTATAGGCTGGGCATGGTGCCAGCTACTCTGGTTCGGCAGGGTAGAAAACTGGCCAGGCCCAGCTTCCATGCCACAGGGGAGACTAATGATAAATAAGTAAACAGACCCTAGGGGCAGTCATTTGTTGATGCCAACTGTGTGCTGGGCATTCTTCTAACTGATGTTGATGTTTCATAGATTTACTCTTTCAATCCTTTACATAATTCCTTTAATAACCCTGGGCAGCATATAGCATTAATACCCAAGGCCACCCAGCCAGTAAGCAGTGGGGTCAGGACTCTCCAGCCTGAGCTGCCAACCTCTCCAGCTTCTCCAGCCTCTCTTCTTACTGATGTATTATAATCCAGCCACAATGGCCTTCTTTCCTGCCTCGGAAGCTTTGCACTTGACATTCTGTCTGCCCAGGCACCCCCTCTCCCACTAGACCCCCTCCTCATGCAGGTCACAGAGGCCTTTGCTGAGCTGCTGGTCTGGTCCATCGTGACTTCCCTCTTACCCCTGTAGACATTCTCCATCACTTAACATCACATCATCTTGTTTTACTTTCTTGTGGCTGTTTTCTCTCTCTGACATTATCTGACACTGTTTCACCCGCTGGATTGTAAGCTCTATGGAAAACATGATCCTTGTCCATGTGGTTCACCCACTATCCCCAGCACCTAGCATAGTACCCAGCATAGGGTAGGTGTTACTGGAGACAGTGGGAAATGAATAAATGAGGGATGATGAGCACATATCCTAGGAGAGTGGTCTCCAAAGTGGGATGTCGGTGTTGGAGACCATGGAAGGTGAGATGGTCCATTGTGGGGCAGGAAGAAATTATGATTGAGAAGTAGATAGACACATAGGAAGATGACCCACACACATCTCATCCTTTTTCCCATTTTTGTGAATGACAGGGCATGAATATAATTTATAAATAAACAAATGTGCACATAGGCAGGTACACTCAAATGTTTATTGTTAGGGCATATGACCAAAAAGCTTTGGGGATCACCGGCCTAGAAGGAGAGTCAGACAAGGAAACAGTCCATTCCAATATGGTGGAAAAGGTGTCCCAACAGAGCAGAGTGCTGTGGTAGCATCTGCAGGGCCACCTAACCTTCCGTGGAGCATTGATTACTGGGTAAAACTTATGTTTTCCATTATTTTGTAAATGTTAGGAATGATCATTTTTAAAACTATTCAAAAATACATAAGCTCTCATTTTTAGACCATTAAAGCAACCTGAATGACCATAGCCTTTATGGTCATTGTCGTAATAAATGGTGAGAGAGAGAGAGAGAGAGATTGATTGATTGATTGAGATTTCACAGTTAACTAGTTGGAGAGGCTAACTCCAAAGAGTTATATGGCTGTTAAGGAACTGTGGTGAAATATCCAGGTTGTCCTTGCTTTCTGAGCTGCAAAAGTAATCTGAAAGTTAGAAAAATAAACATACATTGAAACTCCAGTCTTCTAGCTTAGAGAGGTAATAGGAGGTAGCAGGGGAAAAACTTGGGCTTGAGTCTCACCCCTACCTCTTTCCTTCTGCATGACTTTGAGCAAGTCCTTTTCTCAGGACTCCCATCTACAAGATGGGCATGAGGATGCATACCTCATAGGCATCATGTTGTGAAAATGAAACAAAATTGCTTGGTGTGGAGTGGGTCTTGATGAATATTAGTTCCCGTCTAGTTCCTCTGTTTAAGGAGAAAACCCCATGTTATTTAGAAAGGGCCTAAACGTACATCCTTTAGAACATCATCAGGAACATGATTTTTTTTTTTCTATACTTGGTTAAACTGAGTTGTACTTGAAATACATTCTTCTTTAAATCACTTAAATTGATTTCATGTAAACCACAGCCACCCTTCCTGGGGTGGTATTGACCCTTGATATTTTACTGGTGATACCATCAGACCAACCCTCTTTTCTTCCTGGGCTTGACCTCAAATGATGCCACAGCTGGATTTCTGTAGTACAAATAACTCTTGTCTTCTAAGCATGGAGGGTTGCAGTTGGATGGAAGCAGAGTAAACAGAGAGAAGCCGGGACCTTGGCTTGGGAACCACCTGTGTCCAGGGAGAGGGGCCTCTTGTGGAATGGGGGAGGAGGGCTGGATGGCCAGTTTGGAGGAGAGGAATTGGATCAGGAAGGGGAGGACTGAGTTGGGCAGAACTCAGCAGATTCCTTGGCATGCACTGCAGAAGGATTCCCTGAAGGGCTGCACAGAAAAGAAATGTGCTGTGTGCTTGGCAGGCCAGAAACCACAGAGAACCTGGCAATGCTTTTTGAGGATTTGGGAGCAGAAAAGCAGACTCCCTAGGTGGTTATTTATAGAGCCGCAGCAGTAATGATCAGTTAGAAAAAATAAATTATAACTCAGTTGAACCTGAAATAACTTTTCTTTTGCAACCCCAGGCATCCCACACGGGCTGTGTTCCTGCCGATAGTGTTCCTGGAGGCTGAGGGTCAGTCCCACACCAGGCTCACTTATGCCTCCCCCAAGCTTCAGCGCCGTCAACAAAGCAAGGAGAGGGAGTTTCTGGGTAGAGATGGGGAGAATTCTGGCTGGATGACTCCTTTTCCCCTGCTGCACCTCCCAATTTGCTAAATTGTCCCTCCCTTCCTCCCTCAAGACATCTGTAACATGAGGCATAAGGTGTGCTTGGAGGGAGTGCGGAATTTGTGGCATGCTGAGCCTTCAACTTCTGCACACCTTGTGCACGTGCATGTGCGAACGCCCGCTTGTTTTCTGCACCTGTGTTTTGGCTGCAACAAGAGCTTCTGATTGTAATGTTTTTGGAGAAGCTGGTTGCTAAGTTCACAGGGCCATAGGCTTTTCTCTTCCCCTTAGCCAACAAGCAAGACCGTGCTGATGTTCACACTGACAGCTTGGCAACGGGGTCACCTTGAGCGTGCCCAGCCCACCGCTTGGCATCTTGACACTTGGGCACCCATCCTGTTTCCCCCTCCCACCCATCTGCTCCTTCTTTTCTATTCCTTCATTCATTTGTTCATTTGCTTTTCAATCAACAAGCTTTCATTGCATCTGGCTGCAGATGCATTTTATTTGGCTTGCAACATGGTGTCTTAAATTTGGATTTGCTGCTGACACATAAAGATGGGGTAATTTCATATAAGAATGCAGATACCTGGCCTCTCCCTGAAAATTGCAGTTCTGGTAATACAGGTCACATTCCCATGCTCTGGTATTCTCCATATGGGCAGGAGGGGCAGCAGGCCCCTTTGGTGGCATGCACCTGTAGTCCCAGCTACTTGGGAGGGTGAGGCAGGAGGATCACTTGAACCCGAGAGGCAAAGGTTGCAGTGAGCTGAGATTGCATCACTGCACTCCAGCCTGTATGACAGAGCAAGACTCTGTCTCAATCAATCAATCATTCCAGCCCCTCTGATTCATCACAGCTTCCAGTGACTCCTATTGTCTGGCCATCACCAAGACAATTACCACCCATGTCACCTAAACCAGCAGCTTCACCCATTTATGTTATCTGCCTGGCTCTGTGAGCATTTGAATTTGTGACCCTAGTGCCGTTTCTAATCTGAGGAGTTCTATGGTCCAGTGGGGGAGATAGAGCCATATCTGATTTTTGTGTATGAAAAGTGTTGTGAGAATAGTGTATAGGGGAGGAAAAGATCGATTTTTGACTTCAAGAGTTAGGGAATTCATGGAGAAGGTGAGTTTGGAAGCAGGTTTTAAAAGTGCAGCAAGAAGTGTCTGTTCATGTCCTTCACCCACTTTTTGATGGGGTTGTTTGTTTTTTTCTTGTAAATTTGTTTGAGTTCATTGTAGATTCTGGATATTAGCCCTTTGTCAGATGAGTAGGTTGCGAAAATTTTCTCCCATGTTGTAGGTTGCCTGTTCACTCTGATGGTAGTTTCTTTTGCTGTGCAGAAGCTCTTTAGTTTAATTAGATCCCATTTGTCAATTTTGTCTTTTGTTGCCATTGCTTTTTTATGCAGCCAAAAAACACATGAAGAAATGCTCATCATCACTGGCCATCAGAGAAATGCAAATCAAAACCACTATGAGATATCATCTCACACCAGTTAGAATGGCAATCATTAAAAAGTCAGGAAACAACAGGTGCTGGAGAGGATGCGGAGAAATAGGAACACTTTTACACGGTTGGTGGGACTGTAAACTAGTTCAACCATTGTGGAAGTCAGTGTGGCGATTCCTCAGGGATCTAGAACTAGAAATACCATTTGACCCAGCCATCCCATTACTGGGTATATACCCAAATGAGTATAAATCATGCTGCTATAAAGACACATGCACACGTATGTTTATTGCAGCACTATTCACAATAGCAAAGACTTGGAACCAACCCAAATGTCCAACAATGATAGACTGGATTAAGAAAATGTGGCACATATACACCATGGAATACTATGCAGCCATAAAAAATGATGAGTTCATATCCTTTGTAGGGACATGGATGAAATTGGAAACCATCATTCTCAGTAAACTATCGCAAGAACAAAAAACCAAACACCGCATATTCTCACTCATAGGTGGGAATTGAACAATGAGATCACGTGGACACAGGAAGGGGAATATCACACTCTGGGGACTGTGGTGGGGTCGGGGGAGGGGGGAGGGATAACATTGGGAGATATACCTAATGCTAGATGACACATTAGTGGGTGCAGCGCACCAGCATGGCACATGTATACATATGTAACTAACCTGCACAATGTGCACATGTACCCTAAAACTTAGAGTATAAAAAAAAAAAAAAAAAAAAAAGTGCAGCAAGAATATGCCAAGAGGGAGCCCTGAGCAGTGCTCCAGACACAGGGATCGGCATGGGCAGAAGCTCAGAGGGGTGAGCGAACAGGAGTCAGTGGGGTGGGGGTGAGGCTCTTCTGTTTTCAGTGGGATGCTCCATTGCCAACCCTGCCCAACTTGAAACCCTTTCCAACCTGAAACCAGGCACCCGTGGCCCTTCAGACCTGGGCCTGGCTCTGCAGTCAGCCCCTTAGCAGGCTCCCTTCCCCAGCGCCTGCTGGGTGGCCCTGTATGCAGGTCCTGGCCCATCTGTCAAAATTTGCCTGAAGTAATAGAGTCCTGCTGTTCTTCCCTGTCCCAGCCCAGAACTGAGAGAGAGAGAGAGAGAGGAGGTGGGACAGAGAGAGGGAGAGAGAGAGGGAGAGAGAAAGCCGATCTGCCTCCATCCAAGAGGACAACAGGTGGCCCTAGGTACAGCCGGGTGAGTGAACACACTTAGTAAGGCTCTATGGTTTCCACGTCTTCGCTCTGCTTCTCTGGTGCCTTTCTTTCCCCATCCCTTGAAAGCCAGCTCCTCGATGTGTGAGCTCCTCTGGCCTTCTCCCTTGGTGAGCTCACACATTCATCATCATTTACAGACAGGCTTCTCTAGCTGGCATCAGCAGCCTAGAGCCGCTGCTGAAGGTTGGCAGGTGGAGACCCTGGGTAGCTTGTGGCAGGTTCGCCTTGGTGAGTTCCCAAGTGCCTCAAACCCCACTGAACTAAAGCTGCTGGATCATCCAGTTTCTGGGTACCCTCTTCACTCCTACTTTCCCTCACTCACTCCTCTCAGCCTGGAACTCCCTTCCTCTCCCTTTCTACACGTTGAAATCCTTCTGTTTTTTAAGCTCCTTACTATATAACACCTCTGATATGGTTTGCCTGTGTCCCCACCCAAAATCTCACTTGAATTGTAATCCCCATAATCCCCACATGTCAAAGGAGAGAGCAGGTGGAGGTGATTGAATCGTGGGGGCAGTTTCCCCCATGCTGTTCTCATGATAGTGAGTTCTCGAAATATCTGATGGTTTTATAATTGTTTGGTAGTTCCTCCTGCTTTCATTCTCCTTCCTGCCACCTTGTGAAGAGGGTGCCTTGCTTCCCCTTCACCTTTCACCATGATTGTAAATGTCCTGAGGCCTCCCCAGCCATGCAGAACTACGAGTCAATTAAACCTCTTTCCTTTATAAATCACCCAGTCTCAGTATGTCCTTATAGCCGTGTGAGAACAGACTAATAGAACCTCCCTGAAACTTTCCTGATTCAAGAAGATTCTAGCCCTCATTACATCATAGCAACATTGTCAGAAATCCAAGAATTTGCCTCTGATCCAGACAACCCAATAAACACAGCATTTTGGAGCCAGAAGAGAGCTGGGCCAGTCTCTGTTTTCTTGAAGAAGACCTCCTCCAGCCTGCTCACTTTATTCCCCACATGCCTCCCACCCTGTTTCTTTTCAGGTAATGAACTCTAAAACACAGCCATTCGTGGTGGGGACGTGAAGTCTCTGTTCCCACCCAGACTGTGTGCTGCTTGGTGGCAGGAACTGGCTGCTGTGTTTGTCTTCCCAAGGACAACTTTACACAGTTCTGCGTGAAATCTGTGCTCAGCTGTAAGTAGTTAGTAGCCAGTTGCTGGAGTGAACTGAACTCTTGGAAGAAAGGATAAGAAATTACTGTTTGCATGAGACTTGTCATTAAGGTTATCACTTAAGGAAGAGTGGAAACAGTTTGGGAGTAACTGGGTCAGAGGAGGTGATTTCTGTAACATGAGGACACCTTATAGCCAAGAGCCTCGTTGCCTGGAACATTAAAGTTTGGTCAATGAGAAATTGGCAGTGCAGCCCATGAAGACTGAGAAAGGAGACCTTCTCCAATCTTGGGAATCCATCCAAAGATCCCAATACCATCCACCCCACCTTCTTGGCAAGGGAAGAAGTATAGGCCCTGCTTTTGGGAGTGGAGTGTAGAACCCACCCTAAGGACATGAAGAAGCCAGGGCCTGGTCATAAGAGGGAAGCTGGCTTCTCTGATATTCCTGTCTCTGGGATTCTGGCCTATCCAAAGCATTTGGGCCAAAAGTGAGGGCTTCCGGCTTGTTTCTTACACCTGCCCCTGGCTCAGGGCCGATGACGGTGTCCCTGTGTCCCTCTGTGGCCTCTCACAGTGGTCTTCTCCTGGGCTTCCTGTTGGCTGCCCTGCTCATGGCTGTGCTGTGGCTGCTGGCAGCCCCACGGGGCTCTGAGGAGCCCATGCCAGCACCTTAGGGCTTCTGCTCTTGAGCCGGGGCTCCCACGCAGCAGCCTGGGGTCTGAGAGTGCTGGTAGAACTAAGGAAGGCAAAACAGCAAGACTGAATGGAGATGCATGCCGAGAAATTTCACCTATTTGGATCTCTCCAGAGCCTATGTGGTCTTATCAATAATCATTTAATAGCAACTTATATTATTTTACTATTTACAGAGAGTGTCCACATATGTTAACTTCCTTGATCCTCACAAACACCCTATCCCTTGGGTATTTTCTACCAGCCCCATGAGGCTCAGAGAGATTTACATGACTTTTTGAGGGTTTGAACCCAACTCTTTGGTCTCAAAAACATCTCATTCCAGTACACCTCATTGCCTCCCAAGCCCTGTATCCAGGAAGACCTGACTCACCAGCATGCTTTCTGTGCGAAAGGACACCAGAGCTGAGAAGTAAATCGACACCACCCCCAATCCCTGCAACTTCCTCTTCTCTGTCCTGTCATTGAGAACACCAGCCTAAGGGCACGTTTTTCTCCTTCCACGTTCTATTAAAGCTCAGTAGTCTAACTCCTACTATTGAAAATGAGAGAAACAGGAAGGAAAGTCTCAAATTCCAACTTTGGAAACCACGTTGAAAGAAGGTGCTCTCATCTGGACATGATGGTTCACGCCTGTAATCCCAGCACTTTGGGAGGCCGAGGCTGGCAGATCACGAGGTCAAGAGATTGAGACCATCCTGGCTAACATGGTGAAACCTTGTCTCTACTAAAAATACAAAAATTAGCCAGGTGTGGTGGCACGTGCCTGTAGACCCAGCTACTTGGGAGTCTGAGGCAGGAGAATTGCTTGAATCCAGGAGGCAGATGTTGCAGTGAGCCAACATCATGCCACTACACGCCAGCCTGGCAACAGAGCAAGACTCTGTCTCAAAAAAAAAAAAAAAAAAAAAAAAAAAAAAAAGAAGAAGAAGAAGGTGCTCTCTCATCATTCTTCTGTACATTCATTTGTTCATTAGACAGATATGTATAGAGAATCTGCTGTGTCCCAAGCACTGTTCTAGGTGCTGCGGTTATAGTGGTAGACAGAAAGGTAAAGTTCCTGCCCTCTCGAAGCTCACATCCTACTTTCAGGGGGTAATGAGCAAGTAGATGATGAACAAATGTTTTATATAGTTCTAGGGCTATAAGGAGTGTAGAGAAGGCTGATGAGATGCAGTGTAACTGGCAGGAGGGGAGTGAGAACTACTTGGGTAGATGATCAGGAGATACTCTGCAAGAGGAAACATACAGAAGGAGCCTGACATGAGAAAACTGGGGCAGCAGTTTTCCAGGAAGAGGGACCAGCACAGGTCCAAGTTGAAACTCAGAATGGAATTTTAGGAAATTATATTCTTCATGATGGTTAGATCCTGTGGGCTATCATCACTGCAGTTCAACAATGTGGTGCCTAGTAGGAAGAGTTCTCCCAGGAACCCTCCACGTGTGCTATGGGATTTCTGAGAAAACCAGTTCTGAGTTCTAGGCAGTGGACTCACAGTTGAACTTGGAGGGAACCAAGAATTGCTTCCATCATAGCCTTACTAAGAAATGACCATGGCATGGCCTGAGTGCTTCGGCATGGAGGACCAGAAGGGGAAGCCCTAATTTGCCAGTTGCAGACTCTTGAGCCTTGTGACTCTAATGACGACAAAAATTAGGAGATTTTCTAGGACTCCACGTTTGCGATTTTGAGAGTAGTGCTGCTGGGGTTCCTGGTTTGGGTTCTATTGATTGTTTCATTGTTTCTGTGTGCAAGTTACCCTCTCTAAGCTTAGTTTAATTAATATTATATTAAGTGAGGTAGTTAGATTATATGAACCCTAAGGCTCCTTTTATTCTTAACCTTAAAATAAAAACATTTTGTAAACAGTTTTTCTTTGTGTGTGTGGTGGCCTTTTCTGTGCCTCTGCTTTGGATGAGGTTACAGGGCTGAGTGCGAGTGAGTCATTAGTGGTTCCTTTGATATAAGACAGGTGATACTATTGAACACTGTTGGTGGTAGACCAGTGGTTCTCAAAGTGTGGTCTCTGGACCAGCAATAGCTGGGCTTGGGAACTTGTTAGAAACTCTAGCTGTCAGCCTCCACCCCAGACCTACTGATTAAAAAACCGTAGGAGTGTAACCAAAACTCTGTGTTTTAACAAAGTCTACAAATGATTCTGATGCATGCTAAAGTTTAGGAACCACTAGAGTAGAGTATGTGCTTTAAGATTTGGGTCTACCGGCCAGGCGTGGTGTCTCATGCCTGTAATCCCAGCACTTTAGGAGGCCAAGGTGGGTGGATCCCAAGGTCAGGAGTTTGAGACCAGCCTGGCCAACATGGTGAAACCCCATGTCTACTAAAAATACAAAAATTAGCTGGGCATGGTGGTGCATGCCTGTAGTCCCAGATACTCGGGAGGGTGAGGCAGGAGAATTGCTTGAACCCAGGAGGCAGAGGTTGCAGTGAGCCGAGATTGCGCCATTGCACTCCAGCCTGGGCGACAGGGCAAGACTTGGAAAAAAAAAAAAAAAAGATTTGGGTCTACCACTGATGGATCCTTACATTCCAGTCACTGTCATGGTCACAGCAAGTAGTTGCATGTCTGTGCAAATATTGCAATAAGATGTTTATTCAGCTTGGCTTGGTGAACAGTCCTGTGACTCTAAAGCAGAAAATGTTCCTGGCCTGTGCTAGGACTGGACCCACACTCTCCTCCTTGGTATTATGTCCCATCCACTCCTCTAGGTGAGCATCTGCATGGAGGAGGGGTTAGCAAGGAGGCAGGCTGCTTCCAGAAGTTGTGACAGAGTGCTGTTGGATGTGCTTCTGGGGAGACTGATGTAATTGGAGAAGTTTGTGCATGGTTAGTTTCCACACATTTTTAAAGTATGAAACTGTCTTGGGTTTCTAAGTCCTTGGTAGATATATCTGCGTGCATCTGTCGTGAAGATCAGTGGTGATGAAAGGTCTCAGGTGCCATAGAATAAGCAATCTGGTGACCCTGCTGCACACTGAGTTTAGAGTTCTGATTCAGTTTGGTTTCCCTTATCTAAATGTCCACTCGTGAACTAGAATGAGGTGACCAGATGGTCCAGATCACCCAGGACTGCCCCGTGTTTCCCCTTCCTGTCCCTCTCAGTCTGGTGTCTCGGATTTGTTCCTGTGTTGCCCACTCCTGCTGGATCTTGTCCAGTCGAGGGACAAACGTCCTGAAGAATGGGAAGAAAGGAGGTTCTGAAGGCACAGATTCCAATACCATGCCAGAGGTTGAGGACACTGGTGCTTGAAGGGAAACTGGCACACTCTGGAGCCCCAAGAAGAGCTGGAGCTGGAGGCATGCGGCCCACGAAGGGTAGAAGTAAGTTCATTTCTCTGGTAGGGCTTAGGGGAGGGGTAGTCACAGGTAGGGCTTGGGATGTGGGGCTGGGATGGCTCCTACAGGGCCAGAAGGCAAAGAAAGGGCAGCAGATGGGCACAGCAGGGACAAGGGTGTGGTGAGGAATCTGACTGCTCCAGCCCAAGCTGGCATGGCCTCTCTGCTCTCGCCTTCTGCCCTCTTTCTGTAATCTTTCATCTCTGAGGATGTTGGGCCATTCCTGGGTCCCTCCTTCTTCCTGCAATTCTCTCTACCCTTCCACCCTGTTGCCCTCTCCCCTCCCTCGCTTCCTATTGTGTCCTGCCCACTGCCGATTCCATCCTCCTTATCTCATGTCTATCCATGATTGACATGATGGAAATGGCACAGTAGAGTCCAATGGTGATAAGCACTCTCCGTGTTTGCAGGTACCAGCCATGACCAAGAGCCCTTCACATCATCTGGCAATCCATCCAGAACCCACTGAATGGAGGACAGCACAGCGAGGTCTTTCTCATTTTGTAACTGCAAAAGCTGGAACAAGAGCCAGAGAAGCCAAAGAAGCAGTACAAGTCCAACAGCTTTTAGAATAACCCTGAGAAAATGGTTGAATTTTGACCAGTTTTGCAATTGGATACTATGAGAAGAGACCTTCCCTCCTGCACTGGATTTCATCATCATACCTGGAGGCCATTCCTCATGGGACTTTGGCCATCTCATATCCACCTTTAAGCATGTTATTCCCATTTCAGCTGTGGTAGCTCTGGGTATCCTTCCCTAGGAGAAAATATTAATCTTTTCTCCCTCTGAGTTCTGGATTAAACTGTCTTATCTGAAACTGGGTCACTTTAGGCTAGAAGCACCACTAGACATTCCTGTTCTCAGAAGTTGCCAAGTTCATGTCATATCTGTTTCATTGTTAACGGGATCCACTTCTGCAAGAGGCTGCCTGGCCAGATCAGTGTGTCTCCTGGTCAGCTCCTTGATGCCCTTCTCCTCTCCCCTGCCCAATCCCAGCTGAGACTTGCACTGTGGTGACTCTGTCCCCTCCTGGTGCTTTGACTGGATGTGTGAGAGAAAGTATGGTCTGTGGCACTGACATCTTTGTGTGTTTGGAGGTGACTGGAACACGGATCCACCCCTGGAGGAAGGTGGCCGTGAAGGAGGCCAGCCTCAGCTCAGCGTTCTACTCTCATCGCTCTTACTCCCGCCTTTTTAGTGCCTGCCCTACTCCAGGATAATTGTGCTTTTCTTTTTTCAGTTAAATGTTAGCATTGCTATTTTTCATTATTGCAAAGCAGCACATGCTTGTTACAAAAACTTTGGAAGTGTAGACAAATAAAAAGAAGAAAAAGCTACTTCCAAATCCTACTTACCCCAAAGACAAGATGATCATTTAGTCATATAGTATCATACATATATAATATGTACACATATATTTTAATGTAAGTGTAGTGTCACAATATCATGTATAGTCTTTCATAAAACACGTTGGCACTTAATATCTTATATGAACAACTTTCTAGAGCAACAAGCTTAGTTTACAGCAATTGTAATGTAAGAGTACTCATTTACATAGCTACAGCATCCTTTGTTTACCTCATCTCTTATGGTTTGATGTTTAGGTTGTTTCCAACTTTTCTCCACCTAAACAGCATTAATAAATGTGGTTTTAGTTTCCTCTTCCTATGACTAATTATTTCCTTAAGATGAATCCCCAGAAAAGAATCAAAAGAAAATTTGCAAAAGTTACAAAGATGTCAAAGTATGGAGCCAGCATTAACTGCTCAGAACCCAAATGCATGAGAGACTAGGTTGCTGGGAAGGCCACATATGCCCTTTCCTGGATGCCTTTATATAGCCACACTTGGGTGGCTCTGGCTTCCGTTGCCTTGCCTGGAACAGGGAATACCCATGAATGATGACTGAGGTGAGCAGGCAGTGAATGAGGGAGTGGTGTTGTCTCTTTGGGGTTAGTATGTGGCTATATCCCATGAGTGCTCATTGGATGCTGAGAAACAGTCATTTGTTCATTCTTTCATTACCCATCTATGGAGGAGCCGCTGTTGCAAGGCACCAGGCAAGAGGCTGAGAAGACAAAGATGAATTAAATAGGGACTTCATTCTTGGGAAGATCACAGCCTGGCAAAGGCCAGTGACTCATCACACACATTTACTTCACAGTGTAGTAAGAGGAAAAACAGAAGTTCAGTAATGCATCTCAGGGCAGAAAACTTGGAAAAATCTGAAAGTCCCAAGGAAAAAATATGAAACATCACATAATCCTCTGGCCCATTCCTCACAGCGAACACGTTCAGGTGTATCCTTTAGGCTATGAGCCTGGCTTGCTTGTGGTCATCCTCACCGGATACAACCTTGACGGCATTGCCTGTGTCCTGCATTGGCACCTCTGGTGACCTGGCACCATCTTAGACAACTTCCTCTGAAATCTATTAAATGAAAAATCCAACAGGAGTTAACAGAATGAAAGGTAAATGGATTCATGAGTTGAAACAAAGTCTCCATGTTTTATGTATGTAGGGAAATTTGCATTAATTCATATCCTTCTGCACAATGGAAACTTTTTCAAATATTTCATTGTAAAAGTAACATGCACATTTCAGAAAATTGGGGGATGAGAGAAAAGGAGAATGTTACCATATTTCACTATCTAATCCAGGGCTGACAGCATTCTAGTGACCGTCACCCTGAAAAATTTGTATTAAGATGATGTGAGGACGAGAGCTGAGGAATGAATGTTATTCGTGCGTTGGTTTTTCCAGTTTACTTTTTATTTATTATTTCTTTTTGAGATGGAGTCTCACTCTGTTGCCCAGGCTGGAATGCAGCGGCGCAATCTTGGCTCACTGCAACTGTCTCCCGGGTTCAAGCAATTCTCCTGCCTCAGCCTCCAGAGTAGTTGGGACTACAGGCACCAACCACCATGCCTGGCTAATTTTTGTATTTTTCATAGAGATGGGGTTTCACCATGTTGGCCAGGCTGGTCTTGAACTCCTGACCTCAGGTGATCCACCTGCCTCGGCCTCCCAAAGTGCTGGGATTACAGGTATGAGCCACCATACCCAGCCTCCAATTTTATTTTTAATTAAACATACTTGACAGGTAATTACATTCATATAGTTCAAAATTCAAATAGTATAAAAGCATATAGAGTGAAAAGTTTACATGCCCAGCCATCTAGTTCCCTGGGACACCTAGTGATATCAGTTTAATGTGTATCCTTCTAGAGTTTTTGTGCCTATAAAACCATATATGTATATAAAACATGAGTTTTTAATGGAAGGCTTGGCAATATTATTACTGAATGTTCTAAGTTTAACCTAAACTATCCCTGTTGTTCCTAGTGGCAGGCCTGGGGTATAGGTGAAGAAGAGAGAAAAGGGCAGAAAGAGGCGTGTGTGTGTGTGTGTGTGTGTGTGTGTGTGTGTGTGTGCGTGTGTGTGTGTGTATAGGAGGTGTGTAGGTGGTTGTTGCTGATGGAGACAGTGAAGGAATGAGCACTCATTTATCCATTCTACTAGTATTTATTTACTGAGCACCTATTATGTGTCAGACACTATTGTAGACCCAGGAGATAGAGGAGTGAACCAAAACTCTTTGTCCTCATGGATATTATTTAAAATGGAAGGTGGTAGAGAATAAACATATTGTAGTCTCTTAGAAAGTGATAAATACCATGGAAAAACTTAAGTAGGGTGCAAGAGATGGGGACTATCAAGGGAAATTTTCAAGTGAGTTGTCAGGGGAGGCTACATAGAGAATGGGGCCTATGAGCATAGATGCGAAGGAGGTGAGGGAGTGAGCCCTGTGGATGCCCAGGGATGGAGCTCCCACAGAGGGAAGAGGCAGTGCAAAGGCCCTGTGGCAGAAGCTTGAGCCCTGAAGGCCTCCAGCGGCCCTCTTCTCCCCTCTCCAGGCTGTTCCTGGTGACCTCTGCCCCTGGCTGGCCTCCCTCAGGACCCAAAGAAGCCCAGGTCAGCTGGTGTGTTCTAGGTATAGTGCTGAGATTATTCTATATGAGATGTTAGATTTTCCTTTCTTTATATTTTGATCCTGATGTTTAATGTTACTCCTTCAAGATAATTCTATGCTTTGGATGTTAGTTTAGTCTGAATAAGGGGAAAAGCGGGGAACATTGTTGTAGAGGGTGGACTAAGATTGAGACTTGAAGGTCCTAGATTTTACACCAACCTTGGCACTTGTTTTCAAGCCTTTTGAATTGAGCACATTATTCAGCCTCTATGGTTTGTAGTTTCCCCACTTAGAAAATGAAAGGGGTGTACTTAAATGGCTCTAGGGCTGTCCCCAACACTGTGGTTTTCAAGCCCTGTGACCCTGCGAGCAGTTAAGGTAAGAAGCGGCATCGGATGACGTCTAGCGATACTGCTGGGGAGGAGAAGGGCGCCTTTGCCTGCAGAGGACTCTGTGTGCATGATAACGTGTGTTGCTACTTGTGTCTCCCTCTTGGACTAGAAGAGCTCAGGTTCATCCTTAAAATAGAACATTCTATCTGAGTAAGTCCAGAATCCCTGATGTTCACAGAGGAGATGCAGCAGCACTGTTCATTGCGTTCTTCTCCTTGTTAGTTTAGTGTGCTGCTCCCTTTCAGCCCTGAAGGGGTTGTTGTTTTCCATGCCCCTTGGCTGAACTGATTCTCAGTTTGCAGTGGAGGTGGACTTGGTGGGGCTGGGTCTCCTTCTTTTGTTCCTTGGTGTCAGAGGCTCCCTCCCCTCTTTACTATCCTCAGTTTGGCTGCCTGAAGTCTTTCATCCACCCTGGTGAAGCAGGCAATGAGAGGAGGGAGTGTGTCATTGGTATCAACATTGTCCCATGTGGAGCAAAATCACTGTGAATTTAAAAATCAGGGAATTGAACAATGAGAACACATGGACACAGGAAGGGGAACATCACACACTGGGGCCTGTTGTGGAGGCCCCACACACGGAGGGGGGAGGGATAGCATTTGGAGACATACCTAATGTTAAATGACGAGTTACTGGGTGCAGCACACCAACATGGCACATGTATACATATGTAACTAACCTGCACATTGTGCACATGTACCCTAAAACTTAAAGTATAATAAAAAAAATCAGAATGTGTGTAAAGGTGTGGGGGCAGAGTTGGGGCCTCCAGAAATTTCATTTAGAGGGAGAAATGTTAAACATGAATAGAAGCCTTTTCTCTTTTACTTTTAAAGGGTGAGTCACGTTGGCTGTAGTTACTTTCTTCCTTATTCCTCAGCATTTCCTCTGTTTTTTTTTTTTCTTAAACTACCCGTCTTTAGCACTCCTAGCTGCTGTGAAACAGGGCAACAGAAGAGTGGCTTCTGGAATTGGGTTTCACATTCTTTACTGGAGTTTGTGGGAGGATGGCGTGTTCCCTAAGCATTGCGGAGGAAATACTGATGCCCATGCATCTTTCATTGGAAATGGGTCCTGAAATGTTTAATTTGTTGAAATCAACTTCTGATTTATGCTATTTTCCCAGGACCTTTTAAAAATATATGCACAAAAATCCCTCTGTTACTTCTTACATTTCGTGTGATGTCCTTTGTCTCCATCAACTGTTGTAGAGAGAAACTGTATTTGGAATATTCATAACAAGTCTATCGCTAATTATCACTTTAACAATGTGTTATGGAGTGTATCCATGCAGTCATCTGGGAAGGCGCATATGCCGTGAAATGTGGGGATTTGCTGTGTACTGCTTGTGCCTGCTTTTAGCGTTTCCTCAGGTCTTAGGGAGGAAGTAGAGGTGCTTGGTAACGGGGAACGGAGGGGAGGACTTCACAGCTGAGGGCCTGCATCCTGCATTCCTGTCCTCCCAGCAACAATTTCCAGGGTACATTGCTTTTGAGCGTAAGAAAAGCCTTTATTTGAAACAAAAATCTTTCTCCACACTGAAGCCTCATTTCTGGAAAGCTGCAGAGATTGGAACTGAGGTTACCCCAGGTCAGTGCCAGGTAGACAGATCCTAGCCATAGATCTAATTGCTGATGAAGAAAGAGGCTGCTGGCCTTAGTGCCTTTCTGATACTCTAGCAAGAAGCGGGGGGCAAAAAGAGCTAAAATTGCCACCTGATTTGCAGATCTCAGAAGCAAATGAAAAGGAGCTTCACCATCTCGAGGGATGAGAAAGAATGCTGCTTCCTTTTCTTTCTTTCTGCTCTCTTTTCTCTTGGGAAGGAGAATGAACTCATGCTGGGCTCCTTCTTCAGGATTCTCAGTGGGTCTGAGCTGTGGGAAGCTAGCATTCTGTTATCTCAGGGGCACGTGGAGCTCTTTCCACCAAGACCTCCTGATTGGCATGGATAAAGCCCCAGAGGCTGCTTTCAAATGAGGCCAGAGTAATGGAGCATAATGGAGCAAACCTCCTGGTGGAAGAGTTCAGTCCTACTGCAGTGATAAATCAGGAAGCCTTTATGAGGGGCCAGTAATGGGACAGTGGGGAGTGAGTTGCCAAACCTGGCTCCACATGACTTCGAGGCTCCTTTGTGGGTCCTGTTTTTAGTGCCAATGGGGGATTCAGGCTCAATCTTTTCTGGGTGTCCTGGGAATATTCTGAAGGGTTTAATTTGGATAGTTTTAGAGTTGCATCTGTTATAAAGATTTAATAATGAGTTTTTATGGCACTTGGAGCCTGGTTTTGTTAGATGTTACTTTAGAAATAATAACAGCACTTTATTGCTGTTATTATTGAGTGCTTACTATATACTAGGTGCATTATTCATCATAATCATTAACAGTGAATTTTTTTTTTGAGATGGAGTCTCTCTCTGTTGCCCGGGCTGAGTGCAGTGCTGTGATCTCGACTCACTGCAACCTCCACCTCTTGGGTTCAAGCAATTCTCCTGCCTCAGCCTCCTGAGTAGCTAGGACTACAGGTGCACACCACCACGCCTGGCTAAGTTTTGTATTTTTAGTAGAGATGGGGGGATTTCACCATGTTGGCCAGACTGGTCTTGAACTCCTGACCTCAAGTGATCCACCTGCCTCGGCTTCCCAAAGTGCTGGGATTATAGGAGTGAGCCACCCCACCCAGCCAACAACGAATATTAATGCAGTACTTATGATGTACCAAACTCATAAGCACACTTACCTCACCAGGTCTTAGAAGAACACTCCCTCTGGAGCCATCACTTACGCGTGAGGACATTGAGGCCCTGAGCTTAGATAACTTGTTCAAAATGGCCCTGCTGATAAGCTACATGGACGAAGTCAGCGGTTTTGGGCATGTCTTTCCACCAGCTTCTGGAAGAACAGCACACAGGCCGTTCCCCTCTCCCCCATTTTAAAGTGGCAGGAGAAGGTGGAATGAAGAAAATAAATAGGGCTGTTCCTGGCTCTGTGTGGTCAGAGGGTGATACTGGTTCAGGGTCCAGCTTATCAGTGCTGCACTGATATTCACAGAGCATTCGGCTCCGGAGGCTTTGCACTGTTTGTAATGCATTGTCAAAACTTGGTGTTGGCTGCCTGTTTAAAGAATTGATTTAATAAACACCGCGTTTCTGGATGTTTGGTTTCTTTGTTTTTGTTTGGGGTCATGGAGGTGGGATCCTGGAAGAGTTGGATGGAAGTGTATTTGACAGGAGAAATTCTGGGTGTGTTTAAAAATCAAGCCACCACAGATTCTGATGCAGCCTTCTTGAAGACAGGTGTGTGTGGGCAGGTGTGCTGGGGGCACTGGGATGGGCAGAGGAAGTGGTGGGGTTTGTAGGTGGAAACGCAGGGCTGGCTTTGTTGTTGTCTGCACGGCCCTCCAGGCTACAGTCATTAACTGCACCAATACTGCCACTAATAGGTGGGTGATTCAGCTCCTTCCTGCATTTTATTACCGGACAGAGACTTTAACAGCCCTTTGATTTAGCAAGTTAATAAAGTAAGTGATCAGGCTCCACTGTTTAACCACTGACTGGATGGCCTGGGGCTTGTTGCTTTCTGGGAACCCTTCTGATATTGTTTTAAAATTAAAAGGAGAGAAAGTTATGGAATTTGAGTGCTCTACTTGAGTCTCCTGGCTCCTTCCTAGGCAGCCTCACCAGCCCAGCATGCCTGGCCTCCTTCCAGTGCCAAGCTTCCTCTGGTTATGTCGTCCAGTGACTGGCTGGCTGGCACGGCCAGGATCTGATGGGCTCCGTGGGTGTCACTGGCCAGGGGTTAATATCCAAGGGATTTGAAGGTCCTGGCTGTCTTTGAGGGAGAGAGTTGGATGAGAATGTAGGGTCTCGTGATGGGGTCCTGTATTAATTTCTCGTGGCTGCCATAATAAATTAGCACAAACTGATGGCTTAAAACACCAGAAATTTATTCTTTCATGGTTCTGGAGGCCAGAAGTCTGAAATCAAGGTGTCAGCAGGGCCATGCTTCCTCCAAAGTCTCTAGGGAAGGATCCTTCTGTGCCTCTTCTAATTTCTGGTGGTTGCTGGCAATCCTTAGTGACCTTGGCTTGTAGAGATGTCATCAGGTCTCGGCCTCTGTTGTCATCACATGGCCTTCTCCCTCTGTGAATCCATGCATGTGTCTCTCCTCTCCTTATAAGACACAGTCATGTTGGATTTGGGGTCTACTCTATTCCAATATGACTTCATCTTAACTAATGATATCTGCAAAGACTCTATTTCCAAATAAGGTCACATTTTGAGGCTCTGGGTGGATGTGAACGTTGGGGGGACACTATTCAACCCAGTCCGGGTTTTTCAGGAACAAGTGACAAAGAGGCGGGGACGGTGGCAAACTGATTCATAAAAGGAGGCGCGACGAGAGCCAGGCTCAGGATTCCCAAACAGTTTAGGCAGCACTGTGCAGTCGATCTTCCTGAGATGATGGGATACAGTTCTGTCACTATGCCACTTGAAATATGCCCAGTGTGGCTAAGGACCTGGGTTTTAAATTGTATCTCATTTAAATAGTCACACAGGACTAGTGGCAACCATGGCAGACAGTGAGGCTCTAAACCCTCCTGAGAATAAAATAAGAGAAGGAGGGTTTGAATGTTTAATAGTTTGGGCAAGGTCATTTGCATCCAGGGTGGTCACCGGGGGCTTACAAGGCTAAGCAAGGTAGACCGTTACTCTGTTTCCCTCCTTGATTAGGAAAAATCCTCTGTGACATACAGCCAGCCAGGCTGCATTTCACTTGGGGTCCTCTGGACCCCAGGCGTGGCCATTAATCTGGGCTGTGAGTGGTTACCTCACTCATGTGTAGTCACACACACAGAGCATCCCATGCCCCACTCCAGAGTACTCACGCCCTGGGCCCTGCGATTTGTTAGTTCCATCCCTGGAATCCTCCTATGGGCAACTTAGAAAGGAGGTGCCTTGGGGGTGCCCACAGGTGGCCCTACCTTCATCTCCTGGGTCAAAGAATGCTTCCTGGAGGAAGTGATGCTTGAGCTGAGACCAGTTGCTGCTGCAGAGTCCTGTCTGTTTTCAGTACGTGAGAGTGAGCTGAGAACTTAGGACTGCAGGTCTTTAGAACCAGAAGGAACCCCAGCAATCATCGGGACAATGGTCTTGCAAGTTCTGAAACCACCAGAGGCTCTTCTTCAAAGGAAAGATCACCTGTACTCTTGATATGTAGAGCCAGTAACAGAGGTGGGTGCTGCTTTGGATGGGGAGGTGGGAGGAGAAGGAGGCCAGAGACCTTCTCAGGGCTCCACCTTCCCTCCTCTGTGGACCCTGTAGCATAGGGTGAGGAAATCACAGGTCAAGGCTGGCATCCCTGTGGCAGACCAAGAACTGGAGGTTCAGAGAGGTAGAGAAACTTGACAAGGTCACACAGCAAATTGATGAATATTGTCAATTGGAAGATTTTGAGGATCTATTCCTGGACCCCCAACCCCCTGACATCCTTGACACCCTTCTTGAAAGAAGATAATTTGGTCCAGTTGTCAGCTATTAACACTGTGGGATATCTGCTCTCTGATCAGATGCTCTTTCTGATTTTAATCCCATCAGGAAATGGTGTTTTGATTAGTTGCTATTGTTGTTTCGCAGACTGACTGAGATTCGTAGGTAATCCTAAATTGTGCATATTACCCTTCCTAGCATGTGCCTGCTATGTGCCAGACACTGGGCAGAGTCCTTCCTCTCACTGTGTCATTTATTCTCCATGGATCCCTGATACTGGTATTATTGACTCCATTCTATAGATGAGAAAACTGAGGCTCGGAGAGGTAGAGAGTAGGATTCAAAGCCTGTGTTCTTTGCACAGGGAGATGCTGCCTCCCTAGGAGGATGGTGATAAATCTGAAATGTTCTTGATGAATTAGAAAGCAGGTCCTAAAAAATCAGGGTGCCATTTATGGGTAAGGACGAGACAATGTGGCTCAGGAGGGAAGGGGAGGCCAGATCCGAGGCCGACCACAAGCGGATATGAGGCAGCCAAGCATCCTGACAGCAATGCCATGTGGTCTGAAAGTGTGGAAAGAAGGCAAGGAGTGAAGAAATGACACAGTTATAGGAAGGGGGAACAGACAGCTTTTTGGTTGTCCTGGTGGAGCCTAGAGGGATGGGAGTGGTTATAAAAGCACAGTATGAGGGATCCTTGTGCGATGGAAATGCTCTGAATCTTGCCTCTGTCGATGACATTATGTGGATTCTGATATTGTGATATAATATAGTGTTGCAAGATGTTACCGTTGGGGGAAAATGAGGGAAAAGTACCTGAGATCTCTTTGTATTATTTTTTACAACTCTGTGTGAATCTACAATTATCTCAACAAGTTCAATTAAAATATATATATAAGTCCTGAAAAACAAAAAGAATACAAGGAATTCACCGGGCCATCTGTGTCAAAGGGGCAGAATTCCTGTTCCTTTCATGGACTGAAAGGAGAGCTGGAACATGGTATTCCAAAGCAAAGGTGTATTCAGATGTCCATATGCAATGCACTGAGGCTTAGCCTGGGCCCCTGCAGGGCTGAGAGGAACCACCTTCCTGAGATTGTTGCTAAGATAGAAGGCAATGGGAGAGACAGAGATGGCCAGAATCCCCAGAGGTGGTGCCATGTGGAATAAATACTGGCCAGGCAGGCAGGTGACACTCATCAAGTACCTACTGGGTACCAGGCACTGTTCCAGGGCTAGGGATTCAGGGGGAAGAAAGCCAGTGTGCTTGCCTGTAAGTCTTGTATTTTAGAATAGGAGATAGAATTAAACAAGGAACAGGTAAGTGAACAGGGCAATGTCCGGTGCTAACAGGGGTTATGAAGAAGACAAAAGAGCAGGCCGGGCGTGGTGGCTCTTGCTTATAATCCCAGCACTTTGGGAGGCCAAGGCAAGCAGATCACCTGAGGTCGGGAGTTGGAGACCAGCCTGACCAACATGAAGAAACCTCTTCTTTACTATAAATATAAAATTAGCGGGGTGTGGTGGTGCATGCCTGTAATCCCAGCTACTCGGGAGGCTGAGGCAGGAGAATCGCTTGAACCTAGGAGGCGGAGGTTGCAGTGAGCTGAGATTGCACCATTGCACTCAAGCCTGGGCAACAAGAGTGAAACTCTGTCTCAAAAAAATAATAAAAATAAAAATAATAAAAAGAGCAAAAAGTAGGACAGGGTGACTGAGGGGCTGCCTTTGCTGGAGTATTCAGGGAAGGCTTCACTGAGGAGGTAACCCTTGAGGGAAACCCCAAATGAGATGGAAGCAGCTGTGCAGATGTGTCGGGAAGAGTATTCCTAGCAGTAGGAAGAGCAGGTGCAAATTTCCTGAGACAGGAATAAGCTTGTTGTGTTGGAGGAACAAAATGAAGGCCATTGGGCGGGAATTATTGAAAGGGTGGAGGGAGATGAAGCTGAAGAGAAGGGCAAGGCCCAATCCTATAGGCTCTTGTAGGCTTTGGTAAGGATTGGTATTGGGAAGCTCCTAGAAGGTTCTAAGTAGGGACATGATCTGCTGTGTAGGGGATGGATTTTAGAGCAGCAACAGTGGAAAAAAGACCATGATGTGCCACTTCAATAGTTCATGCAAGAAGATAGTTGTATGATTTGAGTTTTGGCAATGGGATGGAGAGAGTTGTTGGGTTATAGGGATGCTTTGGAAGTAGAGCCACTGCAGACTCACTAGGGGTTTAGACATGGGTGGGTGAAATGAGAAAAGCCAGGATGCCTCTTAGGTTTGCCAGTCGCATCCTACCACAACTAACTCCAAAGGACTGGTTGCATTCTTGTGAATTTCCTTCAAGGGGAAAACATGAGAAATAAATGAGAATTGAGCTGAGACCCAGTAAGTTTGGAGTAGTGTGGGAATCCACATGACCAGTTTCATTGATCTGCTTCTTAGCTCTTGCTGTGGGAACTGAGAACATGCTCAGATTGTCTTGTTGATGGGATTACTCGTAAGGAGATCAAGGAGATGAGGACGTTCTGAAACATCCTGGAAGTTGCCCTGTGACGCCCAAGGAGAACTGCAGCATGTCCCTTGTCACCCTCAGCAGCTCTGGAGACCAGGCATCTTCCCATGCCAGCCACTAACCCAGGCTGAACCTGACCCAGCTGTGCTCTCTGCCTGTCCTTCTCCTGCAGCCATGCCTCCCTTGTTCTTCTCTCTCTGGGTCTCACACTCCCAGCTGCTCAGCAGGGACAGTCTGCTTGGATTGGCTGGTTCACCAGAGGGCAAGTCTGCGGGGCAGAGGGCTCAGCCAGGCCCCGACTGAGGCAGCTGGAGTCCTTGACGTCTCTCCTGAAGGTCATTGTCTTTGGCATGTGCACATATTCTTGGCCTAGTCATGGCCAGAGGATCATGGGACTCAAAACATGCACGAAAGCTCAGGTGCTGAGAGCTGCCTGTAATCTCTGAAGACATAGCAGCCACAGGGTTCATGGACTGTCCTGTTCACAAAAATCACATAATCTAGAAAGACAAATATCAGGTGGATAAGAAGGAGCTCATATGGCAGGTTAGGGGTATCTGTTTCTTTTGGTGAAAGTGTGAGGAACATAAAAAATAATCTTTTATTTGCATAATACTCTATCTATAGTGACTTGAAATTAACTTTTATCTTTGGTACTGCTTCTTAGAGGGGCCCAGGGAGCACTGCATTTGTCCACTGTTCATCAGTCTGTCAAAGTGGCTTGTTAAAATGCACTTTCCCTGGGCCCTACCACAGCACTTCTGAATCAGAATCATCCCAGGGCGGAGAGCTACTGCCCTAAGGAATATTAGCGTGATCTACATCCATTTCCTCTGCGTTGACTAACTCTGACTTCACCATTGGTTTTGTCCATCAGTTTGTCTGAAGTTAACCATGGAAGAGCAGATTTTGTAAAATCTAATTTGATAGGAATCTAGACGCTATGGACTGAATCGTGTTACTTTAAAATATGTTGAAGCCCTAACTCCCAGTGTGAGTGTACTTGGAAATAGCACCTTTTGGATATTGAGTTAAATAAGGTTATAAGAGTCACTAATAGGATTGATGTCCTTATGTGAAGAGACACCAGAGAGCTCACTTTCTCCTTTGCATGCCCTTACGGAGGAAAGGCCATGCTGGGACGCAGTGAGGAGGTGGCTGTCTGCAAGCCAGGAAGAGAGCCCTCACCAGAAACCTAATTGGCTGGGACTTTGATCTTGGACTTGTAGCCTCCAGAGCTGTGAAAAAAATAAATTTCTGTTGTTTAAGCCACCTAGTCTGTGGTATTTTGTGATGACAGTCCTAGTAGGCTAAGACAATAGTATTTTCAAACAAGTTACTCTCCATGTACTTAGGGTTTCTTTAATGTACTTACATTTCCTTGGAGCTTACATGCTAAGAATTAGTCCTTCTGGTCCCCAGATCATGTAAACCAGATGGCCTCACCACTGTGCTCAGAACCCTGCAATGGCTTCGTGGAATTTGTAATAAAATCTAGAGTCCTTGCCATGACCACTGTGGCCCAAACCCCTGCCTGCTGCTCCAGCTTCATTCTCAGCTCATCATTCCTGGTCACTGCTCTCCTGTCCCCAAGCACATTCCCACCTCAGGGCCATTGCACTTGCTGTTCTCTCTGCTTGGAAGGCCTTTTCATGCCATGCATCTCAAATAGTGTTCCCAACACTTCATTCTCTCATCTTTCTTTATTATTTTTTCAGAGCATTTATTACTAACTGATACTGTATTGTGTCTTTGTTTGTCTGTCTCTTCCACTAGAAAATAAGCTCTATGAAGTCAGGGATTTATATCTGTTTTGTCCATCACTGAATCCCCAAATAGTGCCTGGCACTGAGTAGGTGCTCAATAAATACTGGATGAAATGATGAACCTCACAATTGGAATTCTAATCACTGCTTTGTGGAGGAACCACCACATCGCTGTCTTATTCAATAAGAATTGGGGAGCTGTTACAGCTATAGTGTTCTGCCTGAGTCAGACCCTTTATAGGATGATTATCCAGTCATAGCCAACACTTACTGAACACTTGGTGTGCTGGAGAATGTACTAGATGTTAAGAAAACTGAACTGTGACCCCTGTATTTCATAAGGTAAGGGGCAGCCAGACAGAGCCCACAGAACAGCACCAGTGCCAAGGTCCTCTTGGGGAGGGCATGGACATATTCCCCCTTCCCCTGAGAGAGTGGTTTACTCACAGTGGGGGAATGGGGGTGTCAATGAAGATGTCCGTGGTCTCTGCAGAGAGATGGAGCTGATGAGACACCCAGATGGCCATCACCCCTCCTGTCCCCAAAGACTTCATACTTCTCTGACCCATTTGTGAGGAGGATTAAATGAGGGTGTGTTATGCTAGACCCAGCCCCAGGCCCAGAGGGAGCCGGGCTCACTGGTCTCAGGAGGCCCTTTCCAGCCTCTTGACCTTTCTTATTCTGTGACCATGCTGGGGATTCCTGGTCACACCTCTTACAGGTAGGAAAGCAGCCCTCAGGGAGCAGGAGGGAGGTCCTTGCTAGGGTCACACCAGGTGGTCAAGTCTGGGTCACAATACTACCCCCTCGCCATTTCACAAGCTGGAGGCTCCCACGCTGAGCAGGCTCGGTAGCTTCTTTGAAGGATTTTCCTTTGTGTGTTTATCAGATCTTGGATTTTCCACCATGGTCAGCTTGTGGTTAGTTATTATCCAGATGAGCTGGGTACCACCCACAGAATGACTTGGGGAAAGGAGGAGCCACTGTGTGTGGACCTTATCACTGTGGGCTCAGGCGTGCTTCTTGTGTCCATCATGATGTTTGATGCCAGCAGAGTTCAGGAGAGGCTCTGGAGCCATGTCCAGCTCCTCCTTGAGCCCTCAGATTCTGCTGCTTTTATAATGGTAATTACAATCCTGGAGGGGCAGAGGAGAGGGCATAGACTTTGGAGTCAGTTGTCCCTAGGTTCAGGCCTTATCTCTACCATTCGTGCCTTTGTGCTTTGGACTAAATTCCTTAGCCTTTCTGAGCATTGTTTCCTTGCCTCTAGGATAGGAACAGTATCAACCTCTTACTTTAGTTTTTTTCCTTCTCTAAGCCATTGAGCCTCAAATTGAGTTGGTCAGTGGACTCAAGACCTCAAAAACCAGCCCCCTCATGTGGCTTTGCATTGTGTGGGAAGCTGCACTCCATGACCCCTAAGTTTCCTACCAATGCTGGAGCTATAAATTAATGTCAAGAACAAAATACTTTGGTCAGCAGGGCCATCCAGAGACCCTGGTGGACCCCACTTTTAGAGCCACTGTTCCAGGCATTTGCTCCTTTGAACTTGTTGAACCTGTACATTCTGGATTGGCTTTGGGGGCCCTGATAATAGGAAGACCTTGACTTTGCTTCTCATTGCAGAATACTTGAAGGGTTTATTTTAGCTGAATTATTTCCGTGCCTTCTCCCACCCCTAAAATGAAGAGCTTCTACTTGCATTTGTAGGATCTGTCCCTAGACCAGAGCCCTCATTTGTTCTAAGAAGGAGTTGGACTCCCAGTGCCCATGTGACAGGTGCAGAAGCAAAATCTGGATCCATTCCTAGACCTCAGCCAGACCCCTATGTGGGAGGAATAATGGGAGTGGAGGGTAAAATCAGCATTGGTTTTGGAACCAGACAGATCTCATTTAAAATCTGGGCTTCAGCATTTACTGCTTTAGTAGTTTGAGGGTGTATTAGGCAGTCTCAGTTTCCTTATCTGTAAAATGTGAATCAGAGATTGTTGTGAAGATTAAATTACATAACATTTAAAGTACTTGGCACTTTGAACACTTACTAAATATCTACTATGTGCCAGGCACCACTGCTTTGTGCTGGCTCAAAGACTCACATCCTAGAGGGAAAAAGACGAGTGGATAAGCAAATTTCTGTCCCCTTGCTTTTGAGTTTTCTGGTTTATAAAGTGCTTTCACACACACCCAGTAATTTTTGTTTTTTTGAGACTGGGTCTCACTGTGTCATCCAGGCTGGAGTGCAGTGGCATGATCTTGGCTCACTGCAGCCTCTGTGTTCTAGGCTCAAGTGATCCTCCCACCTCAGCCTCCCGAGTAGCTGGGACTATAGGGGCACACCACCATGCCTGGCTAATTTTTTAAAAAATTTTTGTAGAGACAGGGTCTTGCCACATTGCCCAGGCTGGTCTTGAACTCCTGGGCTTATGTGATCCTCCCACCTTGGCCTCCCAAAGGGCTGGGATCACAGGCATGAGTGAGCCTGTGAGGAGAGGTCACTTAGCCATGGTCTCATTGCCAGCATTTGCCAGGGCTGGACCAGAGGCTAGTTTCTGACTTTTAGCAGGAGTTCCTTCTTCTGTACTTTTACAACTGAAAGCCTGAGCCATAGGCTAGAAGCATCAACATCACCTAGAAATAGTTAGAAATGCAGATCTCGAGGCTGACCCCAAACATTCTGATTCAGAATCTGAATTTTAAGAAAATTGAGACAGCTCTAGTGTAGTGGATAAATGGCAACGCTCTAGACCCTGACTGTCCAGATTCCAACCCTGGCTCCATCACTTACTTATTAGTTCGATGACTTTGGGTAGATTAGGTAAATCTCAGTGCTTCTGTGTCCTTAACTCCAAGGTGGGGTTAAGAGTCCCACCTCAAACTGACTGTTGTTTGGATTAAATGAGACAGATGTTAAGAGCCAGCATTCCTTGAATGCTTGCTCCAGGCCAGGTGAGGTGTTCACTGCCTCCCATGAGCACAGACTCATGCCTGGTGCACAGGCAGCCTCAACCAGTGTTCACTTTTTCATTACCTCGTGGGACTTGAGAAAGAGACTTAGTTCTCATGATATTTATGCAAATAGGAGAATGGTTATTTCACAGTGCTCTAAAGCTTTGATGAACCCCATGTTGAACATATCCTTAACTGCAGCGTCTCACATGAAAGTTTTTCTAGCATTGGTATAATAATGAAATTGGCATCTGAAAGCCGATACTCATTGGATATTGTGAAATGCTCTGGGAAGCTCCGTTTCAGCATAAAAAACTGTATGATTCCCATAGAATGTAGTTTATAGACAGAACAATTCCAAGCTGAATAACCATGTAAAATTATAGGATGCTGGAGCTGTCACAATTTCTAGTGATCATCACATTCTACCATCTCATTCCGCAGATGAGAAAACTGAGGCTCAGAGAAGTCAGGTGGCTTGCCTGAGGTCACCCAGATGGTTAATGGCAGAAACAGAGCTGGAAATGAGGGTTTCCCACTCTCAGCCCAGTTCTTCCCACTATGAATGTGTGTGCAGATTCTCATTCATTCATTCAATAAATATTTCTTAGGAGCTTACATGGTGCTGGGTGCTGTTTAGAAGCTGGAGATAGTAGTGAGCAGTATAGCAAGGTATTTGTCCTCTGCAGTTCACATCCTCATGTGAGAGTGAGAAAAAACAATAAGAAAAAAAGAACAAGATGACTTCAGATGTGGATGACTGCATAGGAGGAGACAAAATGGGGAAATATGCTAGCAATGATTTGGGAATAGTTGGACAACACTGCCAGAGAAGTCATCTCTGAGATAGTACATTTGAGACAAGCCATGAATAAAGTGAGTCACGAACGCGTAGGGATAAGAAGCTTCCAGCAAGAGCCAACATACTCCCACCTCCCAGCTCTTACTCCTGGTACCCACTGTCACAGGTTGGCTTCCTCAGAAACAGACTCAGAGATGATGGATCTATGTGTAGGAAGTTCACTGGGGTGGGAGGGACACAGGGTGGGGGAGAGGGAAAAGTTGAACTGTGATGCAATTCCAACAAGGGCCTGAGTCCATGCTACAGAGTTCTGGAGCTGAAATGGCTCTTTAGAGTTGTCCCACATTGCGGCAAAGGAGCCAGGTCTTTGTCCCTGTGCGAGTGATCAGTCAGTGGATAAAGACTGCTTTTGGGAAAGGTGTATGGCCTTGGTAACACAGCTCCCTTCAGAATTCCTGGGAGAGACTCAAGTGTGAGCTGTCAGCAGACAACATTCCCAGCAGCCAGAAGAATGAGTGGCTCCATGCTGGAGGGGACCTGGGCAGTACCGCAGCATCCACCATAGCCTGTCATCAGGGCACCAAAGATGTATTGCTTGCAGGTTTCTCCCACTGAAGGACATAAAAACACCTTTCTCCTGTCTTATTTTTGCCTTGTTTGAATATTCATTTATTGGTCACATACTTGTTGACATTTACTGACTTCCAACTTATGGGATGGGCACTGAAGGGGCAGAAATGAATTAGGCAAATTTCCCATCTTGGAGCTTGCAGGACTTTGTGGAGACACAAGTAGACAGAGAGATAGTTAGACATGTATTTCCATGTAGCTCTTCCAGCTGATGAATTGTACAAAAATACTTCTTCTGTGATGGATATGATGGTCACTTCAGCATTCAAATCTACGGGGTCAATGAGACCTTGACATGAAGTGCATCACACCTGAATATGTTCACCTTCATTCAATGCACAGAGATCATGGAAGCTGATAAACCCATTTGATTAGCTTTTTCTGGGAAAATGAAGGAGGGAAATTGGAAAGATTGCCTTGTACATGCAAATGATAATAAAAGTAACTAATACTTATTGAATGCTTATACTGTTCTGAAAATTACATACAGATCTTTCCGCTTTACAGGTGAGGAAATTATAAGAGAAAGTTAAGAATTCTTGAGCTTTTTTTTTTTAACTGGGAACATGAAGGCAACATTTTTTTTTAAAAAAGGCTAACAAGTCTAAAATTATATGGACTCTTCAAATTTACTTTTGACCTTTGTTCAATGTATATGAATATATTTCATAGTTTTTATCAGTTTGTATGTGCTAGGTTTGTATGTGCTTGCTTCTGTCATTTACATCTGCTGTTTTGTTATATTTATTATTATTTAATTTATTTATTTATAATTGTATTTATTATATGTTGGGGTTACATTCCCCCCGCCCCTTAATTCTGCATTTCTGAGAAGCAATAGAACAATGACTTCCATGCACAGAGGTTTCTGTTTGTCTGTCTAATGGCCGCTGGTCTGGATTTATATCTGGGCCATTTTCAGGGCCTGGGATAAGCAACAGAGGTAGGGTGGAGACAGAGAGGGAAGGTCAGGATGAATTCTCTGGATTTTCTAACTCAAATAAATTGATATACATGAAAGTAATTGGAAAGTGATAAAACACTACATCAATGTGATATTTTTGGTGTGTCATCATCATCTGGACTTCTATAAATGTGTGTCAGGTCTGATTGCAGTGTCTTTAGATAAAAGCAAAGACTTTTTTAGTAAGCATGCCATATCGAAGTGGGTATTGTTTCCATGGAATAATACCCCTGTGACGCTTCCACTCCATTCATGATATAGTGCCGGGTCACTGATGTGAGTGCCTGGCCTGGCCAGGCAGGCCAAGCCAGTGGGTCATAGGGGTGGGGTGGGAGAGGGGTGGCTCCTGGAGAGCCTGGACCATCAAGGGAGGCCACCCCTGAGCCAGCTCAGGTGAACTCTGCCTTGCAGGAGGGTTGGGCAATGTTGGCCAGAATTACAGATTTTTACTGTAAATTCTGATTTTTAGCTGACTCACTTGGGCTTTTATAAAATATTGTGTATGCCAGATAAAACATGCCATGAACTAGACTTTAAAGAGCTGCACTACGTGCAAGCCCTGGCACAATGAAAGGGATTCTGGATGGAGAATTAGGAGACTGGCCAGGGTGCAGGGGGCTGGACAAATGATATTTGAGGAGCCTGAGTTGGCACTTCTCACCCTAAGGTCTCGGGCAAGGCACCTGTTCACTATCAGCCTCCATTTCTTCATCTATACAATGAAGCTCTTACAGATTTTCCTAATGTGCAGGGAAGTACCTAATACCATCTGAGTGCAGCACCAAATACATAAATTTCTGGTCCCAGTGATTCAGTCAGCCAAAGTGGAGAACCACTGGCTTAAAGTATCTCTTAGAAATGCCTTCAGAACCTCTTGTCTAAGAAATCCCCAGGGAAGGCCATTCATCTTTTAAAGGAGGGGGTCATATTTTGGAAACAGTCAAAAGGCAAAGTTTATCAACTGAAGTAGCTAATGCCATTTGGACGGTTCCCAAAAAAGTGAGTTAGGAGTTCTAAATAAGGAGAGTAAATCCCTGGTGTGGTTAGAACTTGGCTCTGAGGAAGGCAGTTTCTTCCAAAGATCATTGTGAACATCTGCGAATTGCAGACATGATGATGCAGCTGTGAGGGGCAGCGGGGAGTCCTGCTGTCCAGCAGGGACACTGGGTGGCCACCCAGGGCTGTGACCTTGCAAGGACCCTCTAAACTCTTAACTACACCAGCTCCTTTACTAGGGTCCAGAGTGACTGCTTCCATACTGGGGTTGCAGGGGAAGCCCGGCATCATCCCAGGAACTCCTGCTGGCAGAAGCTTGTTCTTCACTGGTTGGGAAATTATAAATAAAATAATGGTCACTTTTCAAAGGTGTTCTTTGATGTCAGTGTGTGAAGAAGCCAGAGAGCTGTCCTAGGAGTGACAAGGACTCTGACTTCTCTGCCTCTCCTCTCCCTCTTCCCTCCCTTCCCTGCCTCCTGTCCCTCTGGGGTCCTCCTCTATTGACTCTCTCTCCCTACTTTACCCCATGCCCCCCAAGCCCTGCCCATATCCTTTTCCCAAGAAGCCTGTGGAAAAGGGAGGTCCTGATGAAATTGCCCAGTGAATTTGGATCAATGATTTGTAAGTGCAGCCTTGAAAAAAAATCTTCTTCATGTTCTTCACTATGATGTGGTTCTACTGGAATAATTTAATTACTGGAGCATTTAATATATTTATTAATGATCTACATCTGTGGCCCCCCTATCAGCCTATAGACTTGGATCCCTTCTCAAATAAAGGGCAGTATTCACCCAAAGATGGAAACAGCTGCTTTGGTTAGGATGGGGGAGGGGAAAGTGGGATTGACTCAACCCATTCCTCACTGTCCCCAGCCCACCCCCTCCCCAGCAGTGCCTCAGGCATCTTCCCTGGAACCTCTATGATACCTTGAAACAATGTAAAATCCAACTAATCTAGAACTAGGCATAAGAGGGTCATTCACTTGCAGGTGATGGTAAATTGGTAAAGTTGGCAAACAGCAGCAGGGAAGAGGTGTCACCAAGCCAGCCAAGAGGATGAGGAATGGAAACTGATTCACAAAAACTGTCAGGCTGTTTTTAGGTTTTAGGTGATGCCAGAAGGATATCAATAAGGTACTGTTGGTGACTATGGAAAAGGCGATTTTAATGGAGATTTGTGGTGGAACAAGAAAGTGCCTCTCCATTGGGCCAGGTTCATGTCGCTTACCTGTTTCAGGAAGAATACCCTGATTATGGCCGTCAGCAGCCCCCTGGTCCCCTGGGCTCTGGGGCAGCGTGGTGACCATCTTCCTGGGTGTTTCTCCTGTTCAGCTACCATAGAGGCAGCAAAGAGCTCCAGGTAGAGAAGAGAGCTGGGACTTTAGAGTTAAGCAGATGAATGTGGGCTCCATGGGACCTGGGGAAGAGGCCATGCCTCTTTGAGCTTCAGTTTCTTCATCTGTAAAACAGCAGTAATAAGTCCTCCTTTGAAGAATGAGTGAGTTAAGGTGGCCAGCTGGGTACCAAGTGCATGGCAGGGCTCAGTCACTATTAGTCCAGTCCACATTGCCCAAGCAGGTTTTGAAGTCAGTAACATTTCTCCCTGATTTTATTAAAGCAATACAGGTTCATTATAGAATGAATGAACTGTAAGACAACTCACAACCACGTCTCCAGCATACAAAACCTTCAGAACATCCAAGCCACAGTTCCCAGGGGCTCCTTCAAAACCTCCTCCTTGCTTCAAATGCCAAAAGCCTGGCCACTGGGCCTTGGAATGCTCACAGCCTGGGATTCCTCCTAAGCCGTGCCCTGTCTGTGAGGGCCCCCACTGGAAGTCAGACTGTCCAGTTCACATCGGGAGGCTGAGGGAGGAGAATCACTTGAACCTGGGAGGCAGAGGTTGCAGTGAGCTGAGATTGTGCCATTGCACTCCAGCCTGGGCAATAAGAGCAAAAACTCCATCTCAAAAACAAACAAACAAACAAAACACCCAGGGCATCTCACACCCATGCAAGCACACTTGAAGCGCTGAGTGAGTACTGCTACTAATGCAAAATCAAGCATGCTGTTTAGGATCCCCCATTTCCTGGAGACCCTAAATTCCTCACTCAGCCTCTCCCAGTGACAGGCAGTTCTCAGCCCCTTACCTCTGTGACAGTGACCTATATACAAGAGAAATAAGCCTTTTACAAAATATCGGTTAATGAGCAATAGACATGCTAATGGCTCACAGGTTCTGGAAAAGAAGCAGGGTGGCCCCACTTATGAGAGAGGAGACTGCAAATAGTCCTATGTCAGAGCAAGGGAGTAACAGTGACAATTCCAGCAGGGCAGCCATGTCCAGTTGCACAGGTCATGCACTGCACAGTTTTGGGCAACATCTTCACATCATGGCTCATTACTCATTACTCTCTTGGGGCTACAGGGATGTGGAGTTGCTCATGGGGCCAAGGGGTCCCAGGAGGTCAGGTCAAAAATAGTGAGACTCCCCAGACGCAGTGGCTCACCCCTATAATTCTAGCACTTTGGGAGGCCGAAGTGGGCAGATCACTTGAGCCCAGCAGTTCGAGACCAGCTTGGGCAACATGGAGAGACCCCGTCTCTACAAAAAAATACAAAACTTAGCCAGGCATGGTGGCACACGCCTGTAGTCCCAGGTACTTGGGAGGTTGAGGTGGAAGGATCACCTGAGTCTGGGGTGGTCAAGGCTACAGTGAGCTGTGATCACACTACCGCACTCCAACCTGGGTGACAGAGTGAGACCCTGTTTCAAAAAATATATATAGTGAGAATTAAATGAATATATATATATATATCTCACTTTGGCCAGGTGCAGTGGCTCACGCCTGTAATCCTAACACTTTGGGAGGCCAAGTCAGGTGGATCACCTGAGATCAGGGGTTCGAGACCAGCCTGGCCAACAGTAGAAACCCCATCTCTACTGAAAATAGAAAATATTAGCTGGGCGTGGTGGCGAGCACCTGTTGTAAGGTCCTCTAAGCTGGCCCTACCATGGTCAAGCCATGGTGACATTCCCCCGCCCTTGTGATAATGTATTTTGTGATATTCCTGGTCCTTGTGAATGTACTTTGTAACATTCTTCCCTGCCCTTGTGACAATATGCCCTCCCCGCCCTCGTGAATGTACTTTGTAACATCCTCCCGCCTTGAGAATGTACTTTGTAACTTCCATCCCCCTACCCGCAAAAATTGCTCGTAACTCCAACGCCTATCCCAAACCTATAAGAACCAATGATAATCCCACCACTCTTCGCTGACTCCTTTCTCAGACTCAGCCCGCCTGCACCCAGGTGAATAAACAGCCTTGTTGCTCACACTAAGCCTGGTCAGGTGGTCTCTTATACAGACATGGGTAACACCTGTAATCCCATCTACTCGGGAGGCCAAGGCAGGAGAATCACTTGAACCTGGGAGGTGGAGTTTGCAGTGAGCTGAGAAGTGCCATTGCCCTCCAGCCTGTGCAACAAGAGCAAAACTCCATCTCTCTGTCTCTCTTTCTCTCTCTGTCTCTGTCTCTCTCTCTATATATAAACTCTCTCTCTCTCTCTCTCTCTTTCTCTCTCTCTCTCTCTCTCTCTCTCTCTCTCTCTATATATATATATATATATATATATATATATATATATATATATTTAACTTGGAACAGGGCTTGGTATCTGGTGATATAAATGTTAACTCTGATTCCTGTTCATGTGAGTTAATGTTCCTTGTGTTCCTAGGAGGGACTACCTTGTCACGAAAAACAGTATAGATCAGACACAAACATACCTTTTCCAGTTGTTCAAACAGCTTGGATGTTTGAGGGTTCTTAAGTGGTAACTGGGTTGTTGAGGTTGTCAGTGCACAGCGAGGTTGTGTGGGTCACAAGGAAAAATGCCAGGGCTGGGGTCCGGACCACTTACAACGTTAGCTGTGTGATCCTGTTTTGAACTGAAAAGGAGGCATTACCTTTCTGACTAGACTAGGTTATTATTAAATTGCAAAATGGTAGATTGTATTAAGTTTCAAAATGTTAGATTGAAATTTTGATCAAACAAGAGAAGGAACTGTGGAAAGTAAATGGTGGAAATGACTATTTGAAGCAGTTGGGGGAAAGACAATATGCATCTCCAGGGTGACGGAGCCTTTGGGGATGAAAAGAGTGTAGCATTCAGAATGAGAAGGCCTGGGGGGATTCTTGGTGTATCCTGGGACCAGTTTCTTACATTCTCTGTGTCTTCATTTCCTCACCTATGAAATGGGAATATGATATGCAAGCACTCACTCCCCTGACTTCTGACATGAAGATAAAGCTAGATTAGTATGAAAGTGCTTGAAACACTGAAAAGTCCTACACAATGGTGCTTCCACTACAGCTTAATTCTGTTATCAGAGTCCACAAGCCAGCTTATTTGCCTCTGCTGCCTACTCTAAAATAGCAAGTAACCAGACTTTTATGTGCCAAGACAGAAATAAATGGATTTTTAAAATATTTGGTTTCAGTGCTTTTGTGTCATTGACAGGAGTCTGCTAGAGTCCTAGTGCCCTCCTGGAATGATCCAGGCCTAGAAACGAAGCTGTGTGTACCCCCAGTGACACCAGAAGGAAGGACAAAAGCGGCTGTCTCCCCACCCACCTACACACTTTGTGCTAATTGGGTTTCTTTGTTGCCCTCCCCAGAGGCTGGGAAGGAATGTGCAGCCCAGGCAGAATTCCTCTCTGCACCCTGCCCCTCCCCTTGAGGTCACCACTCTGGGATCGCTTATGCCTGTGGAGAGTGTAGAATGAGGTAGAGGGCAGAGCCAGGAGCAAACAGCCAGCAGCCAGGGAGAAGTCAGGGACTCCGCCTTCTTTCCAAACTGCAAATTACAAGGAGATGGCCAAAAAGCCTCTTGGCATGTGGCACAGAACATGGGCTTTGGAGCTGGATGAACTGGGTTCTTATCTGCTACTCACTGTGCAACCTGGGGCAAGTCAGTCTAACTAAGACTGGGTCTCATTTCTTTCATCTGTGAGCTGGGGACTTTTGTATCTGCATCTTGGTGTTCTTGTGAGGAGATTAAGCATACAATGCAGTCTTTGGGTATATTAGTCTGCTCAGGCTGTCATAACAGCATGCCACAGACTGCATGGTTTAAACAACAGAAATTTATTTTCTCACAGTTCTGCAGGCCAGAAGCCCAAGACCAAGGCGCTGGCATGGTTGGGTTCTGATGAGGTCTCTCTTCCTGGCTTGCTGACGGTTGCCTTCTTGCTATGTACTCACATGGTGGAAAAAGATAGAGATCTCCTTCTTGCTCTCCTTCTTTTTATAAGGCCATAGCCCTTTCAGATTAGGGCCCCACCCTTATGGCCTCACTGAAACTTAGTTACTTCCTTAAGAGCCTTTCTCTAGATAAAGTCACATTGAGAGTTAGGACTTCAACATATGAATTTGTGGGGCAGACAATTCAGTCCATAGCGTCATGAAGGGTGGAATTGGACAATATAATCAAAAGGTAGTAAAAAGAACAAGGACTAGAACATGAATGCTGAAACTAAGGATGGGTCCCTGCCGCATTCTGCAGCTGTCAACAGCCATTTCCCAGATCCAGAACAATGCAGATCAAATGGTAGGAAGACGCTTGGAGTTGATGGAGAGGTCCCCTTCCCAGACCAAGCAGTTTTGTGTGATGCAAAGCAAATATAGGAAAGCTTGAGAAACTACACTGATAACCCCCAAATCTGGGGACTGTCATGGTATAGCTGGACTGGGAAAAAATGCAGAACTGCCTTCTTGAAGCTTCTTCCGTGACAGATACTTGCATCCTGAGACCTAGGCCAGAAGAACCTCTAACCACTCTTATTCTTTCTTCATCCCTGTGAAAAGGATGGGAAAAAAATTCTAAGCAATTAGCAAGGAATATGAGCATCAATCAAAGAAGGACAGTGGCAGTCCTTCTGGATGGCAGTCAACAGTTCCCCCATCCATCTCTGCATATGCTGCTCCTCCATCCAGAAGCAGATTCCCTTCAACCTGGGCTGGCTTTTGACTCACTTTGTCCATAGGATTTGGAGGAAGTGACACTGTGCCAGGTCTAGGCCCAGACCTTTTGAGACCTCGTGGCTTATACTACTGTTCTTTCAGAACCCAACTTCAATGTAAAGAAACCCAGATTTTCCTACTGGAGAGAGGCAACATAGGGAGAGAGGCCCTGGAGGATGAGAGATCACATGAAGAGAGAGAGTGGCCACACAGACAACAGCCTCAGTGCCCCGCTGGGACCCTCCAACCTGAGTCACACTGCCCTAGCCATAACACATGGAGCAGAGACAAGCTGCCCTCACTGAGCCCTACATTAATTCCTAACCCACAGAATTGGGAGCAATAAAAGGATGATTTTAAGACACTGCATTTCGGAGTGGTTTGTTAGGCAGCAATGGATAAATGAAGGAGGACCTTCACATCAAAATGGCCTGTGCATCCTGATGCCAGCACTCCACGTAGGCTGGATGTATACCTGACCCAAGGGAATGTCCTGTTGCAGCATGATCAACACAATTAAAGCAAGTGAGACCCTGAAGACTAGGATGTAGACAGAGGCTGCCCAAGGCCCAGCCCCATTCTCTCACCTTGCTCAGGCAGCCAAAGGACCAGACTGGACAAATGATGAATACCCATTACCCATCTCTCTAGTTCCTGTTCTAAGGGAAGGATTCAGACAGTGCCTGGGAACTAAGGGAAGTAGGGCTTCTTTCCAATATGTAAAAAGGGATCTGGGTGAGTATTTTGAAGAGAGGATTTTGTGAGGAGGACTTTTGGATTGTGGAGAGAGGTGAGATGGTGCTTCATCTCTCAGTTCAACTTATAGTATGTTTGGGGCTGGGGTGGAGTAGGGGAAGCCCTTCAGCAGAATGACTCAGAGAGCCTGGTTTTGTGTCCTGCAGTTGAGAGATATCTGCTCCGATGCTTGACATAGGCCCAAAAAGCTCGAGTGGTCTTTGACACATGGAAGATGAAATAGAGGATGGCATTTGAGAAGTGCCTCCATTCCCACTACAGCAAGACAAGGGATGCATGCCTACATTTGATTGATGAGAGGCAGATTATGCCAAGTCAGATGGGAGCCCTAATATCTAAGACCTGCCTGAGAAGACGGAGTGAGGACCGGTGATGAGGACCTCTGGGGCTGAGAGGTGGGAAAGCTGGAGGGATAGAATACAGCCTCTACCCCAGGGGATTTGCAGCCAGACCACAACTGGGGAGTCTCTGAAGCTGGAGTCACCTATCAGTCAGCAGCCACCTAAGAGCTTTACGGCTCTGCTTCCTTTCCTTCTCTGGGCTCCAGCCCCTCAGGAGCTTGGAGCCCTGCTTCATAATCTGAGGGCAAGAGGGGAAAGGGGAAAATCAGCACACTGTACCTTCCTTCCCTGACCCCAAGTTCCCACCTGTCACAGGTGCTAGCTAGGGAGGGTAGGAACCACTTGCAACTTGCCTATGTAGAGATAAAGGATTTCTTACTTTGAATTGAAGATTCAAGTGTTCATTCATGCAATAAATATTTGAGTTCCTACTCTGTGCTAGGTATTGGTTGACACTGGGGATTTAGCCGTGAGCAAAATACATAAAAATATCCTCCTTCGTGGAGCTAACATTTTAATGGATTAATATCTAGGACTAGACACTTTAAAATTGATATTGTATGTTGTGTCTTAGTGACCACAGGACTGTTACCTAAAAGACAGTAGAAAATTCAAGGGACAGGTAAATATAAAACAATTATTTAAAACATTTGGATTTAAATGGATGGCTATTTCTCAGACATACACTACCAAAAGAAAGCTGAAATAACTACATTATCCTTGGAGAACAGAGAACATTAAGGATATTTTTTAAAAGTGACCATGTAATCAGTTGTTCAAATGAGGACTCTTTTCAGAGTTAAAAGAGATGCTATTAGTAAAGTCTATGGGGACAACATGTATTAATATAAGAGGTGCTATTAATAAGACCTGTGAGAACAGCATGTGTTAACTAGGACTATCTCAGGCAAACAGGGACCTATGGTCATTCTGGGGATAAAACAGATCACTGCATAGAGATAAGAGGGGTTCATGAAGCGTAACAATTCTGACCTTGTTTGTACCTAATAACATAACTTCAAAATAAATAAAGCAAAAATTGGCAGAATGAGAAGTAGAAATGGACAGATACGTTTTTATAAAGGGGGATTTAAACATAACTCTCTCTACAACTGACAGAGTAAATAGACAAAAAATGTATGGGGGATATGGAATATTTTATCAACACAAGTAAAAAGCTTGATCTAACAGGTGGTGGGCCAGTTCCAGCCCACCACCTGTTTTTGTCAATAAAGTTTTATTGAAATACATCCCCATTCATTTATTTCCTTATTTTCTATGGCTATTGTCTATGGCTGCTTTTGCTTTACAATGGCAGGTTGAGTAGCCATGACAGAGACTGTATGGCCTGCAAAGCTGAAAGTCTTGACTATAGCACATTTGCTAACCCCTGATCTAAAGCATTTATATAAAATCCTGACTCTTAACAATTTTTAAAGAGTACATATACTTTTCAGGTACATGTGAACATTTGCAAAAATTAATCATGTAGCAAATGTCAACTAATTTTTAAAATCCCAATATCATAAACATCTCTAACTACAAGAAAAACCCCCAATATCATATATGTCTCTGACCGCAAAGCAATTCAATCAGAAATCAATAATTAAAAGATAACTAATCCCCCATAAGTCTGAAATTTTAAAAATTCTTCGAAATAATTAATCAAAGAAGAAATCTTAGCGGAAATTATATATTTGAATGAATTTCAAAATGAGTGGGAAATGGCTAAAACAATTCTGAGAGGAAATGTATAGCTGTAAATATTTATATTGGTAAAGAAGAACTCAAATCAAGAAGTAAGAAAAAGAACAAAAGAGTAAATTCAAAGAAAGTAGCAGAAGGGAAATTAACAAAATAGAAAATAAAGAGACAATAGAAAAGAGCAACTAAATCAGAAAACAAAAGATAAAGAATTCTTTAGCAAGACAGACCAAGAAAAAAAAAAGACAAATGGAACAATTAGACACTACTGAGAATGAAACTGATTTGTGGTTAAATGGCAAAGCACTGGAGAGTGCTGGGTGATGGGCGAAGTGTATTCATTTTATTAGTCTCTGTACATTTCTGTATATTTGAAAGATTTCAACACACACATACACACACAGACATGAAATAAAATCTGCAAATAAACAAAAAAAAGGGAGAGTGGGCTCTGAATTCAAACTGCCTGAATTTTAACAACGATTCTACAATTTATTAGTGAGTATCTTAGGGGCAAGTTACTTAAATGCATCTCTTTAAAATGGAGGTGATAATAGCTTCCGGCCCATACCTCCACACTGCCTCCTTCATGAGGCTCTGGGAATTCAGGACAAGGATTCATTCACTCTGATTTTTAAAACTCTTTCTCTAGTTAAGGTTGCCCCAGAATTACTTAACACCTCTCCCTCACCTTCCACAGCAATGCTTAAACTACCTGGAGAGCTTGGGATGCCACTCAGGAAGCGTGGGGAGGGAATGAAGAAGGGGCAGAGGTTGGAATGCACAAGGGGGAGAGAACCAGCATTTATTAAATCTCCACAGTGCATGGGCTAGTGTGCTAAATGTGAATACCTATTTCCTCCTATAGACGGGAATAATAATATCATCTGCTACTGACTGGGTTCGTTTTCATTCGGTATGGTATGTCCAATGTCCCCACAACCTTGTACTTTCAGGCCACTGCTTCCAATGACTGCGTGGTGTTTCAATGGTGTTTCACATCCCCCCATAACCTCTTCTTATCCTCACCCCTAGTCTAAAGCACTTGGGTTGCTTTCAGTCCTTGCTAAGAGAAACAATACTTGAACACATTTCTTCATCAATGCCCCCGCCCCCAGGGATTTACATCTGGGAGTGAGCTTTCTGGGTCACAAAGAAGAAATACTATATACTGCAGACTGTTTTCCAGAACGGCTGAATCCATTTGAACTCCCACCAGCAGGACACGAAGAAACAGGAATCTTTGCACCCTGCTCACCAACACAGGCATTATTAATATTTACCTGTGGGAGTTTATTAGTATTTTGTTGTGTTTAGTTTGGGTTTTTGAATTACTAGTACATTTGAAGGTCTCTTCATACGCTGTTACCCACTTGGATTCTCCCTTCCATGAATTGCCTATTCATATGCTTTGCCATTTTTTAAATTGAGTTTCCTGTCCTTTTCTGATTGGCTTTCTGGAGTTCCTTGTATATTCTAGAAATTGATGGTATGTTGTGTTTAGACATCGCAGATGCCTTCTCCCAGTCTTCATATGCCTGTGACATTGCTGAGGTGTCCTTGACTGGACAGTAGAGCTGGCCCCTAGTCACTCAGCTCAAGAGGGTGGAATCAGGATTGGAACCCAGGCCAGTCTCCCTCAGGAGTTCATGCTCTTTCCATAGTGTTCCTCCCTCCCCACCTGCTTTCTTCAAAGAGGGCAGTTCTGCACTCAGTCAAGGCAGCCTGTGGGTATTTGGAAAGAGAGGGAGTAGTGCATCTCCAGAAATTGCACAAGGTAACCTCCCAGTAGTGCTTCAGAAGCCATGTTGATGCCTAAAGGGTGAGGATTTGTGATTTGTAAAAGACCTTTTCTGGAGCTGTTGGAAGCTCTCATTTCTCCTCGTCCACCTTAGCAAGGGGTAACTGTCACCTTCCTGGCTGTAATTATCAGAAGTTAAACATACCTCTAAATGGAGCATTGAACCACAGGTCCTCCTGGTGACCTGGGATCCCACTGACAACCCAAGATGAATATGTGAAGAAAACTTCCTCAGTGTGCCCACATCCCCTGCTCAGCCTAGCCATGCAGCAGGCAGTGTCCTCATTTCTCCAGCATCCCACGTAAGGAACCTCAGGTAATTCACCTCTGGCTCACTTCCACCCCGTTTTCTGCCATGTCCTGCCCCATCCGGCCCCATCCTTTTTTCCCTGCTGTGTCAGGTTTCATTGCAACTCCTTTGATCCATCCTCCTCTCTGCATCACTTCCCTCCACCCCAAATTATTGTCTGTCTGATGTCTCCATCACCTTTGTCCTGACCTAGCTACTTTTATATAGCCATTTCTCATGGCCGAAAAATGTGGTCTAAGGCTTGGATGTGGGTCTCAGCTTTGCCATTTATCAGCAGTAGCAAGAAAACCTTACTCAGCCAGCAGCGGGCTCCTCAATAAGCATTCAGTAAATGCCTACTATGTGTTAAGTGCTATGATGGGCACCAGCAATTCCTCAGTGAGTGATGTAATCCCTGCTCTTCATTTGCTCACTTTAGGAAGGGGCAGACATTTAAGCCACCAGATGCATCCAGTGTGATGAGTTGATCAAAAAGATGTGCTTAGAAGTGATTGATTTGGCCTAAAAGTGGGTAGAGATGGTCAGGAAGACATCTTATGGGAGCTGACACTTGAGCTGAATCTGGAAGGGTGGGGACGAGTTTTCCAGGTGGACAGTGCTAGCAGAGGGCAAGAGCATGGCAAGATGAAGCAAGTGGTGTGTTAGGAATGCAAGTTTGTAGCCCTTCTTTCTCATGGGGCTTGCAGGAGAACCACACATAAAAACACATATCGTGAATCACCAACAAATGCTGTAAGAATAGATGCTATGTTTTTGTTTTGTTTTGTTTTGTTTTGTTTGAGGCTGAAGTCTCCTTCTGTTGCCCAGGCTGGAGTGCAGTGGTGGGATCTCAGCCCACTGCAACTCCTGCCTCCTGGGTTCAAGCAATCCTCATGTCTCAGCCTCCTGAGTAGCTGGGATTACGCCACCATGCCTGGCTAATTTTTGTATTTTTGGTAGAGATGGGGTTTCACCATGTTGGCCAGGCTGGTCTCAAACTCCTGACCTCAAGTAATCTACCCACCTCGACCTCCCAAAGTGCTGGGATTACAGGAGTGTGCCACTGCACCCAGCCGTAACAGATGCCTTTAGTTGTTAGTTAATGAAAATTTGCCTTCTGGGTTTGATCTGAAATAAGAGAAACACTTAAACTTCTTGTTTCACCAGGTTTGAATGGCCTACTCCATGGCTGCCTTCCATGTACCCACCCCGATTGTGCCATAAGCAAAATGCCACACAAGAATGTGCTTTCTGTTCAATGCTGGCAACAGTTCTCCATGTTATCTTTATGTGTGCTATGTGTCTAAGCTTTATGGAAGCTACTGAGAGGCTGGAGTGGACAAGACTTGGGATTGTGGAGTCAGGCTGAACTGGGTTCAAATGCTGGTACTGCCACTTTCTACATACTAATACTGGCCCTGCTTCCAAGGCCACCTTGATTAGTTTAGGATGCTCCACAGCTCTTTGGGGACTTACTCCAGAACCAACAGGTGACTAATTGCATCAACGGCACGTGGGCTTCAGTGGTTTAATTCTGAAGGCAATCTGATTTCTAAGTTTTGGGGATGTGGTTCTCCAGCTACTCAGGAGGCTGAGACAGGAGGATTGCTTGAACCCAGGAGGCAGGGGTTGCAGTGGGCCGAGATCCCACCACTGCACTCCGGCTTGGGCAACAGAGAGAGACTTCTGTCTCAAAAAACAACAACAACAATAAAAAAAAAAAAAACAATAAAAAAGCATCGATTCCTACGGCACTTGTTGGCGATTCATGATATGTGTTTTCATGCCTGGTTCTCCACATGCCACTAGGATAAAAGCTAAGCCTCCTCCATGGGCCTCTGAGGCCTGTTATGGGTCAGCCTCCCTATCTTCCCCTGCTTCCCTTTGAACTGTCTAGGTCCCATTAACACTGGCTGTGACCATTCCCATTCCTACCTCAGGGGCTTTGTACTTGTTGTTCCTTCTGTCTAGAACTTTCTTTTCTTTTCTCTTTTTTTCTTTCTTTTTTTGAGACAGGGTCTCACTCTATCACCCAGGCTGGAGTGCGGTGGTGTGATCATAGCTCACTGCAGCCTCAAACTCCTGGCTCAAGCCATCCTCTTGTTTCAGCCTCCTGAATAGCTGGGGCTGCAGGCATGCACCACCATGCCCAGCTAATTTTTATTTTTTGTAGAGAAAGGGTCCCACTATGTTGCCCAGGCAGGTCTTGAACTCCTGGCTTCAAGTAACCTCCCACCTCAGCTTCCCAAAATGCTGGAATTACAGACATGAGCCACTGCACCTGACCCCCTTCTGCCTAGAACTTTCTTTCACCTAATCTTTATATGGCTGACTTCTTTTCAGTCAGCAGGTAACAGGTATCAGTTCAGATGTTACCTCTTATTACATCCCCAGGCCATCCTGTTTTACTTTCTTCATAGCACCTCTTACCTGAACCATCTTATTTATTTATTTACTTATTTACTGTCTGTCTCCTCTGCTAGAACCTAAGTTTGATTTTAGCAGGAACCTTATCTGTCCTGATTACTGCTGTATCTCCAAAACCCAGAGCAGTGCTGATTTTGCATATCATGCATATAACGTGTATGCCTTTTACACTCAGTAAATGCTTTTGAATCAATGGGCAGTTGAATAAATGGATTCACTGAAAGGAATGCTTTCATAAAGGAGCAACTCTCCATTTTAAAATGGGGAAAAGAATTTCTTGGGTACCTATTCTTACCTGTGGAATGGAAACATAAATATTTGTGGAACCGAAACACACTAATGCATAATAAAGCTTTCAGTTGCAAATGCAATGGAGAGTGGTCATAAATGAATAGTAATTACAAGATTAGCATGCTGTGGGAGTCATATTTTAGGCCAACTCATAATTTTGAAATAGAGTTTGGAAAAGCGTTTCACCCAGGTTATGCAAGATTCATGGCTATAATCTGGTGGCAGGCACTAGCCTTAGGGAAGCCGGGCCTGCATTCAAGTTCTGGTTCTGCATCTTAGCCATGTGACTTTGGGCCATTCCCTTAACCCTCATGGGTCTACATTTACTCATATGTGGAATGGGAACATACCAACCACCATGGTGGCATGAGAGCTAAAAGAGGTGATGGATATAGTTCATACAGCACAGGGTAGGGAGAGGGGAAGAACTGTCCCCACGTGACCCCACTCTCCTGTGGCTCTGCACTCCAGCCCTGGCAGTGTGAGCGCAGAGGTCATGCCAGATAAATGTCTGCTGAGTGCTGGCTGAGGGACACTCACTCAGAAGCCAGCTTTCCACAAGCCTCACAGACATGACGTACTGGGGCTTGAATTTCACCCATGGCCTAAAAGCAAGGTCCCATTCTCTCAGCTCTCATTACTCAGTGTCTTCTGGGGATTTCCCTTGGACAGCAAGATAAGAGTGCCCAAGGTCAAGACCATCAGGAGATGAAGCCCCCACCACTGGAGGATGGACCGTGTAGGGGTGGGGAGGAGGCTGAGATTGAGAAAGGGCAGTGCTGTGGGCTGCTGTGGGTAACTACAGGAAGGCATCAGAGCCCTAGACATCTGTAGGTGAGGAAGCCCAGGCCGCAGTGCTGAATGGTTGGGGAAGAAGCTACTGTCTCCACCACAACAGGCTGTGCTGGTCTGGTCTGTGGAATGGCTAGTCATGGTTCCCTTCTACATGTGTCTCTTGTCGAGGCTGGCTGTGAAGACCCTGTGTTTAGGAAGAGTTGTATGGCATGGGGCAGGGGTGGGGTTCCCCAGCTCTTCTCCTTTAATGGTCTCTCATGTATTATGGTTACATATTGGGCATCAGAGAGCACTGCATGGTCCCTCCTACTTGATGGCTTTATGGTTCTCAGCCTTCTCCCTTTGGCGTAGAAGATCTGTCCTCTATGGCTAGCAGCCAAGAGGAGATTTCCACAGAGATTTCTATCCACTGTGGTCCTGCGGAGAGAAGTCGCACCTGTTAATGGCTGGGGATGGACAATTGCAAGGCGGTATGTGGGTGCACAGTCTCTCAGGCACCCTGTGTGTCACTAGGTCTTGCCAGTGTGTTTGGGAGGAGGACCAGCTGGTGAACATTGCCTGGCAGCAGTGTGAGCCACTGTTTTCCAGCTGCCATGATAGGACTGTTTCCAGATCACCAGAAAGACAGGGCAAGATTGGCGCCTAGTGTTGCTCCTGCTGGTGGAGGCTGTGGGCCAAATGGCAAGAGGACTAGATAGGGTGATGGGGGGCTGCATGACTGGACTCCAGTCCCACTTCTGCTTCTTACTGGCCATGGAACCCAGAGCCTCAGAGCCCTCATCTCGAAAATGAAGGGGTTGTTTGGGAGGCTGAGGCAGAAGAATCGCTTGAACTTGGGAGGCAGAGGTTGCAGTGAGCCAAGATCGCACCACTGCACTCCAGCCTAGGCTTCAGAGCAAGACTCCATCTCAAAAATAAAATAAAATAAAATAGATAAAATGAAATGAAGTGGTTGGATCAGGGCCTGGAGACAGCTAAGGTCCTTCTTGCTGTAGGAGTCTCAGAGGCCCCAGAGTGCATAGGCACTTTACCAGGTCCAGAAAGCGCTTGGCTCTGAGTGCTGCAAGGACCGCCCCCCACCCCCTCCACCCATCCTGCTAGGCTGCATTTAAGGAGCAGAGAACCTTGGCAGTTCTAACTTATCTGTCCCCCCACCCCCAAGGAGGAGTGCACCCTCAGGGAAGGGGACACTCTGTTTTTCACAGACAGGGAACTGTTGGAGTGGTGGCTTCGCAGCCCAGCTGGCCAGTCTTCTCTGGGGTGAGCAGCCCAGGTCCCCCCCCACCCCCTACCAGCCTTGGTATTTGCTAATTTCCCTTCCCAGGATAAATGCGTCACTATCACTCTTAAAATGAAGTGTCCAGATGGGAACACAATACAGATGTGGCCCAGTCATTCCAGAGGAATGCAAGAAAGCTGCTGAGATTGTCTAGAATTCAGGCATTTCCTCAGTGGGCTTTATCCTCTATTTATTCCATATCCATGACATCTTATTTATTTTTTTGTTTTTGTTGTTGTTTTGTTTTGTTTTTAAGACAGTCTTGCTCTGTTCTCCAGGCTGGAGTGCAGCGACATGGTCATAGCTCACTGCAGCCTTGAACTCCTGGCCCTAAGCGATCCTCCCTCCTCAGCCTCCCCAAATGCTGGAATTACAGGCATGAGCCACTGCACCCGGCCCATGGCATCTTATTAAACATCTGTCCGTTGCAAGCTGAGAAAGAGGTTTCTGTTTGTGCTCCTCGTGTTTGTTAAGTTTGCTTAATGAAGGCCCTGTTTAAAGGGAAGGACTGCCTCTAGCTCCCCCTAGAGGATAGCTGGCTGGGATTCCACAGCCTCAGCCCTGGGAGCACCTGTGTATGTCTCAAAGCAGCAGAGAGATTAATGACCTGGGTCATTTTGTTTATTAAAATATCACCTTGGGGGTTCTTTATACCATTGTAAAAATGGTTCAACTGAGTGCCTTCTGTCTTCTTAAGCCAGTGCCTCTGGACACTCTTCTTTGTAACTTGGGCACTCGGGGGCTTCTCTGGGCCTCTGCTTGCTCATCTTTAGAATAAAGTATTTTTTTTTCCAGTTGTAAATTAATTATATGGTTCTTTATATTAATTGTATGGAGTTAGATAAGGACTCATCTGTACAACTACAGCAACTGCGATTTTCGTATTCCCTCTTTTAGGAATTTATTATAAAAAGGACTCAACCTTTTCCTGACTTTATGCCTCCAAATTCCCATTTCTCACCCTCTCCTGACGTTTCGCCTTTCCCCACCCCCTCCCCGTGGTGCTCCAAGCTCAGTGGGTGGCAGCACAGCACGATGGTTCAGGACAGTGTCTCTGGAGGGTGCTCTGGGCCCGTCACTAACCAGCTGGGCGGCCCCAAGTGAGTCACATAACCTCTCTGTCTGCCTCATTATCTGTAAAAAGAGGATGTGGTAGCATTTGCCTAACAGCAAATGTAACTGATAATTAATGCATATAAAATGCTTAGAATAGTGAAAAATGGTGTTCAAAGAAGCATTCGTTGTTATTGTTGTGTTTCTATGGGGTGAGGTAGCCAGTAAAACCCAAGGTTAACACCAGACTGTTTTCCTCTAGGAAATACAACAAACAAGCAAGCAGAAGACATGGATCCTGAAGTTTCTTATGAGCAGGAGACTAGCACAGACCACTGTTCCTACCATTGGGAGGACAGCACACCTGGCTGGCTGCCAGAGTGGGCCTTGGGGAGTAGGAAAAGCCAAGGGCTTAAGAGATGGAAGATCTCCTGGGTCACACCCAGGAGACTATTCACTAGCTGCCCACTGGGCAATAAACACCAACTGAGGACCCAGGTGACACAAACCCTGCATTAGGTACAAAAAAAAAAAAAATCTGGTCATTGGAGGACTCAGGCCAATGGGGGAAATAAACTGGTCAATAAACAATCATAGTGCCCTGTAAGGGCTGGAAAAGGGCATCCTAGGAGTCTGCAGTTGATAGGAAGGGATTGGGAAGGGCACAAGGCCAAGAAATAGGACAGGCAAGATCCAAAGGAGTGAGGACTTGGTGATGTCAAAGGCTTCAGGGCCATTACAGGCAAATCCATAAGCCACATGCCACATAGGCCACCTGGCTTCTTAAAGAGATCCACACTATAAATTGGAGGTGAAAAGTTAGAAAACTACTTCTTAAAATGAGGTACAACAGTGAAGCCAAATTTATTTTGAATTGATTCTTTTTAAAAGACTGTAACCATATATAAACTCAAAATAACCACATTTCACCATGACACTGTTTTTAGGGGCCCAGCCAGGAATGAGGGTCAGTACCTTGGAGAGCTCCAAGGGGTTCCAAAGGGCTGAGGCATGCACTAGTTCAGCATGAGGCAGAAGCATAAGCATGAACCTACCAGGATCAGTGTGGGGCCAGCCCCTACTGGTGTGGGCTTCCATTGCCAAGGCTGGTGCTTCTCCTCTTAGATGGAGGTCCCAGGGACTAGGAGATGGTGGATGGGGGGCAAGGGACCTAAGATGGACATTTGTTATCTGCCCTCTCTCTGGATGGAGTCTTCTTGGTACCCAGGAGAGATCATTGCACTCATCCTGGAGTCAACTAGTGGGCCCTGATGCTAGGATGCTTGTGGAGTTTTGCTTTCTTACAAGTGGTTGATCGCACTTCTTCAGTGGAGGTGACTTAGTTATTTGAGATAAGCAACTGAAAGGATTGTTGCTGCCTGAAGGCAGAATCGAAAAACTGGGACAAGCTTCATAGCAGTTCTGCCATTTCAACCTCTTGGATGTGGATTTCTACAATTACCCAATCAGTCCAGGTCTTGTGGGCAGCTGGGGGACTATCTGTGAGATGGAGGGTGAGGCCTGACTTTGAAATGTTTGTTGTGGCTTTTGGCCCTGAACACTGGAGCCTGATTAAGTTTTATGCCAGTCAGGTATAAAACTTGACTGGCTGCAATTTGGGCAGCTGCACCCACATGCATCTGGTGTGTGCATGTACACTGTTCTCTTCATCAGATGGACATGTCGTTTGGATATTTCTCTCCTGGAATGAGACATTGAAAAGTAATTTATAGCTTCAGGAAAGTCCCCAGTCAAGCATGGACTCGGCGAGATGGTGATGTCAGCAGATTTATTCTCAGGGACCTTCCCCTTTTTCTTTCATCTGAACCCTCCTCCCATTCACTTGTTCCCCATGTGTTTACTGAGTGTCTTTTTGTGCACAGGCCCAGGATCTGCACCCACAGTCAACTGTAACAACCATATGGCCTAGATCATCTGGGACAATTCTGATTAAGGGGCATTTATTCTTTTCATTAAAAGTGATTTGTTAAATATATGGGGGAATGTGATTTGACTTTAGCTTTTGTAAAGCATAAATAAATTCATAAATCAGGGAAATAATCTTCAGTTGAATTACATGTCAGAATTTTGCATGCAGAAAATATGGTCACCATATATCTAAGACAGAGAGAGAAAACAATTTGCATCTCCTGGGCCAGTTCAATGCATTGGAAGAATCACCTGTATTGAGAAGGAGCCTGGGGTCACTGTTGATTAGTGGCACCTGCCATGGGCATCACGTGGCAAGTGATGGCATGAAGACCGTGTCTTTGGTACCACCTGTTTCTGTTCTGAAGGCCTACTGTCCTCACACTGTTCCAAGTCTCTCTTATCAATATAAAAAGCTGTCTGAGCCGTCAACAATGAAGGGTTATTAACCCTAACATGGTAACCATCCCAGAGGCTGGAAGAGACCTGTGCCTCAACTGTGCCTTCATGGATAGGCCAGGAGAAGGGAATATTTTAGGTCTCAGCACTCCTTGCACAACACATAGGAGCTGTGCTCTGAACCCCAAATTGTGTTACTTAGCTTGAGACCACCTAGTAATGGGAAGAGCCTGGTGTCCAGAGGCAGACAGACCTGGCTGTAAATCCTGAATTCTGAAGCATCAGCTGTATGACCCTGGGAAGGTTACTTAACTTTTCTGATCTTCAGTTTACTCCTTTTCAAAATGGAAATAGTAATTCCTACCTCTTAAGTTTATTATAAGAATTAAATCATAGAACACATTTAAAGCCACTGTGGTTTTGCCTGCCACATAGCAGGTGCTCCATAAATGAGATCCCTTATAACAACTTGTAAGAACTGCAGGCTCCATCCCTTGCTCCATATGGGCCGTTTGAATAAACCTATTTTAAGTAATGGATGTCACACATAATTTGGGCAATAATTCCATTTCACTTCTACCCCCAAATCTGAAAAATAAATAAAGGAAGTTGACCTTTACTAAGTGATTTGGAATTTCACTGGAAGGTTCTATAATTGCTAGTTAACAGGCCTGGGAAACCAGCTCTTGTGCTGTAATTGGAGGTGTGCAGGTCAGGACATTTAATTATGGCCTGGCCGCCTGGAATAGAAAGCTTGCCACCATGACAACACCTTTTTGCATCTGCCTGATTAAGTCAACAAATTGTTGGTTCCCAGCCCAAACTGGACTGTGACAAGTGCTTTCTTCCCCTGGATTCTGCCTGTCATGATGTGCCTGTCAAATTTCTTTACAAAGGCCAGGCTCAGGTAGGGGAACTCAATAGAAGGAGGAGAGGACACAGCCCTGCTCTGGAGATGCCTGCAGCCTAGTGGAGAGGATGAACTGGACCTTCTGGGGAGCAGGAAAGGCATTTTGTGGTCTTTGGGGCAACCCAGCTGAGTGGTCAGGAGAGCATGCCCTCTGGAGCCTCAGGTTCAAGTCCAGCCCCACCCCTTGTAGAGGTGTGTGCCTTGGGCAAGTGAGTCAACCTCTTTGGGCCTAGTTCTTGATCTCTACCAAATGGGGGTAGTAATCTTACTTTATAGGGTTGTTGTGAAGATTAAATGGGGGTAGTGTTTATGAAGTGCTTAGGACAATGTCTAGCCCATAGTGGATGCCCTGTTAGTGGTTGATAATATTATCAGATTTGTGACTCTAATTTTCTGGAAATAGCAGTGACTTCTGGGGTCCAAGTTATAAGGAAAGTCAGCATGGGCTGCTGAGTGCCTCCTTCACAGCCTCCTCCTTGGCTGGAGCCTCCTGATGCCTTCCCCCTGCCCCCCATCATGACTACACACCTTGGTGCCTTTGCCCTGATCTTTGTCCCCTTGACTTCCTGACCTATTCCCATGCATGTGCTGTTCAGATCCAGGGCAAGCATCACAACCGTCATGAAATGCTTCCCCAGATGGGGTTAATTGGCCCTTCTCTTGACCTCCCAGAGCATCTTTCACCCAACAGCATTGGCCCTTTCCACGCTGTGCTATGGAGATCTGTTTCCTTGTGACTCTGTCATCAGCCCCAGAGACACGCAGGCCTGCGTGTGCATTCTGGCTCACACCTTGCTGGAGGTGACAGGCTGGGAAAATCGCCTCCCATTTCTGCCCTGTCACTGCTTATCGCTACACATTGGAACAACTGCCTGGCAGGATTCTGTAGGGATCCTGTGTCTGCCCTGTAATTCAGTCTCCATACAGGTCCCTCCTTCCCTCACTCCCTCTGTCTCTCTCTCTGTACCTGGCAGGGTCTGGCACTCCAGACAGGTGAAGTATGCTGGTTTCTGATTTCCCTTCCACTCTTCTGTCGTCTGGGGTCCCAGGATCTACCTCAAGGCCTAACAGATGACAGGGTCATATGTTTGCACTTCCCTTCATCGTCTTCTGCCCCTCCTGTCCTAGCTTCATTCTTGAGCCCTGGCTAACACCATGGGGGCCCTCCCCGTGAGGGTGAGGAGGGGGCATGCCGGCCCTGCAGCAGCATGGCAAAGTTCTGGGAGCTGGGAGCTGAGCTCAGCCACAGGAGAAGACTAAATGCGCTCTACTTTTAGTTTTGAAACCTGTCAATGAGCGATATCCCTCCCACATCAGAGCACAGGAAAGTAGCGGGGGCAGAGAGTAGGAGGAGAGCCGTAGGTGGGCTGGGCGGGGAGGAAGGGAGGAAACTGCACCCTGTGGCCCCCACTGCTTACTCGATGACCCAGTGACCTAATGATGACTCATCCCATCCTCCTGAAGGTGTAGGGGCTGTGTGGGTGGGGCGTGGGGTGAGGGCAAGGGGTGGCGAGCACATCATACTCTCAGTCCTGTCGTCTTGACCTCTCTTGGGTAAAGCAGGGAAGATGTTGAGCTAGGAGCCCCCTACCCTGTGGAGTCGTCCTGAGATGCCCCTTCCCTCTGGAGTCCCAGGTGAGCCTGAGTGGTCCCGCTGGCCCCGGCCCTGCGCCTTCCAAGGCCTCCTTGCCCACTGGAGTGCCACAGAGGGGAAGCACAGTTTCCCCCTTCCTGCTCAGCTTTTACTCATCATGGTGCTGGGACGGAGCCACCTGCGCTGGCCCTCGCCATGTGCCGGGTGGAGATCAGTGCTTCTCATTCTAGTGACAACCTTCAGAGGCAGGTGAAATGCATCCATGCTCTTCTTACCCCCATTCACACATAAGAAATGGAGGCTTATGGAGGTGAAGTTGTCTTCCCAAGGTCCAGAAGAGTGTAAGTGGCATAGCAGGGGCTCCATGCCGGGGCTGGGCCTTCAATCTGTCAACCACTGTGACATGCTTCAGAGGGGGTGAAGGGAGAGGGCAGGGGACCACACCCAGGAAATCTTTGAATCACCTATTCCCCTACCATGCCCACGCTGTGTAGTCAGGTTGATCCGTGGCTGGGTCTCCTAAGGTTATGTCATCCAAGGCTGTCAACAGGAAGAGAGGGGATGATAAGGGGGCAGCCCTGGGGGGTGGCTGCTGGTGCAGGCTGAGAGGGGCCTTGGTGGCAGAGTGAGGGTGTTTGTCTGGAGAGCAGAGGGGAGTCCCTGGAACATTCAGGAAGGAAGGCAGAGGGCAGGCTCTGGGGGCCTCATCTGGCAAGGAGGACAAAGAGAACTGACATTTGAAGATCCCTTCTGTGCCTCAGCTGGTACTGCTTCTACCATTGTGATTTACTCAACCTGTGCTTACTGATCTCAACCACGTACCAGACACGGGAGGGAGTGGGGGGAATCAGGCTCAGGACCTGGGTGCATGAGCTTTACAGAGGAGATGTGTGTGCGTGCACGTGTACACACACACACAGAACACAAGGCGTAAGGTGGCCTGAGAGACACAAATCAGACCCCCAAAAGAGGTGCTCTCCATCAGGATGGAAGGGCTGCTTTTGTGAAGAGGTGGGTCAGAAATCTTTCTCCTTCCCGTCCATTCATAGCTTATGCCTTATTCCCTTCTCTCTGGCTCTTGTTCTCATTTTAAAATGGAAGAACACAAGGTCTACAAAGAGGACTCCAGCTCTTGGTCACGTATCCTCTTGCCTGGGATGCAGTGATTTATTCAACATTATCCCTGTGCCAGCTTCGTCCTCACTGCAACCCTAAGAGGTGGTGTCATTATCATCTCCCACGCACACGCATGTAAACGAGGGGCAGAGGGAGAGCCCCCAGCTTGCCCAAGGCCATTTGAACCCAGACCCTAGCAGCCTCTGTTGTCCTGCCTTCCTCATTCCATGGAAGGGCACGTGTAGATACCAGTGGCCACTTTGATTTAAAGGCCTCAGGCCAAGTGGGTTCTCAATTGGAATATTAAAAATTGTTTCATGTAGTTGATTTTTTATTTTTAAATTTGTCTTGAGAGGGAGTCTTACTCTGTTGCCTAGGCTAGAATGCAGTGGCATAATCTCGGCTCCTGGCAACTTCCGCCTCCTGGGTTCAAGCAATTCTCCTGCCTCAGTCTCCCGAGTAGCTGGGATTATAGGCACGCACCACCAAGCTTGGCTAATTTTTGTATTTTCAGTAGAGATGGGGTTTCCCCATGTTGGCCAGGCTGGTCTCGAACTTCTGACCTCAGGCGATGTGCCCGCCTCAGCCTCCCAAAGTGCTGAGATTACAGGTGTGAGCCACCGCGCCCGGCCATTTCATGTAGTTTAATTGTCTGTACACTGTAAAGCCAGGGTAATGATTGGCCTCATGGGTCATGTGCACTTGCCTACCGGGAAAGTAGGCTTTGTTTTCTCCTAGAAGCTTCTTGCAGAATTAGCTCTTGTCTTCTGAGTATATATTTTTTTTCCTGTAACTACTTACCAGGATTTAAAAATGTGTGTATACACAGTGGGTGAGGGAGTGAGGATAGGAGATGCTCTAAAACAATCTAGCATGTGAGTAACTCCTCTAATCCACTTGCTCTGACCAGCCTATTGGAGGGTCAGCATGAGTCTGCCACAATTAAATACATGTAGATTTTTCTAGATAGTCGTAGAGGATAAATTGTTATGAATCAAGCCATATTTTAAATGGTTCCAGTGATGCAGATGACTTTGACATCTGCAGTGAATGATTTGATAATCTAAGGAAATCTAAATCCCTTCCCTCTCTCTCCTTTTCTCTCTTTCACATAAAAACTCTTTTTCATGTCTTGGGTGACCTTAGGGAGATAAGCCTTCTGTATCAGTTCTGCCACTCAATAGTACATGACCTTGAATGAGCACCTGGTGGTGGCTAGCTCCAGTTGCTTCAGCTGTAAAATGGGCACAGCCAGCCTTATCTGGCAGGTTTGTCTTGAGGATTAAACAAGCCCGTGTGCCTGCAGCACTGGGCAGATTTTGGCAGAGGGCGGGCTTTTAGCTTTCACACAGGAACCTTCTGTCGGTTGGTGGGGAGAGCCATGAAAACAGTAAAATACAGAACTGTGGGTGAGTGTGAATCCAGGCAGGTACAGGCAGGGGCTGTGGGACCACTGGGGAGGGAAGCCCACCTTTGTGGAGTCGTTAGGCAGAAATCGGAGGTGGGGACATTCGAAGTGGGTTTTACAGAGTAAGTAGGAGCTGTTTGCTCAGTTATTTATGTATACCTCACTTTATTCCAAATAAAGATTTGAGATCATATACATTCTACATTAAGGTAAAATAAATTTAATAAAGAAATAATATGCAAGGGAAAATAAGAGGAGAAACTAAAATAAAGCCATGGACAGGTTAGGACATAAACCTGCTAGAGGTGATGAACAGGTTTGGCACTGTGCTTCCTAACAATGAAGACAAAAAGGGAACATAATCGATAGGCGGTTCTTAGTCATCATGTCCAGAGGATTAAAAATGCACCCAGTGCCCAGGATGTGCACAGCTTTCCCTGGGGCTAAGACCTAAGATACATTTTCCCCGTGATCCCTCAACAAGGGGAGTTTGTGTGACATAGTCCTTAGCAACATTGCTGTTCTAACCATGTCATTCCAGTATGATTGCTTCTGAGGAGAGTGTACCAGGCAAGGAACACTGTTCTTGGCAGAGGGGACAGCATGAGTCCAGCTTCACGTGGAGGGAATGTCTGCAGGCCTATTGTCAGTGTGGCTCTTGGACCATGTGGCCCAGTGGGGCCTCTGGGTACCTATGGAAGCAGTTTTGGGGTGAGTGGCATGGCACCAGGTGAGGGGCCACAGGAAAAGCAATGCTGGGGTGTGGAAGACTCACTTTGCAGACATGTCAGGGCCAATCCTGTTAGGACATGACAGGAATCAAGGCTTCTGTGGCCCTTGCAGTTGGGGTCATTAGTAGCTGGATCAGAGACTGAGAAGGTGGGGCCTTGGCAGTGCAGGAAGCATGATTGGCTGGGCTGCCTGCTGGTCTTGGGCCCCAGAGGCTGGTCACCTTTATAAAGACATTGCAAGACTTTTTCGCCTGTGAAATTTAAAGCAACAATAACAACACATACTCCGCAGCCTGTCAGGAAGCCATGTGAGAAAGCTGAGCTGCCCCACTGTCAGAGCCTCATATTTTGGGGTTTTTGTCTGTTCTATTTTTGAGGCTGGTAAACTGGTTTCCTGTTTGTTGCAAAATGGGTGGTTGTTGCTGTCTGTGCCTGCCTTGGCTTTGGCCAGGCCTGGAGGGAGGTGGCCTCACCAGCCTAGGCCCATCCTTCTGCCTTGGGCCAGTTCCCTTCTGTACAAATGCCAAAGAGGAACCCAGCATTGCCAGGGGCAGGGAGTGGGGGCACCCTGCCAGCTGCTTCCTAGGGTTTCTGAGCGTGTTTGAAGTCATCATACTCACTTTGGCAATGCCTCTCTCTGGGAGGACTAGCTTCATGTCACTAAAAGTGGACACATTTTATACTCAGAGGTCAAATTAGCAACTCAGTAAGAGCAGGGGGATGGGACTGGGAAGAAAGAACCATCTGTCATTGTAAGGACAGAAGGGAGGAAGAGAGAAAAACCCATGTTAATTGATACTTGCTATGTGACTGTCATTTTCACAACTTGTATCTCATTTAATTGTTACATGTCATTCCCATTTTACAGGTAAGAAGCCTGAGGCTCAGAAACAGTAAGTCGACTAGAATCATTTGCTCAGGATGTTGGCACTTTGGCAATGCCTTGGAGAGCAAGTTCAGCATTCCTCTCCTATTCCCACCCTCCATCACCTTTTTATTGAAGATGAAAGCCAAAAAAAGAAAAAAGCTTGGGGCCAGGTGCAATGGTTCATGCCAGTAATCCCAGCATTTTAGGAGGCTGAGGTAGGAGGACTGCTTGAGCCCAGGAGTTTGAGACTAGCCTGGGCAATATCAGGAGACCCCCATCTCTATGAAAAATAAAAAGTTAGCCAGGTGTGGTGACACATGCCTGTGGCCCCAACTACTCGGGAGGCTGAGTCGGGAGGATCTCTTGAGCCCAGGAAGTTGAGACTGCAGTGAGCTGAGATGGCGCCACTGCACACCAGCCTGAGCAACAGAGCAAGACTCTGTCTCCAAAAACAAAAACAAAAAGCTTGGAAAAACTCCCAAAGCTAGGTAGTAGCTGAGTCTGAAAGTTACTTAACTAGTGGTTTCTAGTCTACTGCTTTTCCAAACTGCCTTAGATGCTTTCTAAACTGGCAGGGACATGATACCAGTCCAGCATTGAGCAGAGTTTGAACTTGTGGCTAGGCAAGCCAGGCCCAGCCGCCATGGCATTTACATTTGGACACCTTGCTTCTCTCCCAGAGCAGCTGGATAGTGGTGTCCCAGTAGGACCTGTGGGCCAAGGGTATGCCTCTCCCCTGCCCCCCACTCCTTGACATACCAGCTTCAGATCCTGCAATTCCCTCATTGTCTTTTGGGGTCAAAGCAACGAAGGCCCTTCTAAAAGCATGGGTCTGTTTCATTGGCTGATTATTTCCTCTCATCAGTGGTTTTTGGTGGATTCAACCTGCTCCTGGACCCCTAGGGGCATTTTTTTTTTATCTTATTTTATTTTTTTCAGATGGAGTCTCACTCTGTGCCCCAGGCCGGAGTGCAGTGGCGAGATCTCGGCTCACTGCAAGCTCCGCCTCCCGGGTTCACACATTCTCCTGCCTCAGCCTCCCGAGTAGCTGGGACTACAGGCGCATGCTGCCATGCCCAGCTGATTCCCTAGGGGCATTATTATAAGGAGAACTGATATCTATTTTCACATGTGTATTTTCTCAATCAACAGATGCTAAAAGTATCAGTAATTTCTTGTAAGAGTCTTAAAATTACCAAGGCTGGAACTACTACCTGGGGGGCATTCTCAGGTCTTAGTAGCTCTTCTCAAATGATTAGTATTCCCAATTAACTCAACCTAGGGCTGGGTGCAGGAGGGAGTAGAGAGATAAGAAAACCCATCAGCCTAGGTGGCATGGCCTTGAGGAACCTTGGAAAGGGAAGAAGGGAGACCAGATTGAAGGGAGGAATTACCTGGGGCAAGGGAGGGGGATGTTGCTCTTATGCTATCCCTTTGCTACTCCCTCAACCTTAATAATATCTTCACTTAATCTCTTCCTGCAGGGACCTCTCTTCCTTCCAGGCTCAGCACAGAGGGTCCTTCAGCAAAAAGCCTTGCATCTTCTTCTTTTCTGGGCCCTAATAAGCCCACGGTTACACTGCCTGTCTTCTGACCTCCCTTCATCGTACCTGCTTTTAAGTCCTTTGTGACTTTATTTAACTCCACTTAGTAATTGTAGCTCCTTGTGGGTAAAAGATAGCATTAATTGTAGTTTGTTCTCTGCACAGTCATGGTTCAGGGCCAGATAATGTAGACGAAAGGGAGGGAGGGAGTTTAGGTAGGCAGGTAACGAATTCCTTCCTTTGTCTCAGGGTAATAGGCCCTGTCTGGAACATTATGGGAGAAGCAGGAAGGGCATATCCTAGCCCATCTCTATGTGGGAGGCATCTGATCACTTGCATTTCTGATACCCTTGGTACTTTGCATATATAGTGAAAGGGGCACCTGCCTTGCTCTTGCATTTTCTATAGCAAGGGGACTTCCCACATCCTCTATCACTGGACACATTTGAGTTCCCTGCTGGCTTCTGAGCCTTCCCTTCTGTTTCATTATCTATTGCTGGCTTAACAGACTACACTCAAACTCTGTAGCTTAAAATCATGATTTATTATTTCTCACAATTCTGGCTGGGTGGTTCTCTGCTGGTCTTGGCTGGGCTCACTCCTGCAGCTGCATTCAGCTGGTGGTGGGGCTGAGCTGGGAGGTCCAAGAGAGCCTCCCTCACATCGAGGGGCCTGGTGCCAGCTCTTGGCTGGAGCAGCCTGGTTCTCTGCATGACCTCTTGTCCTCCAGTGGGCCAGACCCAGCTCCTCCATGGCATGGCAGGCTCAGGACTCCAGGAATGCGGAAGCAAGCCTGCCATGCCTCTTAAGGCAGAGGCCAGAACTGGTGCAGTATCCCTTCTGCCACATCCTTTGGACCAAAGGAAAAATCAAGCCCAGCCAGATTCAGGGGAGGGAGAAATAGACTCCACCCCTGATGAAAGGAGGGGCAAAGTCAGATTGCAAAGGGCCTGGGACAGTTTAGCAATAGTTTACTATATCCTCTTTCATTTACTTTGAAAGATAAAAATCCTCCTTTTGGAAACCTTCGTGAAATGGCTTCTAAGGAAGCATTCTGAACGTGGCATGGTCAGGAAGTTCAGGAATTGATGCTCTTGTCCCTGCCTGCCCCAAAGCCCAGGAAGAGGCCATTTGCAGAGTAGAGTTGGGTAAGGCTGCTCCTAGGGATGTGGGTACCACCTTTCTGATTGGCCTGAGTAATGCTGTCTCTCTGGATCTGAGTCAGCATAGTGTGCAGCTTCTCAGGCACCAGGCAGATCCTGCTGCATTTTTCCCTGGGGCCCTGTGAACATGATTCCCCCTATGAAAAGAGACCTGTATGCTTGGGGTTGGGGGGAAGGGGGGGTGCCATTTTTAACATGCATTTTTTGGACTAAAAGTGTTTTAAAACTCTTCTTTCTGAGTGTAGAATTTAGGATTTTTTTGATCTCATGCAACTAAGAAACTCATTCTTGGTAACTTTTTTTAAAAAAAGAGGAAATGTATTAAAGGGAGATGGGAATCTAATGGGATTGATAGGAGCTGAAGAATTAGGCCAGGAGAGAGCAAGAAGCAAGACGATTTACAGGCGAGAAACACATTTATAGTCTGGGGAAGTGCTGATAAGCATAAAGCTAGCACTGCAGGAACATTGGGGCTGGTGTGACTTTGTCAGCCTGAGGGAGCTGGGGACATTTCAAAGAGTTGGCAGTGTTGAACTCAGAGGACAGCAGGGAACAGCATTCTAGGCTGGTGGAATAGCATATGCAAAGGCACTGAAGTTTGAAATAAGACAGCATGTTTAAGGAACCACAAACAGTTCTAGGGCGAATGTCAGAGGTATAAGAGAGAGGTGAAAAATGATCCTGGGGAGGGAGGCAGACAGCAGACAATGGAAGGGCTCACATGCCTACTGAGGAGTTAGGATTATATTTTAGAGGGTGGGGTTTCCCAAACTGAGTTCCTAGAACCTAGTGGCCTGAGAGGCATTAACAGATGTTCTTTGAATAAAAGATTTCATGACTAAATAAGTTGAGGAAATACATATATTATTTTGTGTTGTATTTCCCTCTTGGAAGATCATCAGGATATTAAAGGTTCTGAGAAGTTCTGCAGTAAAGAAAAGGAGGGAGGAGACAAGTCAAGAGGCTGAAGTGATGCTCCAGGTGAGAGATGCTAAGTGCTGTCTGTCCGTGGGGTTAGAAAGGGAGGAATTTCTTCATGTCAACATTGGGGCAGACATAACCCAACCCTACATGATATTACAAGAGTCAAGCACTTTAATAATTTTGAAGGAGCCCCATCAGAAGCAGGGGTCTGGGTTGTAAATCCACTAGAAAGGAAGGTAGCTCATGTGGAAAGTGAGCTCTATGACAAAATGCTGATTTTTTTTCTTCAATAAACATTTATTGAATGGACCAAAGTGATTTAACAAATGCAAACACACAATAGATTATTTAACAAAGCAAAGACAATAAAAATAAAACATTAAGAGTGTAGGTGCAAAAATACATTTTTTAATTGGGGAGAAAAAAAAGGCAGCAGAAGAGAACCAGCTACCCAGAGGTTTTAAAATTATTTTTGGAGAAAAGACCAAGCTTGATTTTATTATTCTGTTGTATCTTTGTTGGTATACTTCTTCAGGGGTTTCACTGACAGCACAGCCTGGTGTGGCATCAGCCTATGGCTTTATGTTCACTTCAGTATGAATACAGAAAGCAGACAAATTTGAGGCTTGGCATCAGTGCAAAGGGACTTGTAATATTCCCTCCAGGTATGGTTAGGAACTCAATGGTGCTGACAAGGGACCACGATTTGGATTTTGGAATCCCTATTGGAAAAGAGTGTTTCTCTCTTTTTTTTTTTTTAATTATACTTTAAGTTCTAGGGTACATGTGCACAATGTGCAGGTTTGTTACATATGTATACATGTGCCATGTTGGTGTGCTGCACCCATTAACTCGTCATTTACATTAGGTATATCTCCTAATGCTATCCCTCCCCACTCCCCGCACCCCACGACAGGCCCCGGTATGTGATGTTCCCCTTCCTGTGTCCAAGTGTTCTCATTGTTCAATTCCCACCTATGAGTGAGAACATGCAGTGTTTGGTTTTTTGTCCTGTAATAGTTTGCTGAGAATGATGGTTTTTTGTTTTTGTTTTCGTTTTTGTTTTTTTTTAGATGGAGTCTTGCTCTGTTGCCAGGCTAGAGTACCATGGTGCGATCTCGGCTCACTGCAACCTCTGCCACCTGAGTTCAAGTGATTCCCCTGCCTTAGCCTCCAGAGTAGCTGGGACTACAGGCACCATGCCTGGCTAATTTTTTATATTTTAGTAGAGACGGGGTTTCACCATGTTGGCCAGGATGGTCTTGATCTCCTGACCTTATGATCCGCCTGCCTTGGCCTCCCAAAGTGCTGGAATTACAGGCATGAGCCACCGTGCCTGACCTAATTTTTTAAAACAAATTCAAGTATTTCTAGATTTGTTTTCATGAGAAGCCCTCAGTTCCCTTTGCTTTTGCTGAATATGCTAGCTTTTCCGGACTTGGGACTTTTGCTGTCGTGGTGGAACGTCTGTGCCTTCTTGGTTCTAGAAGTACAAAATATTTCCCCTCCTCCTACCAGAAATTCTCCATCATTTTTTTTTAAATAAGAAGAAGCATGTAATTTAAAAGCCGTCTTTCCTCCCTCCTCTCAGAAGGAGGGAAGGGAATAGTTTCCTGGAGGAATTCATCTTAGGCAGAGAAACAGAATTTAAGCCAGGACTGCTGGGGTGGAGGCTTGTAGCCTGAAGCTCACATACTGTGCTCTGCTCTCTGTGAGGCTTCAAACCCTGCAACCTAAGGTCTTCAGCACAGATAATGAGGGCTCAGGGGAGCAACCATAGCTGGGCCCTGGTTGAAAATGAGCAGGAGCTTCCTGGAGCATAAGCTCCTTAGCTTCATGCTGGACTGGGAGACGTGTTCAGCCAGGTGTGGGACCTGGGAATGGACCCTCCATCTTCCTTGATGGTGGACACTCCACATTTCTGCAAAGACACCTTGAGGAGGCCCTTCACGGAGGATGCCAGGGAGGGAGAACTCTGAGTGAGAAAGAAAGGGGCTCATTTGACAGGGACTTTTTTTGCCATGGCCATCACACTCACACTAGGGAAAAAAGGGAGAGGAAGACTTTTTCCACCAGTTTCACAATGTAGCTTCTGGATCAGCAGGAGAGAGAAAAGAAAGGACAGAAACTAGTGCCTGTTGAACACCTACTTTATGGCAGGAACTTGAAGCTTGCATGGGTTCAAGTTCATCCACACGAGCACAGTGCTCCTCAGTGCCAGCCTGTGAAGTACTTACTGATAATAATTCTAGGGAGAAGGATGGTATATGCTATTGTGTTTTTTTAAAAAATCTAATTGTTTTCTTTTAGTAAGTATAAAATAACATGTTTATTGTAGAAAATCTAGAAAATACAGAGAAGTACCAAGAATAAAATAAAAAATGCTGATGCCTGGCAAGGTAAATTACCTGCTCAAGATAATGATGGACCGTGGATTTGAACTAGAGAGGGGCCCTGGCATGTGCCAAACTCCTCTCCTTACCCACTCATTCACTCAGCCAACATGAATCGAGTGCCTTCTGTAATCACAGAATACCAGATCTATGCAGCATCTAATTTAACCCCTCATTTTACGGAAAAAGAATCGACCAGGAGGTAGTTAGTGGCAGGGCTGGGATTTGAACTCTGGGCAAGGCTGCCTTATTCTTTGTCCTCATATAGTTCTCTGTCCTCTGTTGCTTTCTCCAGGCCCAGAGGAACAGAGCTGGAGCCATCCTGGGGCTGTCGTGTGGTCCCGGCAGATGGCCGTGGGATCAGTCATAGCCAATCAATGCTCTACTTGATTTAATTTTTGCTCAGAATTGGGTGGGAAATGGAGATTCCAGACAGTATTCAGAGGTGCTTTAGAGGTTTAACATTTTTGCCCTAGAAAGGCTCGAATGAACTCTATAGTGCTGGATTAGAGTCAAAAATATCATGTATTTTTAATATACGTACAGATAGAAGTATACAGAAGTAGAGATATGCATGGATTAGTATACACACATATATTTTCCAGTTCTGTCCGCTGAAAGAGCCTAGAACCAATAATACCCTAGTAGAAATGGGCACACTCACTGCCCAGATCTTAGTCTCTAAAGACCATTCTCTAGTAAAAAGAACCAGAACTCCTTGGAGAAATGACTGATTCCAGGCCTGGGCAGGGAAAAACAAAAAGCAAACACACAAAAAAATGAGCCTAAAACATTTTGTAGTTCCAGAAAGTAAGGAAGTGTTTAAAAACAAAAAACAAAGCAAGACAAAAAAAGATGGTAGGATGTCTGAAGGACCCAGGAGCCAACCAGAAAGAGCTCTCAACAGCCAAAACTAGAACAATTTGAGCACCGAAATAAATAATGATAGTATTGAACTATAACCCAAAGAATCTGACCACATTTGTTGTAAATAAATAATTGAATAAATAAATAAATAAGGGAAGAAAGTGCAAATCTTGTTTACAGGAGAATTCTAGATATATACTACTCCCCTTCCAGCAGATGGAGCTTAAATTCCCTCCGCTGGAGTGTGGGCTAGACTTAGTGACTCACTTCCAAATAATAGAGTATGGCAAGGAAAAAATAGTAACTTCACAGTTAATAAACCTGGCGGACATCACCTTAACCAAGTGGTCAAGGTTAACATCACCAGTAATGCACCTTGTTGGTATCACGTGACCTCAGAAATGGAGAAAAGGGCATTTCACTTCTGTGACATTCCTCCAAAAACCCACAGCCCCTGTTTAATCACGAGAAAACATAAGACAAATCCAAATTGAGGGACATCATACAAAATACTGTACCAGGACTCTTCAAAAATATCATGATCATGAAAAGGAAAGGCTAAAATCCATCACTGACCAGAGGACAGTTAAGGAGATGTGACATCTAAATGCAATGTCAGATCCTGGATTAGATACTGGAAGACAAAAAGGACAGTCAAGAAAACATTGGTGAAATCCAAATAAAGTCTAGAGTTTAGTTCATTGTATTGTACCAGTGTTAATTTCTTAGTTTACCTGGGCGTGGTAGCACATGACTATATAGTCTTAGGTCCATTTGAGGTTATAGTAAGCTATGATTGTGCCACTACATTCCAGCCTGGGCAACAGAGCAAGACCCTGTCTCTAAATAAATAAATAAATTTCTAGTTTTGAGAACTGTGCCATGGTTATGGAGAATGTTAACATTAGATGAAATTGTTTGAAGGGTATATGGAAACTCTGCACTATCTTTGCAATTTTCCTGTAATTCTAAGATTATTGCAAAATTAAAAGTTAAAAAAATTCTTCCCCAGCAATGGACAAAATAAATATAAAATAGAGAAAGAAATTCAAAAAGCCTAATAAACATGGGAAAAGTTTAGTTTGCCTAGTAATAAGAAAGGCAAGTTACAATAATGAGATAACCATTTTTACCTATCAAAATGGCAGTTTTTAAAAATAAAAACCAAATACTTAGGGTTTTTTTGTTTTTTGTTTGTTTGTTTGTTTGTTAGGGTGTGAGGACCCAGGCATGGTAAACAACCACTGTTAAGAGCATAAATTGCTTCAAATATCCAAAGGGCATTTTGGCAGTATAAAAGCAAATAGTTCTACATTTTTACCTATAAGTTCCCCTTTCAAGGATTTATACTAGTAAAATAATCACTGATATGGATAAGGATCTACTATGGTTTGGCTCTGTGTTCCCACTCAAACTCACCTTGAATTTTAATAATTCCCACGTGTCAAGGGTGGGGCCAGGTGGAGATAATTGAATCATGGGGGCATTTTCCCCCCTACTGTCATTGTGATAGTGAATAAGTCTCTCGAAATCTGGTGGTTTTATAGATGGGAGTTCCCCTGCACAAACTCTCTTGCCTGCTACCATGTAAGCCGTCCCATTGCTCTTCCTACGTCTTCCACCATGATTGTGAGGCATCCCCAGCCATGTGGAACTAAGTCCATTAAAACTCTTTCCTTTATAAATTACCCAGTCTCGGGTATGTCTTTATTAGCAGCATGAGAACTGACTAATACAGGATTACTTACAAGGATGCTCTTCACTGTATTGTTTGCAATATTAAGAGACTGGAGACAATCTAAATACACAAGAATGTGGGAATTGGTTTTGTAAGTTATGGTGGGTACATCTATGCAGTTATAGATGTGTATATAAAAATATTTCAGTGACAAACACAAAAAATGTTTATAAGAGTATTTTCTGAGTGGTTGGATTACCAGTAATTTTTATTTTCTTCTTTGTGCATTTCTACGTTTTTCAAATTTTCTACACTGATGTTTCTTCCTCAAAGGGCCTATATGCTAAGACCCTTCTGGGCAAGTCACAGTACCTGTGGCTGACATAGTAAAAATTCTGAGTCCTTCCTGCAGGACAGAAATCTTTCTACTTTGGTAAACCAAAATATATTTCCCTGAATATATTTCATCACATGTTTTTTTTCTATTGCTTTATTCCCAGAATTATGCCTAGCATGTAGTAGACATTAAATATATATTTTGTGAATGAATTAATGAATTAATGCTTATGATGTGGTGGGAAAGGCATGGCCCCAGACCCTGGTTCACAGTGCAGCCTCCTCCCACCTGTTCTAATAGCCTCTCCAGTGGATCAGCTTCTCTGCCCCTCTGTGTGTGACCCTAGGAACTTTTGTGGCACCAGTCATAGGAAGCTGAGCTCCAAGAAGCAGGCAGAAGAGTGAGGTAAACCAGATTAAGAGAAGGACCTTTGAAGCAGTCAGAGAACCAGGCTTGAGCCACTTGTAGTGCTCTGCAGATAGAGAGCATCCCTGATGAGACAGGGGGAGCCCAGAAAGTTGGCTCAGGTATCAGGAGCAATTGGCATTCTTGGGGCCAGACTGCATGGATGTTCCAAGAAGCCCCAGAAGGCAGGAGGTCCCAAGTTCCCAGAACCCGAAGTCTTTGTGGTGGCATGTGATTCTGAGTATGTCCACTGCTTCATGGCACACAGTGTATGAGCCTCCCATGACAGGCCACTCCTGTGTGGGCTGATGCTACACTGATCATTAGCTTTCTGGGAGAGTGGCCCAATCGTTCTTCCATATGGTGGCCATTCACATTGGAAAGAGCAGAATCCAGGATCCCCTGAACATTCTCCTCTCCCCACTATTCATCCCATTGCCCTTGAAGGATACAGCTTCCATCCCTGCAGGGCCTTGGGGGAAGCAAGCAATATATTAAAACAGAGCTACTTTAAGTTACTCTGCATTTCTGGCTATGGTTCTGGAAGTTCTCCTTACTTTCTTTATTTTCTGTCCAGTTGTCTTCAGTGTATGCAATGAAGGTGGAGGGAAACTGTCATGTGTATGTTTGAGTGGCCATGGAAGGTGTCCTTTCTCTAAGTCAAGGTCACTGCTAGAGGGAAGGCCCCAGTCAGGGCAGCTCCTGTGAGGCTGCCCCACCTTCCTGCTCACTGGTCTCCTTGCAGCAGCTGTTTCCATGCTCCTTGGCCTTTTGTGGCTGTGGGGAGGGCAGGTTTCAGGATGGTGGCAGCTAAGAGTTTTTCCCTTCACTTTGAGAGCCTCCTGCCTCCAGCTGTGAGTGCCTGCTAAGTATGGCAGGGGAAGGGAAGCAGAGAGGGTCAGATGGTGACAGGCAGCACCACCACGGCTGGAGGAAGTCAGCATCCTAGAGAGAGAAGCTTGAAGGGAGGTTGAGTTGCACATTCATTTACCCACCCAACAGACATTTCCTGGTGCCTCCTAGGGCAGAATATGCTCAAGAGCAAGCCCTTTTGCCCTGCAGGAGCCCCCATCCTCTCCCAAGGACATAGCCCTGCCCCTTGGGCCAGAATCCCAGATGAAACCTTGCCTCAGGGGAACTTTCCCTGAACAACTTTACTTGTGCTCAGTGTTCCCAGGTCCTGGGCTACATGCTGGAGACAAAGATGATTGAAATAGCTCTTGCCTCAAGCAACTCAGGACCTCGGAGGTACAGGTGGATGACTAAATGATGACATGTTAGAGGGTTCATGGTAGATATTTGGGGGCATACGGAGTGGGAGGAATGGTCACTTCTGCCTGGGAGAAGTATAGAGAGTGCATCTGGAAAGGCTTCACGGAGGAGGTGTTCCTTGAGCTGGGTCTGGAAGGCTGAGCAGGTGTTCCCAGGTGGTCTGAGGAGGGATATGGAGGAGAGGGGGAAGGGTGTGATGCCTGAGAAAAGCATGATGCATTGAGGAAACTGAAATTAGATTAGTAGGTGTGGAGTATGGGGTTTGGGGGTGGGGAGGGGAAATGTGTGGCTAGAGAGGTGTGTAGGAGCCAAATCAGGAAATGACTTGTATGTCTGTTATATTGGCTAGGATTCGATTTTCTGCATATAACAACAAACTAAAATAACAGTGGCTTAAACACATAAGAGTTTATCTTCCTCTCTCATAAAAGAACCAAAGGGAGCCAGTCTAGCCTTGGTATATGGTAGCACCACAATATCAGCATTCCCAGGCAACTTCTCTCTTTGGCCTCTCCATCCATAGAGCATGATTTTCATTCTGAAGGTGACCTTGTGTCTAAGATGGCTGCTGGAGCACCAGCCATCACATCCATTATATATAAAAAAACTAGAAAAAGGTGGAAAGGCCATGCAGCCATCTGTGCTCCTTTCAATGAGCCTTCTTGGTAGTTCCACCCAGTGATTTTCACTTACATCTTATTGGCCAGGACTTAGTCACCTAAGCTGCAAGGGATGAGTGGAGGTGGGAGTTTGCAAAACAAAATGCTCTGTTTCAGCAAAGTGCTAAGGGGTTAGAAGGCATTTACCCAGCAAAGAAAGGAATGCAGTGTTCCAGGGATAAAAAGCAGCTAGTGCACAAATATGCAGGTGCAAAGGAGCCCAAGCTATTGAAGGAACAGTGAGCGGACCTGACTGGCTTGAGTGTAGACTCGTGTGTGTGTGTGTGTGTGTGTGTGTGTGTGTGTGTGTGTGTGTACACATGTGTGCCTGTGCTGTGGGGAGAGAATTATGGATAACTAAGGATGACTACAGGAGAGGGAATGGGGTTAGATGATGAGAGACTGTGACTGCAGTGGTAGGGAGTTTGGACTTTATTCCACAGGAAAGGGTGAATTGTGCAGAGGCTTTCAGGAGGAAGGTTAATTAGATGTGGGTTTTTGCAAGATCAGTCTATACACCAATGTGGGGAAGAAAATGGTACAGGGGTTGGGAGTCAGTATGGATGCATCTTGTCCATGGGGCCATGAGGGAGCATGGGATATGCTAGGACAAGTGTTAGGGACCAAGGAGATAAAGTTGGCTTGATGGGAAGGGGCCACATTGTTGAGGCCTGCAGATTTGCAGTGGTAAGAAACAGGGAGTGGCTGAAGGTTTTGTAGTCAGAGAGTGATGGGTGAACTCACAGATAGATAAAGAGCTTCCTACGTAAGGATTCTCCCATATCTTTGGCGGGAGGTACTTGCTCTTGCTCTTAGAGGAAGAAGAAAGGAAACTCACATTTAATCCTCACATTCTGTGCACTAGATTTACCACCTCTTATCTCAGTTTGTACATCTGAAAACAGAAGCACAGAGAGATTAAGCAACATTTCCAAGGTTACATGGTGTGTTAATCTGTTTGTATTGCTATAAAGTAATATGCGAGGCTGGGTAATTTATACAGAAAAGCGGTTTATTTGGCTCATGGTTCTGCAGGCTATACAAGAAACATGGTACTAGCACTGGCTACTGGTGAGGGCTTCAGGCTGCTTCCACTCATGGTAGAGGGCAAAGAGGAGCTGGCATGTTCAGAGATCCCATGGTGTGAGAGGGAGCAAGAGAGAGAGGGGAGGTGCCAAGCTCCTTTTGACAACCAGCTCTTGAGGGATAGGTTACCAAGCCATTCATGAGGGATCCACCCCATGATCCAAACACCTCCCACTAGGCCTTACCTCCACCACTGGGATCCAATTTCAGCATGAGATTTGGGGGAATGAACATCCAAATCATAGCACGCAGTTAAGAAGTGGCAGAGCCAGAGAAGCCAGTTCCACCAGCCTCTCTGACCCTGGAGTCAGAAAGTAGCACCTGACCCTGTTTTGTAAAGGAGTTGCTTTTACTCCATGGGATTATCTTGTTTGACATGGCAGAGGATTTGACCTGGGTGTTACGTGTGATCCTGTCTGATGACAAGCTGTCTATGCATAAGCTGCTTTTGTGTGTACTTATTTAAATGTGACCTTGATGAGTCTGTTGAGGGGGCAGAATGACAGGACAGGGAGGACAGGGCATGGGGCAACTGTCTGGTCCCAACCCAGCCGGTGACTACATTGTTGACCAAGGTCTCAGCTCACTACTTCCTGTTTAGAGTTTCCTCCTTATAGAACTAGAGGGCTCAGACTAGATCAATAGCTCCCAAATAGTCTGTGTGCCCCATCTTGGCAATTCATGACACACTAGCCTATCACCTACACTAGTATTTATTTATGTTCTTTAAATATGTTTACATTGATTTGTTTACTTAGCTTTGACCTAAACAATAAGGTCTGCCAAATTATGAGCTTGATTGTAATTTTCCGTAGGTCATTTTAAATTTTCTGTAGGTCATATTAAAATAAACTCATAACCATCACTTCTTAGCATTCTGGCTAAGATCAAGTGTAAAATAAACTCACAGCTGCAAATAAAATGCTAAAATTGGTTTTCATGACAATGGTAGCTCACAAACGTTGAACTCATGCCTTGTACGCATATGAACTCATTTCCCCTCCTCAGTCACTTTGTGAGGCAGATGCTTTATTATCCCCATTTTACAGATGAGGAAACTGAAGCATGAAGTGGTTACATAACATGCCCACAATCATATGGCTACATCCACCTAAAACAGTCTTGTTTTAGGTAAGTGCTCCCCACTTTGGCTCCATCTGAGGTGCCACAATTCTACACCTACCTCCGCTGCTGCAGGTGTGGTCATATGAGCTGTGAGATGAACAGACCAGCCATGACCTTGGTCCAGGGAAGACAGCGGTGTCCAAGGAGGGTGCCTGCAGCTGCTGTGAGGAGCAGGTGAGGAGAGCACAGGGTTGTCCTGACTCACTGGGTACCTAGAGGGACGAGGAGCCAGGGGGCGAGATGGCTGCAGGCTTTCGCTCTCACGTTCCATGGAGCTGGGAAGAACCACAGATAGAAAGGATACAGGGGTGGCAGAGGATGTAGGATTTGGCCTCAGAGGGAAGAAAGCTGGGCTCAGCTACCAAGCAAGTTGAGAAGGAGGAATGAGTTGAGAAGGTCTTGGAGCTGGCTGACATGACCCCTCCTTTCCACGGGGATGTTCCTGGGCACTTATTTGGAGTTTTCCTTATTCCATTAAGCATTCATTCCTAGCAGAAGGATTTACCATTCCCAGCTTTCTTCAAATTTTGCTCTCCTGGATGAGATACAATATGGAGAAATCCACAGGCCAGGGCACTGATTACCTGGACCATGTCCCAGGACTGCTAGCAGGATGCCTGTGCCTAACCTGTGCTGCTCTGTAGCAAATGGGCTTGCCCGGGTCCCAGAGTGCATCAGAGAGCAGACTCCAGGGTGCTTTGATCCCGGCTGGGAGGGAGAATAGCCTGAGCTCTCTCTCCTGCTCAGGCCTCTCTCTCCTTCCTTCCCTGGGGCTCCTGGCTGCTGACCTTCTACTAGGGGTCATTGGCTGAGTGGTCTTGGGTGGCCACTTCGCCTCTCTGAGCCTATGCTCATCTGGATGCAGCCCAGACTGGCTCCTAGTGATTCTGAGGAGTCCTCTAAGCGGTCTTACAGATGCCCACAAACAGGACCATTAGCCGCAGGGACCATGGGTGTCTGCTCCCCTCCTGCGTTCCTGCACTGCCTCACACTGAGGCACATTGCTGCCCTGGAAGCTGCTGGGAGACGCTGCGCTCCTGTCCTCACTGTCGGGGGGTGGCCACTCCTTGCGGTGGGTTGTCTGGATAGTCTGAAGCCTCCAGTCCTCAGGCCCAGGGCAGTTCTGACTCTGGACAGAGGTGGGAGGCTGGGTAGACAGAGGGTGGCACCGGGTCACCTGAGCCCCAGAGCAGCTTTGCTTGAGCCCAAAGTCACATTAAATCCCTTTGAGGAGTTCCCTTGGCTTCTGTCTCTGACTTCTCTCTCCCCAGGGGCTCAGAACCCACCAGGGGAACCTGGGGACATCCACACCCCCCTCCCCACATATTTCTTTCACTATCTCTGCCCCCATTCCTCACCTAAAATTCCCTCCCCCTTGAAAATTACCTTGTAGGCTGGGGGCAGAGGCTTACGCCTGTAATTGTAGCATCTTAGTAGGTTGAGGCAAGAGGATCGCTTGAGCCCAGAAGTCTGAGACCAGCCTAGGCAACATAGTTTTCTCTATTTTTTCTCTACAAAAAAAAAAAAAAATTTTTTTAATTAGCTGGGCATGGTGCTGCACACCTGTAGTCCCAGCGATTTGGGAGGATCGCTGGAGCTCAGGAGTTTGAGGCTGCAGTGAGCTATGATCATGCCACTGCACTCCAGCCTGGGCAACAGAGCAAAATCCCATTAAAAAAAAAAAAAAAAAAGAAAGAAAGAAAAGGAAAAGAGAAAATCACTTTGCATGTCAATGAAGCCATGTGAAAACTCATCTGCTGTGTGCATGGAAGGGGCGTAAGTATACGTAGGGAGGGGGTATGCCCAGATCGGCATTGTCCAGTATGGTAGTCACTGGAAATGTAACTGGTACAACTGAGGAACTGAACTTTTAGTTTTCATTTACATTTACATTTAAAAGCTAAAGCAGTGAGGAATATGTTTCCATTACAGACAGTTGCACTGTTTGGGAAGTACTGCAGTTCACTTTCACCTTTGCATCCTGTCAGATACTGTTGCGGCGTAGTGCATGCATCAGACACGGGCATTATTTTGGTACCTCATTCATAGTTTTTTATGGTTATTACTCAATAAAATGATAGCATTTTGGAATATTGAGTTAAAGGAAATATAAAAATTATTTTCACCTGTATCTTTTTCCTTTTTTAATGTTGCTACTAGGAAATTACATATGTAGGCCGGGTGTGGTAGCTCACCCCTGTCATCCCAGCACTTTGGAAGGCTGAGGTGGGCGGATCACTTGAGGTCAGGAGTTTGAGACCATCCTGGCCAATATGGTGAAACTCCGTGTCTACTAAAAATACAAAAATTAGCTGGACGTGGTGGTGCGCACCTGTAATCCTAGCTACCGGGGAGTCTGAGGCACAAGAATCGCTTGGACCTGGGAGGAGGAGGTTGCAGTGAACCGAGATCCTGCCACTGTACTCCAGCTTGTGCAACAGAGTGAGACCCCATCTCAAAAAAAAAAAAAAAGAAAGAAAATTACATGTGTAGCTTATATTATACATTTTTTGGACAGTGTTGGCCTAGAACAGGGGTCGGCAAGCTTTCCTGGTAAGAGACCAGGTAGTAGTAAATATTTCAGGCTTTGCTGGCTATACAGTCTCACAACTACTTAATGCAGCCGCTGTAGGGCTGAAGCAGCCAGGGACAGTACATAAATGAATGGGTGTATCTGCGTTGCCATAAAACTTTATTTACAGAAACAGGCAGCATCTCAGATTTGGCTTGTGGGCTGTAGTTTGCAGACTCTTAGTCTAGAGTAATGGCAGCCAACCAGTAATGGACTGTAAAATCAGAAGTGATGAGGAAGAGATGAGCAGCCTCAGGGCTAGGCTGAGAAGTGGGGCAGGCCCTGAGCAGAGGATAGGGTAAGAAAGGCCCTCTAGAAAGATCACAAGACAAGAAACTCATCTCTACTGAGTGCCTGGTGTGTGCCAGGCATTTTTCACATGCTTCACCTCTGTTGACTCCTGTCATCGTCAACAAGCCTGTATTAGGGTGGATGCAAGTATCATTAATGTTCCCATTTTTTAGATGAGAACATTGAGGCAATGTGGGGCCAGGTGACCTGCCTAGGACCACAGTGTAAGCTGAGCCAGGATCCATGCCCAGGCAGCCGGCTGTGACTCTGCATGCAGTGCCACCTCTCGCATGCTGTCTTTTTTTCCCTCACTACATCTCCCAACACCCTTATGAGGTGGGGTTTAGTAACCTAATTTTTTTTTTGAGACAGAGTTTCACTCTTGTTGCCCAGGCTGGAGTGCAATGGCACGGTCTTGGCTCGCTGCAACCTCCCTGCCTCCCGGGTTGAAGCGATTCTTCTTCCTCAGCCTCCTGAGTAACTGGGATTACAGGCACCTGCCACCATGCCCAGCTAATTTTGTATTTTTAGTAGAGATGGGATTTCACCGTGTTGGCCAGGCTGGTCTTGAACTCCTGACCTCAGGTGATCCACCCACCTTGGTCTCCCAAAGTGCTGGGATTACAGGCGTGAGCTAGTGCACCCAGCCCAGAGAAGAATTTTTCTATGTTCATATATAAATTGAGAGGAAATTAGCATCAAAATTTGTATACAGCTTTATATTCTTGGTTTCGTCTCATTTAATATTATCATGGATAATTTCTCACACCAATAAATATTTTCAAAGCCAGACATTTTAGTGACTTCTCAATATTCCATTTTATAGAGTTGTCAGAATTTATTTAACCACTATTCCTTGTCAAATGTTGAGGTCATTTCTAGTTTTTTCGTTATGTTAAATAATACTATGATAAGTATCTTTGTATGTAAATTTTTGGTCTGTTGCTCCTTTGATCCATCCTAAATCCCTGTAAGTGGATTTATTTGCTCGAAGTATGTAAAATTCCGATGCAACCCTCCCCATTCTCTGCCTACTCAGTTGGTTTTAGGATTTCTTGGGACTGATCAGATGATGGGCAGAGAGGAAAACTGAAAACAACTTTTCTCATACAGAAGGGCCTTGGAGGTATGGAAATAAGAGAAAAGAGAACAGATCCCAGAGAGAAGAGGGGCTCAGAAGAGCTTGGCCAGAGAGGAGAGAGGGAACTAAAGAAGGAAGTCAGGGCAGGTTTGAGGAGGGGAAAGAGAGTGATTTGAGCAGCTTCTGTAAAAGAGAGAACTATGTCTAAAGACCTTTTAGAAGATTTTCCGTGACTTGTGCAGGACAGTTTCCCTTTGCTGCCCTCTTGGGGGATCTCAGTCAACAATTAACAGTATTTTTCAAAACTTTGGGGAACTGGATTTGTGTTTCTTTTGGGTGTATCTCCATGTGGAGACAGGCATTTAGGTCCAGTTTTATTTAGGTTATATGGTTTTGATAAAAATTTGTAAATTATCTGCCAGAAAAAAAAATGTAAAAACTTACATTCTCACCAGAAACCTGTTTTGTGGCTAATAATTACAAAAGAGCATTTTTCTATGTAAACGGAGATGTGGTTGTAAGAAGACTACAATAGAATTTACAAGGCTTGATTCTAGGCCAAGCTCTTCTCCTTAATTTACTTGAGTAAGTCATGGAAACTCTCCAGCCTCCGTCCCATGGGGTGTGTAACCAGCTTGCCTGCCCCAGCCCCTCACAGTTTGGGGTGTTGCTCCTGTATCCCAAAATATCCCTGAGTGCATAAGTGTAAGCTCCCCACTCACCTAGGTATAAAAGCAGCAAGTCAAGAGCAATTGCTCTCCCTGTTCTGGGTCCCAGGACTCCTCTGGAGCAATGCTGTCCAGTAGAAATATAATGCAAGCCACAAATGTGAACCACACGTGTGATTTTAAATGTTCTGGTAGCCACATTTAAAAAAGCAAAGAGAAACAGTTGAAACTAATTTTAATAGCTTATTTTCTTTAACACAACATATCCAAAAGGTTATTTCAACATGTAGCCAATATTAAAAAAATTAATAACAGATTTTACATTCTTTATTTTTTCATACTACATGTTAAAAATAAAGTATGTGCTTAAACCTTACAATATGGCCTAGCCACATTTCAATAGCCACAAGTGGCTAGTGGCTTCCATATCCTGTAGCCCTGCTCTAGGGCAGGGGAGGTGGGACCCTGGGCTTCCCCCAGGAACCCTGCTCTCCCTGGAAGCACAGCTGCCTCCCTCCTGCCTGATTGTCATGTGCCTGTCTGCCCCTCTGCAAACCCAGAATTCCCATCCTTCTTCCCTACCTACTCCCTGCAGAGCCAGGCAGCTTTTTACTTTTAAAGCGTTTTACTTTTACTCCTGGCGACCCAAGAAGTCTGATTCTAAATCCACCCCAAGAAAATGGACAATAGATAATACCGCCACCCTGCTGCACCCTTTTTGGAAGAGTTTCCTTCCATGATTTTGCTGCATGACCACTTGTCCTAACAGACCATTGCCAGAACAGCAACTTCATTGATTCTAGGGAGCAGCCTTACCTTTCTCCCTTTCTGAGCGGGGTTCAGCCCTCGAGGGGCCCTGGGTGATTTTCTGGCCCCTTCATTCTGAAAAAGTAATACCCACGAATGTCATCTCCAGCAAGACATCTCCTGTATGTATAAAATAAAGCTGGTGCTCTCAGAAAGTTTGAGGGAAAGATGATCTATGCGAGTGTGTGTGTCTCTGTGTGTGTGTGAAGGAGCACAGAGTATCTAGTGACTGGCAAGAGTGTCCTGAAGGGCCCTGGTAGCTGTGAGGTTGCCCGCATCCCTCCCATCACCCTGCGAGCCCTCCGGCCTATGCCACATTGCTTCCCTCCCTCCCACTCTCCTTTTGTTAAGTGGCACACGGAGAGGTTATTTATTGTAGCATTCTGACAAATAAAAGCCATTCCTCTGATTTACAACCGTGCCACCCCCTCTCTTTGAGTCAGTGTGTGATTCATCTCTTTAATGTGATCCTTCCGAAGCGTGTGGCTCACTAGGGGAATGAATACGGAATGAATCCTCTCTGCCAGCCTTCCTCCTGTGGCTTCTCACTGCTCCTCCTGGCCCCAACACCCACACCCGACAACAATCTAGTCCGTGCCAGCTTCTGCCAAGGGCTTACCATGTTTCTCCTTTTCTCCTGTGATTCTGTCCCATTGGTGACTCTGTACTCGGTTCCCAGGAGAACTTAGCAGGGGCCCTGAGGACAAACACCCACCAGAGTCAGCTGCATCCCCAAAGATTCCTTTTGTTTTGGGAGGAACCCAGGAGCCCTGGAACCTGGTTTGGTTTCCAGGTTTGAAAACCACAGCCCTGGCACCCTGAAGCCCCGCTGCTGATCTGAAAAGGAGTGACATTGACAGGGAGTGTGGGGGGAGTGAGGTGTTGTGGCCCCCACCCCAGCCTCCAGGCTCCTCCGTTCTGACCTGGTCACATCATCTCCTAAGATTTTCCTTGCTTAACTCCTCCTTCATTCATTCATTATATTGTGGTCTTAAACTCCTCTGTAGTCACTTTTCTTTTTGTAAAATTGTGGTATGCATTAAAATGTTACTATTTAGCCTTTTTTTTTTTTTTTTGAGATGGAGTCTTGCTCTGTTGCCCAGGCTGGAGTGCAATGGCTTGGTCTCAGCTCACTGCAATCTCCACCTCCCCGGTTCAAGTGATTCTCCTGCCTCAGCCTCCCGAATAGCTGGGATTACAGGTGCCCACCACCACGCCCAGCTAATTTTTGTATTTTTAGTAGAGACAGGGTTTCACCATGTTGGCCAGGCTTGTCTTGAACTCCTGACCTCGTGATCCACCCGCCTTGGCTTCCGAAAGTGCTGGGATTACAGGTGTAAGCCACCATGCCCGGCCCCATTTAGCCATTTTTAAGCATACATTACAGTGGCATATTCACATCATTATGTGACCATCACCACCCTCCAGCTCCAGAACTTATTTTGCCTCTCCAAACTGAAACCCTGTACCCATGAAACAGTGATTCCCTTTCCCTTCTGCCCACAGCCCCTGGCAATCACCATTCTGCTCTCTGTCTCTATGAATTTGACTACTCTAGGTACCTCACATAAGTGGAGTTATACAGTATTTGTCCTTCTTTTGTGACTGGCGTATTTCTCTTAACATAATATCTTCAAGATTCACACATGTTGTAGCACATGTCAGAAGTTCCTTCCTTTTCAAGGTTGAGTGCTATCTGGAGTGTGCATATATCCATGCCACATTTGGTTGAACGATTCATCCATCAAAGGTTGGACGCCTGGGTTGTTCTTGCCTTTTGACTATTGTGTCACACTCTTCTCCATCCTGGGCATTTCCCAGTGCCTAGAACATTCTTTGCTTTTGAGGGGTTTCTGGTATGGGTGGAAGGCTGACTCCTTATAATGCATAGAGATCACCTGGGAGCAGAGGAGAGACACCTTAGAACAGCAGGAGGTGACAGGAGAGCTGAGACTTGAAGAGCGACAAGTGACAGAAGGACATGGCAGCAAAAGAAATAACATGTGCAAATGCTCAGAGGCAAGAAAATCTTGGTTTCTTCCAAGCCTGCAAGTAGCTAGGCCTGGCTACAGTCAAGGAGGCGTATTGAGGAGCAGTGGATATGGGGCCCATCATTAAGAGCCAGAACACCTTTCTCTATCCCATTGACCCTGGGAAACCATGGTAGGGTTTTCAGGAGCCTTTAGAAGGCAGAAGAGCTCCTTCTGTGGCCATATGGAAGATGGTCTTCAAGTGAGAAAGACTCCAGCTAGAAGGCCAGAGGGAGATTGTTGCCTCAGTCTAGTGAGAAAGAGCGTCTGAACTATGGCAGTTGGCTAGAAAAGAGGCAGCCATTTCAAGAGCCCTTTAGGAAGTAGAATAGACAGGACCCAGGAGCCATTTGGATGTGATGGACTTATTTCATTTCAGCAGCAATTATGGAGCTGGGTAAGGAGATCATTAAGAAATGGCATTTAGGGTTTAGTGTGGAATGAGCAGGAGGGAGGAGCTGGGAGTGACTCTGAGGCTTCTAACATGGACAGCATTGTACATTGTCACAATGATAACTTTCCCCACCTGGTTGTGTACACTGGTAAGATAGGGACCCCTTCAGGCATGGTCTGGTCCAAGCATGGATTTTACTCAAAAGGGAAGACAAGCTCAAAGAGGTGCTCAATCCACCCAAATGCACACGGCCTTCTCATTCCTCTGGTCAGCCAGCTATAAAACCAAATGAAATTTCTCCACTTACTGCACAACCCTGTTTGTTTTAAGAGATTTTATTGCCAATTACCACTGGGAGATCTAGAGACGTTAACAAAATCACGAACAATGGGGGAACAAGAACTTGTAATTAAAATTCTCTGTTTTTGTTACTCCTGCTCTTCATTCAAATGTCAGTGGAGCTAAGTCAGTAGCATTCTTTTCTTTCTCAAATGCTTGTCTTGGTGGCCTCTGGGGAGGTCATTCCTGTTCTTGTCTCAGGAATCAGGCCTGCACTACCTTCCATGCCTGGCTTAGCATAGCCTTCCTCCTTGCTCACCAGAAGCCCCTAGGTGCATGTTTGTGAGATTTGACCTGGTTGCTGATCTGGGCTGTTCAGACTCCCGAGCCCCAGACAGAAGCAGCTTTGCCTCCCTTGGGTCAGCTGGCACCTCCAGTTCGGTCCTGCATTTGTGTCTATTCACTGGTTTGACCTCTGTGGGGCAGGAAGGTCCTGCCTTATCCTTTCCCCAGAGCCTCCTGCAGGGATGTCAAGGGGCCTGCTCCAATCTGCAGGTTTAGGAGGTGGGCCCTGACCATGGCCACTTTAAGACAGGCAAGGAGCATCCCCAGAATAAACCAGCACAACCAACTCAGCCTCAGAACAATCCTTGCCCTGCCCTGCTCTGGCTCAGCACTCACCTGGCTCAGGTCTGACTTGTCTGGATTTGGCCATGGGTGTCCTGACTCTCTTTTCTTCACTACCCCTTGGCACTGGCTTTCAGCACCTGGTGCTCCCTTTGGCACTTGACACCCCTGCCCCCAGCCTTGGCAGAGTGGCCAAGGCCCCACCCCCACGCCCCACAAATCCCACGACTGGCCCAGCTCTCCCCTCACTGCGGTGGGCCTCTGCACAACATGAACTGGCTGTGGCCCACCTTGGCCCCCACTTTGAGACCCTGAGCGTCTGCTCCCCAGTCTTTTTGTCTCTCCACTTTGGTTCTCTCCTCCCTGATCATTGATCTGCAACCTCGTCCCTAGCAAGGTTGGTTCTTCCCATCAGTGAAGCTGCCTGTCCTGGGCCAATCTCTCCGTGATTTGTCATTGTCATTTAATTTACCCTTTTTCAAACCCTGTGGGGGACAGATCATGATCTCCTTGTGGAAGTGAGGGAAATGAGGTTTAGAGAGACTAAGTTAGTTGCCCAAGAACACACAGCTGGGGTGCACATCGGCATCTGTCTGACCCCAAAGCCTGTGCCCTTTCCACTTTCTCCCCATGCAGCAAGCACCCAATTCTGGTCACCCTTCCTGGTAAGGAGGGGCTTCTGGCCAGGTACGGTGGCACACGCCTTTAATCCCAGCACTTTGGGAGGCCAAGGTGGACAGGTCATTTGAGGTCAGGAGGTTGAGACCAGCCTGGCCAATATGGCAAAACCCTATCTCTACTAAAAAATACAAAAATTAGCCAGGCATAATGGTTTATGCTTGTAATCCCAGCTATTCGGGAGGCCGAAGTAGGAGAATCGCTTGAACCCTGGAGGTGGAGGTTGCAATGAGCAAAAATCGTGCCACTGCACTCCCGCCTGCTGGGCAACAGAGGGAGACTCCGTCTCAAAAGAAAAGAAAAGAAAAAGAAGGGGCTTCTGTCACCTTAATATTTTTTCATGAATATTTGCTGAGTACTATTCCATATGTGCTTTGCACATGTAACTCATTTAATCTCACAATAGCCCCTGTGATAGGCACTATCATATCCTCATTTCCAGTTGAGAAAACTGAGTCACCAAGAGCAGTTTACCCAGGCTTCCCCAAGTAGGGAATGGCAGAGTTGGGATCCACCCAGGCAGCCTGACTCCAAAGCCCAGCACTTTAACCACTCCACTGCAGACACCTCTCATTGGTGCAAGGAGAGCGTGCAGAGGTGGAGAACAGAGAGATGCACCTGGTTGGGGGACAGCAGGAGGGGGTGGGAGGAAGGCAAGTGATCCAGGCAGGTGGGCACCATCTTGGGTTGGAGGGCAGGAAGCAGCAAGCTGAGGCCCAGGCCCAAAGATGCAGGAGGAACTGATGGGCCCAGCTGCTGGCATGAAGGTATGAGGTATGGAGTAGGCCCTTCAGCCACACTGGTCTCTCAGCGTTCCTGCCTCCAGGCCATATGCATATGCTGTTTCCTCCACCTGTGATGCTCTTCCCTCAGATACATGCCTGGCTTTCTCCCTCTCACCCTTCCTATCTCTGCCCAGATATCTCCTTCTTCCAGAGATCTTCCGTACCACCCGATGTAACATAGACCCCTCATCATGCTCCATCTCCTTACCCTGTTGTATTTTCTTCTTACCACTTACTGCCAGATGATACATATTAATTCACCTCCCCTCTAGCACATAAGCTCCCAGGAGGACAGAGATTGGCCTGTTTTACTCCCTGGGATTTTCTCAGCCACCAGGACAGTACCTGGCTCATAGTCCTGCCCAATAAACATTATTTACAGAGGGAATAAATGAATGAAGCGAGAGCTCAGCCCCTAAAACTATGTCAGAACGGGATCAACTGTCAGGCTGACCTGCCCCGCCCTCCAGCAACAAGATTGGATCCCTGAGCCTGGGGCAAGGCTGAGCCTGTACCTGGGGACCAGTGAGTCCCAGCTGCACTCCCAGGTATTCAATGTCATTTCAGGTGCTCTTATCAGGGACCCGTGGTAGCCAGAGGACTGTGATATGCCAAGCCGGGCAGGCTCATGGTGAGTGTCAGGAACCCTACCACCAGGGCCTGGAGAGCCACCTGAACTACACTGGGACACTGAGTTTCTGCACTACTACAAGAGAAAAGCAAGTTCTACTCTCTTGCCTTGTCAAATGGGGCCACTCAGGAGGTACCTTGTACTGCTGGGGCAGAGCAGATGCCATCCACTCAAACGCCAGGAAATGACAAGCACCCCCTCTGCTTGTCCCCTCTTCCTTCGTTCATTACCGAAGATAAGGAGAAAATCAACTTTTCGGTCAATGAAGTGCGTGCAACTAATGGCATCATCTGCTGTCTTTGAGCCTTTGCTGTGTTTACCAGAACAACACCCCCAGGAGGACAGGGATTTGGTTGGTTGTGCACAGTGACTGGCACATAGTTGCTGCCAAGAACCCCCGCCGATTGAATAGATTTGTTGAAAGTGTGACGTTGCAAGCTCCACCACACCATGCGTGAAGCACGCGGTAATCTGATGCATACCACTATTCTGGGGCCACATGATACCTTTTACCAAGATTCCATTAGCAACATCTGCGCTCTTCCCAGAGGGCAAGGAGCTGGGTGGACTACTGTGCGGATTAAATGCATGACACACGTGGGATGTAGGAAAGCGCCTGATACTAAGAAGCCCCCAGCAGATGTTTGCTTTTAGAATTGGCAGCTACTGTTCCCATTTGAGAGATGATGACAGGCTTGGTGAGGTCTAACCGATGAACTGCCTTGACTTTTAACCCAAAGCTCTTTCCTCTGCACACACGGAAAGCGAATGCATGTGAACTGTTATATGCAGTTTTAGCTTAATCAGATCAGGGTGTGAACCTCCCCAGTGGGGTGTTAGGCTATATAATAGTTAAATACCGTGGACCAGGGACTTGGCTTCACTGGGTGGTGGGTTTGGGGGTTTGAAAGAGGGCCTGTGCCTCTGTTGGTCTGCCCCATGAGGCCTGGAGCTGGAGGGTCAAGAGAGCCCTGGGCACACAGCCGTGATTCTGAAAGCTGACAAATGCCCAGTGTTCCTGCAGACAGGCTGAAGAGATGGGGCTGCGTGGCCGGAACAGCTGGGTGGAGGCTGGTGGCAGGAGGCAGTGTGAGTCCCCGCTTTGTTCCTGGGTAGTCACGGGGACAATCAGAAGCATAGAGAAGCCCCTTTCCTTTCCCTCTGGGCTGCAGCCCAGCATTTGGAGCTTCCTGCTTGCCAGCCAAGGAGAGCCTCTGGGAGAGCCCCAGATCAGGCTCTGCACCCAGGTTGGCAGGCGACCAGCACCCTAGGCTGCCCAGCTGAAGCCAGGACCTCTTTTCTCCCACGGCCCTCCTGTTGACTCGGGGAGTAACCCAGGGGAAGAGAACCTGAACCAGGAGTCCAAGTCCTGGGCTGAAGTCCAGTGTAACTGCTCATGTCTGTGGCTCTGGGCAGGTTGCTTAACCTCTCCTCCCTGGTCCCTCCCAGAGCTGTCATGGGAGCTCAGAGAAAGAGCTTAGTTCCCTGCCTGTCACCCACTACACTCACAGTGAAGATCTGCTGTAAGAGTGAAGGGAGGGAGGAATAGCAGGTGTTCCCTAAATATTTTGAAGCAGCTGAAGGGGTTTCCAGAAAGATGGCAGAGAGAGTGCCTGTTTTCAGAACTTCCTTCTCTGAAGCCTCCAGAATGAACAAGAGTCAGAAATGGAGAGGGAAACACCTTCTTTGCTGAAAGCAGACAACAGCTATGACCTCATACCCCCACCCCTGAAGACTATATCGTAAAACCAAGAAATCCAGGTAAAGTGAAGTGGGGGGCTAAAAGCCAACACCCACCTGAATGGGTGTCACAGGCTGGTCTGCAGCCTCATCTTCACCTGCATAAGGACAAAGGGCCACCTTTCATAAGCAGACAGACCCAAAGACAGACCGAGATGTCCCACGGCCACTGGTGGAAAGAGATTATCTCAAGGACCCAGTCAGCCTGACCCTGCCCCCAGAGCATATGCACACACCCCACTGCCCAAAACACTGGCTCAAGCGTGGACAAGGCCAGTGGTGCCTGGCACAGAGGGCATGCTCAGGGAACGTCTCTGCCTCTGAATTCAAACCTGTCTCAAGAGAAGGCTCTTTCTTTTTTCTTCATGGACATGTGGCCAGTGTTTAAGTTCTGGGCCCAGTCATCAATGAGAAGAACAGGTTTCTTGCCTTTGTAAACTCTAGGGTCCACAAGATTTTCTTTTATGGACTGCACGGGCAGGGCCTGCTTGGCAGCCTCTTTCCTTTTGTTCACGTTCTGACTGAGGGCTTTGTTTAAATGCCAAGGAGCTCATCCCTTTTATTATTGTTATTTCAGCTGCAGGAAACCCAAATCTTTATAGATTTCCCCTTGCAGTGGATCTTCTGTGATCTATTCTTCACTGACAGTGGACACATAAAAATGGATGTGGAGGCACATAACTGTGTCCACATGTAACTGCACATAACTGACTAGGCAGAATGCTGGGCTGTTGGGTTGTCTGCAGAGTAGGATGCTGGCCTTTTTGTGGGTGTGATGTCAGGAGCTTATTTTGCCATACAGTGAATCCATGAAATCATGGACTCTCCATGTTGGAAGCTCAGGTATCAAAACCACTCCTTCTGGCTGGGTGCGGTGGCTCATGCCTGTAATCCCTGCACTTTGGGAGGTGGACCACATGAGGATCAGGAGTTTAAGACCAGCCTGGCCAACATGGTGAAACCCCATCTCTACTAAAAATAAAAAATTAGCCAGGCATGGTGGTGAGCACCTGTAGTCCCAGCTACTTGGGAGGCTGAGGCAGGAGAATCGTTTGAACCCAGGAGGTGGAGGTTGCAGTGAGCCGAGATCGCGCCACTGCACTCCAGCCTGGGCGACAGAGTAAGACTCCATCTCAAAAAAACAAAAAAACAAAAACACAAACAAACAAACAAAAAACACTCCTTCCATCCTCTTAGAGCCTTGAGGTGATCTGAAAGAAGAATGCAAGGCTGTTTTTGGCAACTCAGGAGTTTTGTTTAGATTCTGAAGCCAACAGCTCTGCTAGAAAGAACAGCATAGTGTCTGAAGTCCCTCTTAAGGGAGTATATTGCCATTCAAATTTATATGCTCCGCAGAAATGTCTTCTTCCACAAAGACTAAGAGGAGAGACTTTTGATGTTTGTCTTGTATCCAGAATATGATGGACGAATGGATGGAGGGAGGGAGGGAGTTTGTTTCAAAATATTCATGTTTCAACACCAGAAAACAGAATGTGATGTGGCTATTCAGTTTACCAAAAATAGTAAATAAGGATACTTGTGGCTGGGTGCGGTGGGTCACGCCTGTAATTCCAGCACTTTGGGAGACCGAGGAGGGAGGATTGCTTGAGCCCAGGATTTCAAGACCAGCCTGGGCAACATCGTGAAACCCCATCTCAACAAAAAATACAAAAAGAAAAAATTAGCCAGTTGTGGTGGCACATGCCTGTAGTCCCAGCTACTTAGGAAGCTGAGGTGGGAGGATCACTTGAGTCCAGGAGATCGAGGCTGCAGTGAGCCAAGGTCATGCCACTGCACTCCAGCCTAGTGACAGAGTGAGGCCCAGTCTCAAAAAATAAATAAATAAATAAATAAATAAATAAATAAATAAAATAAAAGATGCTTGTGAAAACTTAAGTGAAAATTCACACATGACTTTAATTAGAAGCAGTGATCCTAAGATCTCATCTTACTCTAAAATGTATTATTTAATCATCCTGTGAATTGAGCAACTCCTTTTATTGGGAAAGATGTGATTTATTTTCTATTTCTGAGTAATCTGCACAGATAGCCCTAGGAGTTCCATAATATGTATGGCCCAGGATTTATTGATTACAAGCCTTTCTGAAATATGTGTATGTAAAAGTATTTCTGGAAAATCGAAATATCTTCTAAGTACTTGCCCATTATGTGCCTGAATTCTTTCTCACAAAATGATGTTTAATTAGAAGCTAGAGTCCTTTAACACTTTAAACTCAAATCATTTTTATTCTTCAAATTTTCAAAGCATTCTTTCTTCCCAGTGCATCAGTCAGCTTGTGCTATAGAAAAAACAACCCACTATGTTAATAACTTATGAAAATAAACATGTATTTTCTTACTCACATGATGTGAGGATGGTGGCATCTCTGGGCTCTGAAGGCCCCGTATGCCTTCCTATTCAGGGACCTTGGCAGAAGGTGCAGCCAAACCCGAGACACGCTGTTCTCTTGTTGCAGAGGCAGGTGCAGGAGTGACTGTCCTGAACCTCACAATCACTAGAAACAGCTTTGCCTCAGACCCAGCACACAGCACATCCCCTCTCATCTCATTGGAAAGTGTCATATGGTCAAGTCCAAAGCCAGAAGCATCTGCTCCTAGGATGCTCAGGCAGGTCACATGACAATGGGCAAGAGTGTTACATTTAACTCAGGCCTACTGAATCTTTGCCAGTAGCATTGATTTTGTCTTTAATTGACAAATCTCATTCACAAAGACTTGTCCTTCATCTGTGACATGTTCTAATTTTATCTATTTTAGAATTCTTAACTCTACCTAGTATAAAATTTTCTATTTAACTGACTAAAAGCTGGAGAATGGAGACAGCCCTTAACCAGAAGTCAGATGACTTTGGCTTAAGCCTAGCTCAACTCAGCATCACCAGGCAACCTCGGGCAGTTTTTACTTTCTCTGGGCCTCAGCTTTCTCATCTGTGCACATCAGAGGAGGTAACAGTACAAGAGTGCTTAGGAAGGAATGAAGCACCAGAGGAATAGATGGTTGTTAGAGATGACATTCCAAGCATTTACCAATTGGCTGAAGTGGATGTGTGCCAGAGCACCAAAACAGCATCTTGGAGGCCTCAGTTAAAATTCTTTAGATACTGGATTCCGGGAGGGTGTCTGGGAAGAAGGAGCCAGGGCAGCGTTTGAGGATGCTCAGAGCGGTGGCTGATTACCAAGTGGTACAGAGGCATTTCAGCACTTTCACAACCAGTACAGTCATTTCAGCACATCCCTACTGAACGCCATCCCTGTGTGATGTTTTTATTCACATTCCTGCAGATGAGGAAAGGCAGCCTTGCCCAGCAGAGAGAATATTGAACTGCGAATCACAAGACCTGAGTTCTGGGCTTAGTTCCACCAGTCACTTGGCAAGTGACTTCACTCTTGTGTGCTCCAGTTTCTCTACCTGTGGAATGCAGTAAATAGTCCACACCTTCCAAAGCTGGCATTTAGATGAAATGGGGCCTTGTGAGGGAAGCACCCAGCACAGCATCTGGCTGACCAGTAGGTGTTTCCTGAATCTACATCTGAACTTGATCATATTGTTTGGGTCCTAGCCCTGCCACTTACTGATTCCATGAACCTGTTTCCTGTAAACTCCATAAAATGGGTCAATCTGTGGGGCATATGCAGTGCACATACAGTGTTCAGAACAGTGCCTGGTAGACAGTAAGTACACAAATGGGTCCTATTTTATTTATTTATTTATTTTTTTGATACAGAGTCTCACTCTGTCACCCCGGTTGGAGTGCAGTGGCACTATCTCGGCTCACTGCAACCTGTCCCAGGTTCAAGCGATTCTCCTACCTCAGCCTCCTGAGTAGCTGGGATTATAGGCACCTGCCACCACACCCGGGTAATTTTTGTATTTTTAGTAGAGATGGGGTTTTGCCATGTTGGCCAGGCTGGTCTTGAACGCCTGACCTCAAGTGATCCACCTACCTCGGCCTCCCAAAGTGCTGGGATTACAGGCATGAGCCACCGTGCCTGGCCCTATTTTATTCTTTGTTTGTTCTCTGTTGTCACTGATCTCCACATCGGGTCTGCTGAAACCATGCCGATGGCTTCTTCCACCTTTTTCTTCACTGTTAGCTTCTGATGGCTGCCACCTCCTTCCCTCTTCTGTTGTTCTTTGTTCCTTTCCCTGCCACCTCTCCCGTGCATCATAGTATTAGCTTTGAGAGCTCTGATGCATTTGGCTGCAAGTGCCAGAAAACCCACCTGCAGCTGGCTTAACCTGTGTGGAAATGTGCCTGTCATGCACCAGGAAGGAGGGCACATCTCATGTCCCCAAAAAGCCATGAAGAGATTAGTTCATCCCAGCTCTCGTTCTCCTCTCAGCAGGATTCCACATGATTAGAAGATGGAAGGTGTTGACGGCAAATGGGACTGAATGTGGCCCTGTTCATGCCCAAGTGTAGATTTCCTGGTGTATAGAGGAATCCTGGTGCAAAGAGTGAATGCACAACCCTGGGTGCCTTTTTAGTGGCTTCTGGTAAGAGTGACCACTAGAACCAGGAGGTCAAGCATGGCCTACTTGAGGTGGCATCACTCGCGGCAGCAGCTGCAGGTAGAGGCCGCTCGTGGCAAGTGGGAGTCTCTGAAAAACCCAAACTGGACCCAAGAGAGGGAGAGTCAGCTTAAGAACCTGCCAGGGACTGGGTGCGGTGGCTCACGCCTGTAATCCCAGCACTTTTGGAGGCCAAGGCGGGCGGATCACGAGATCAGGAATTTGAGACCAGCCTGGCTAACACGGTGAAACCCCATCTCTACTAAAAATACAAAAAAATTAGCCGGGCATGGTGGCATGTGCTTGTAGTTCCAGCTACTTGGGAGACTGAGGAGAATCGCTTGAACCTGGGAGGCAGAGGTTGCAGTGAGCCAAGATTACACCACTGCACTCCAGCCTGGGCGACAGAGTGAGACTCCATCTCAAAAAACAAAACAAAACAAAAAAACCTGCCAAGCCCCGAGAGTACTGTCAGTTCCTGAGAGCAACAGTCAAATCCAACTCCTCCTGCTTCCTTACCCCTTCCAGCCCCTCCTGCCAAAACCACAAAGCAGCCAGCGGCAGCCCAGCAAGGAGGGGTAGACACGCGGGGCAGGGAGGAGAGGAGAGAAGAGGTCAACCTAAACTGCTTTCCCATTGCAGGGGCCAGCTTGAGGCAGGCCTGAGCTCCGGAGGAGAGAAGCTTTAATTTGGCTAAAGTTTAACTTCTTTTCTCCTATTATTATTACTCCAGGTCAGCCTTATTAATTACTAAATTGAAACTGTTTTACAGGTACAAGTGACCAGAGGATTATTTTTTAGTAAATTAATTTTTTGGGGGTGGGGGGAGGTGGGGAGGTAAGGTCTTCACAGACCAACTTTTAGAAACAGCAATTGAAATTATTTTTTGAAATAATCTTCTATTTATAAGGGAGGTGCAAAGATGGTACCTCTAGAGCAGGATTTCTCAACCAATTTTATTTTCATCATTGCTCCACTCCCACCCCAGGAGTCTGTTTAGGTGTTTATTTCTATGATTTTTCTCCCATAAAATTTTAGTCCCACAGATATGCTGGATATCTATTTATGTACTGTGGCCCTTTAGAGGGCCACAAACCATTGTGATTTTTTTTTTCTACCCAACAGACAATTTTCTCCCCTTGGGGGAGAAATGCCCCGTTGACAATGCATGCTCTAGAGAGTTCTGGTGTACCTTTCACCCTGTCTCCCCTAATGTAGCCATCTTACAAAGCTACTGTGGTAGGTGTGTCAGAACTAAGAAATTAACATTAGCACAACAGCATCCCGGAACAGGATCCAATCCAGGATTGCACATTGCATTTGGGGGTGGGGGTCATACCTCCTTAGTGTCCTGCATTCTGTGACAGTTAGTCTTTTCTTGTCTTTTCATGACCTTGACACTTTTGGAACATACTGATCGGGCATACTATAGAATGTTCATTCCTCACCTTGGGTTTGCGTAATGTTTTCTTATGAGCAGACTGAGGTTATGGACTTTGAGGGAAAATATGGTAGAAGTGCTGTCCCCTTCTCATTGCATTATATTGGGGGGCGCATGACAACAATAATATTTATTGCTCATTATGTTAATCACTTGGCTAAGGTGGTATCTGCCGGGTTCATTGCGAAGTCACTATTGTCCCCTCTCCATAATCTGTCATTAGAAGCCAGTCAATACATCCGGCCCATGCTCAAGCAGGGGAACGAAGCTCCACCTGCTGCAGGGAGGAATATCAAATCATTTTCGGACACGTGTTAAAACTACCACAGTCATTAGAAAATATTCTGGGGGAGATACGTTGAGGCTATGCAGATATCCTGTTTCTCCTTAAAGCTTTACCTTTTAATTTTAGCATTCATCTGTAATCCCAGCACTTTGGGAGGCCGAGGTGGGCAGATCACAAGGTCAGGAGATCGAGACCATCCTGGCTAACATGGTGAAACCCCATCTCTACTAAAAATACAAAAAAAAAAATTAGCCGGGCGTGGTGGTGGGCGCCTGTAGTCCCAGCTACTCAGGAGGCTGAGGCAGGAGAATGGTGTGAACCCGGGAGGCAGAGCTTGCAGTGAGCCAAGATCGTGCCACTGCACTCCAGCCTGGGCAACAGAGGGAGACTCTGTCTCAAAAAACAAACAAACAAACAAACAAAAAACAATTTTAGCATTTATCAGTGAATCTTGCCTGCTGCCATTTTTACTGTGGTATTCTAAGAGTGATTTTTCTACTTTCCTCAATTTTTCATTTATTACTTAGAATTCTTTTGTAAGAAAGAGTTGTCCCTTCTCCCCATTTATCCATTTATTTATTTATTCAATACATTATTTACATTAGTATTGACCCAAAGATTTTTATTCTTTGAGTCATAATACAATGCTATTGTTGTTTATTTTGTTACTCAAATTGTTCTACCTTTGGAATATCAGTCATTGGATGTTTTGATCATTGGAAGCTTTTTCAGGTTAGAGGTTTTATCCTTTTTACTTCCTTCCTTTGTTCCTTTCTTCCTTCTTAACTTCTTTTTTTACTTCTTTCTTATTTTCTGGCACTACAAGTTTCTCCAGGCTGGTCTTGTATTTTCTGAGCCCTAGCCTTAGAATCAGTGCTTTCTCTAAGGAATCTTGGTTCCTAGAAGACTTTTAATTACCTAAAGAGGGATGGAAAACATCATGGGATGTGCCCTAGATTTCTTCCAAAGGGCAGAGAACAGCCAGCTCTTCTGGACACATTTAGTGGGACAGGGGGAGATAAAAGTGAAGTTACTTTTTGATTGTATACTACATGACCCTTTGCTTAATGTAGCAGTAACCCTGAGTCACTAACCCCCCGTAGGGTTGGCCAGATGGGCTGAGGGAGGTGCACGTGCTTTGGAAAGTGGACAATGCTTTGCAAGTGTAAAGGCTGATTTCTGTGGCTGGCTTTTGATACACTGTTGTTTTAGTGTCCAAGGTACCTGAAAGTCAAGGAGCAAATGAAATGATTCTTGCTACAAAAGGGAACCATTTGGTGTGTGATTTTTAGCTGCTTAGGGCCATGATGCTAACAGATATTGATCAGAAAGCGCTTGCATTGCAACACGCTGGCCAAGTGCTTCTGCAGCACAAGGGACATGAGATTGGCAGGCTTCATAATATCACAAGGCCACTCTTTTCTGTAAGGGTTGGAATGGAAGCCTTGTGGGGAGACCTGCCGGATGCGGCCTGAGGTCCTGAGGAACAGCCCTGAGCTCAGAGATCAGATTGCACTGAAATACTTCTGGTTAGGCCAAGCAAAGCCAACAGGGCGGGTTTTAGACTTGCAGTGAAATATTTACATTAAATTTGGAATAGCATAGGCAAAAAACCCTCAGCTTCCTCTCTGTGAATGACCAGAAGCAGCAACTCCTCAGTGTAGAGGAGGTGAAGGCAGTTCCTCTTCTGGACTGGTAGATTTCCTCCCAGCCTGCGAGAAGAGTTCCTCTTATCCCCACGAAGGGGGTTTCACACCCCAACAAGGGAAGCTGGTTAACAAGGGTCTATATACGTCAAAGGAGCTAGCTGCTGTACTGCTAAGATCAATTCCAGCACCTTTTTATAATTCCACAAATTTACAGATTGGTAGAACTATCTAACTGGGTCTCCAAAAGAAGCTTACCTTAGATGGAGATATGGTTCGGCTGTGTCCCCACCCAAATATCATCTTGAATTATAATTCCCACAATTCCCATGTGTCATGGGAGGAACCTGGTGGGAGGTAATTGAATCACGGGGTCAGGTCTTTCTCCTGCTCTTCTTGCGATAGTGAATAAGTCTCATGAGATCTGATGGTTTTAAAAAGAGGAGTTCCCCATACAAGCTTTCTCTCCTTGTCCGCTGTCATCCATGTAAGATGTGATTTGCACCTCCTTGCCTTCTGCCATGATTGTGAGGCCTCCCTAGTCATGTGGAACTGTAAGTCCATTAAACCTCTTTTTCTTCCGAGTCTCAGTTATGTCTATCAGCAGCGTGAAAATGAACTAATACAGATGGTGTCAGCTTGAGGGGAAAGAGCAGCCAGCCACAGAGCTAGGCCTGGAATGCAGTGCTTTTAGTGTTTTGGCCTCCGTTTCTTCATCTGTAAATGACAATGAATGATGTCTGCCATCTACATCTACAATCCATCATGGCTTCATGAGCATGAAGGATTGTTATAAGGAACAAATGCAGAACTAGGAAGAACGAGGTAAAAATGAATCCTGAGCAAACTCAGCCTGAGGCTTCTTGTTCATTTCCTGACAAACACGATCCAGTGGAAAGAAACTGTACTAAGGATGGACAAGTTTGGGCCAGATGAACAAAAGCCCTGCCAGCTCAGAGAATCTGTGACTCCAGCTGCTGCTGGGTTCCTGACATAAAACAGGCACTATATGCAGATAAGTCAACTGCATGAACTGAGTGAGGGAGAAGCAGGTCAAGCAGTGTGCTTGTTCGCGGGTATTTGGAAGGGAGAGTCCTTCAGCTCTGGGAAGCACAGCAAAAATGCAGGCTAAGATTCCATGAGTCCTGATACAGAGCCAGGTGACAGCCAGGCCCTCAGGACAAAGGCAGGGCTGCAGAAGGACCCTGGAACTCTCCAGTATCAGAACTGGTGGGGCCCACACCCTCATTCTTCCCAGTGTTGCCTCCTCTGGGAAGCCTCAGCTGCTCACAGGTCAACCACACCTCTGCCTCTGTGCATGTCCCTAAAGGAGGGGAGCCTACCTTACTGTGATCCCATTGTGGAAAATTCACTCCCGCCATGAAACCAGAGCTCTAGCGGTTGGGGGAGCTGTATCTGCTTTGATTCTGTGTCCTCTTTAATCCCCAGCACAGTGCTTCCTTCCTAGTGAAAGCTTGGCAGAATTTGAGTGGAACTGAGTATAAAATGTGGAAGGAATCTTGGGGCCCAGAGGGAGGAGTCCAAATAGGAGATGGAATCAGGGTGCATAAGGATGCCCAGATGATGCATTTGATGAGATGTGGGTGTCAGACAGAAGATGAGAGGTTCAGGACCTGAGTAAGAACCATTGTGGACCACACAGGACCCAGATGGGGCAGAGGAAGTGGGATCTGGGGCTGAGTGGAACTGTGGCTGGGATCTCAGCCAGCTGCCAAAGCTGTAGTCTAGTGCGGGTTGGTGTAGAGTATCCATTGGGTAGGACAATTTTGGGGAGTCTTTCCTCCTGCGGGGTTGGTTGGGGCACTGCTTAGCAGCAGGAAGGAGGCCAGACAGATGGGGAGCTCTGTGACACTTCCAAGAGACTGTTCATTCTTGACATGGCTTCCACAAGGCTGAGAGTGTTTGGAGGTATGTTGGAGTCCATTAAGTGGATCTGGCCAGACTCCAAGCCTAGTGGAGAATGGAGTGCTCATCAGGAAAACCAAAGTAGATGCACTGCCCACTGGACTGAGCCAACACAGCAGAGAGGGAGTTGGTGATGCAGGTGCTGTCCAGATGTGCCCAGCGGCACACAAGAGCAAACCCTGCCTACACCATTGATTAGCTGTGCATCATTGTGCAAGTGAGTTCACCTTCAGTCTCTCTATTTCCTCATTTGTACAATGGGAAAATGGCACTGCCTGTCTCATACCGTGGTGGTGAGGATTAAATGAGAAAGTGCATGTAAAGTACTTAGCACAGCCTCTGACACACAGCAAGTGCTCAATTAATGGCAGGTATTGTTATGTTTAATGACACTGCCCAAAGCTTTTAAATCTCAGCACTATTGACATTTTTGGCTGAATAATTCTTTGATGTGGGGTGGCTGTCCTGTGCCTTGTATGATAGTTAACAACATCCCTGGCCTTTACCCACTAGATGCCAGTAGTAACCTCTAGTTGTGAAAACCAAAAATGTTTCCAGACATTGCCAGATATCCCCTGGGAATCAGAGGAAGCAAGACACCCCCAGTTGAAAGCACTGCACTAACTCCAGAGCCTCCAGGTGCTGGTCTTCAGACAGTGAGTATTTTTCTGGTGGGGCTGCAGCCAGAGAGTACATACCATGGCTCAGGCCCAGGGCCCACCTGAACCTGCCCAGGACTCATCAGAGGATGTGAGGCAGAGGATGGCCCTCTGCAGCAGCGGCCAAGCCCAGCTAGGGGCAAGTGCAGCAGCAAATAGTTATCAGTGCAGGAGGTGTATGTCAGCCAGCGTGGGCCAGGGCAGGCTCAGAGAGACAGCTGGAGAGAAAGAAGGAGCAGGCACACCCCAGACAGGGGTGCTCCCCGCAAAGAGAGGCCACAACATGAAGTCCCTACTGCCTGAGGGCAGGGACATTCTGTGACATATGGACCCCATGAAAACCATCAAACAGGTGGGGGGAAAGTCAATGGGATAGGAAAGATGGAGGGGGTGACATTATTGAGCACCTACTGTATGCCAAGTGTTGTACCAGGGGATTGGGAAGGTGGTGTGATAATATATAGGGTAGACCTTGCTTAGAAGGTCTAAGGCTTACAGCTTACAGGCTAATTTCTGTTTTCTTCTTTCCTTAAATTTACCAATACAGTATTTGAGACTCAAATACAAAATAAATCAACACTAAAGGTTAACTTCCAAACAAAGAGGGAACAGTATGGTGAACCATCCTATTCTTAAGGATGCTGATCCTTGGAGACCTGCCCAAAGACACTCAAACAACAGGGGAGGAGCCAGATGTTGACATCTGGCTGACTTGAGAGCTTGTGCTGTTTCTACTCTGCCAAGTTTCAGGACACATCGGGGTTAAACAACATCAGACGAGCCTGGGTAGATAATGGGGACCTCCCTCTCTGGGGAGACCTTACAGCATGAATATTCAACAGTGAGAAAGGAACAAAGTCATAGGCCAAGGGAACAGGGGTTTATAAATAGCTGGGGAGATGAGGAAGTCTGAAAAAGGAACAAGGCTGATGGGGCCAGGAGGGAAAACGTTAATTAATTAAAATAAGCCAAAGTACACTCAGAAATCTAGAGCTCTCCTCTCCACCAAATTTCTGGGAGCCCCCTAAATCCAAAAATAAAGGGAGGTCAAAGAAGCTCAAGAGGCAAGAATAAAAGAGATTGCAAGATCCAAATTCATGGTGCTGTGCACTCTGAGGTTGGCTTGCTTGGTAAAGGGTGACACAGTTGACATGACAGTTTTCTCTAAAAATGCAAGGTGATGGGCACCTAGCATCTATCCCATGCCACCCCCACCTGTGATGATGGCCCTGAGTTGTGAAGAAAGGTTGGAATTCCTCTCAGGAGATGGCTCTGGCTGCCGAGCCAGGGAGAGCGTCACTGCCATGAACCCTCCTCTGGCCTCTTGTTGGAGCACTCAGCTGACGGATTGTCAAAAACTTCTTTGTGTGGTAGTTTCCCTTCTCTACTGAGGGCCCCTGAGGACAGGGGCAGTATTTCTGGTTCCTCTCTACATTCCCAGTGCCTGGCATGATGCCTTCCCCGTAGGAGGGATGCAAAAATGTTTGTCAAATGAAGATAAAGACCTGTTTCCATCAAAAGTGCAGACAGGTTTAGCCCTTGGCGAATTCATCTTTTTTGTAAAATCAACCAACCACCCAGACTCTTATCCTTTAATTGTCACTTCTAGACAATGGAGACAGACCTCACAACCTGAACTTTCCTTGCAGGTTTCCCTCTGCAGCTGTCCCTCTGGTCACTGAGCATTGAAGGTTGACTTATCTTTCGCTTCTCCTGTCCTCATGCCCCCCACCCGCACCTTGTCCCATCAGTGAAGGCACTCAGTTAAATCCGCTCCTACGATGTTTCTTACACCTGCCTCCTTCTTTCCCTTTCTTTTCTGATTGATTTCAGGCCCTCCTGCCTGGGCTATGATGGTCACCTTCCATTTTCCAATCTTACACTCCCCTCCTAGATTAAAAGTCTCCAAACACAGTTGGGCCATGTCTCTTCCCTCCTAAGCAATCCTCATTGGCTCCCCTCATTTTTTTTCAGTTTTGTGCACATTCCCCACACATCCCTGGGGTATTCAGAGTCCCTTCTCTATCATTTGTCCCCAACCCACCCTTCCCATCTCATATCCGACTGCTTTTCCCATCTATAGCTGGGACACCAGGGCTCTGGGCCCCGCATCTGTCCTGTGCTTGTCTGCTCTCCAGCCCTGTGCTTTTGCTTATGTGATGACCTCTGCTGGGAGAGCCCTTCCTTCCCATGGCCACATGGCCACATCCTATCTTTTAAGATTCAGCCCCAAACTCAATCCTCTGATGAAGTCTTCACTGATTCTTCTCCTGCACTTTAGTTAGTAGCAATTACATCCTTTCTTGAACTTTCACAGCATTTAACCTTCACCTCTATTGTGACATTTGTCACCAAACACCAAATTGTAGTTATCGTCATTCTGTGTATTTTACCTCCACTAACACAATCTCCAAACTTTATTAATTGCATACTCTTCCAGTAAAAGTATTTTTGAGAACGTACTCCAGCATTACTATATGATATATTTTGTACATACTAACACATACACATATAAATTAGGAATTTGCAGAAGGATGTGATAAGTAGAAATAGTAGCCCTGGTATTTTCCTCCTATGCTCAATAATGGTGTATACTATACTTTGGAGACTACCAGTCTAGTGAATGAACGGTGCTTAGGCTGTAGGGGACATGAAGTCAGGGCTGTTCCCAGGGGTGGGGCATCCAACTTGAATGGAAGCAAGCATGAGAGCCAGGCAGGTCTCAGAGAGGACGAGCACTCCCTGGATGGCTGCTGCTGCAGCCAGATGGAGTGTGGCAGTTGGGGAAAGGTTTGGGGACCCCTGTGCAGGAGGGCAGGAGGGGGACGGCAGCTGGGCATAGTGCTTGCCCCAGGATTCCAGGCTCTCTTCAGTTGCCAGCCCATGTCCTCAGCAAACAGAGCCTCGGGAGAGAGGGGTGGACTGTCAGCAGCATGTCTCCTTGAGCATGCTGGAGCAGCTCTTAGCAGAGATGTTAATGCAATGTGAAAAAGAGGGTCTCTGACCCCTTTGTTATTTGATGGGCAGGAAATTAAAGCCCCAGAGAAGAGACTTGCCCAAGGTGACCATGACACTCTGATGTGTGAACTCTCCTCTCACTTGGCATCTGGCTTTTGTATTAGTGTTCACACTCTCAGGCATTCCCCAGTCACCTTGGCAGGCCTGCAGGCTCAGCTGCCCAGACCTGGCTGCACATGTGAAATTAAGCTGGTGGGCATCCAGGAAGGAGTGGCCAATTCCACCTATTCCCCTAGCTCAGCCCCCTAACATGCAAGCACATGCATACACATACATGCCTATCTAATGCAGGATATTTTCAGTGCCGCTTTGCCAGCCAGAGACCTTCATGGCTGGTGATGCCCCTGCTCACTCAAACCACCAGGCTGTGCCTGGCTTGCACTCCAGCGCAGATCCCATGGCCACAAGGACAGCGCACTCAGCCCATGGCAGAAGTGGGTGTGTGAGCAAGCAAGTGTGGGGTCCGGCTAGCTGCTCCAAGTGCCAGCACAGGAGCAGGCTTTGTGTGGGGCTTGCATTTGGACCAGGCATGTCATGACCGACTGCTGTGGTGGACTCTGGCCTCCAGATGAGGGGAATGCGGTGGCACCCAAACGGGGATGCCCACAACCCTGAAGCCCCAGAGCAGGTGTTAGAGCATGCTAACAGCTCCTTTAGTCCACTGCCCTGCTCCAGCCTGCGGATCCAGGGCTGGCCTGACCCTGACACTGCTTCCTGCTGCATGGGGTGGCTGCCCTCTGCTGATGGAGAATGGGAGGGTTACAGTGTTACAGCTTTCTTCATACTTACCTTCAGTGGGTCCCAAGTTCTTGTCCCACATCCAAGAAGAATGAGATTACACTGACAGTTGAAGGGTGAGAAGGGCATATAAGAGTTTTATTAAGCTACAAAATAGCTCTCAGCAGAGAGGGGATGTGAGGTTGGTCCCCCATCTGAAGTTGGGTGGTCTCTCTCCCTCAATGTGGCTGGGTCCGGGGCTTTTATGGGCTCAGAATGGAGCAGTGCATGCTGATTGGTTTGTGGGTATGCAAAAAAGGCTAAAACAAAGGCACCACTCAAAGGTGAGCATGACAGTGTAAAAAACCAATTAGGGAAGGGTAGGTATGTGTAAAATAGGTGAGGAGTGGGGATCAATCAGAGGAAAGCACGCCAAATGGAAAGAGAGGTTCTCAATCCAGTCCATGGATTTACCTGGGACTTGTAACTCGGCTTTCAGGCTTTAAACTGTCTTTGGTTTGAAAGTCAGTTTTTCACTAGGGATCTGCCCCTGTCTGCCTTGGGATTTGTCTGCCTCCTGCCATTATCATATCCACTCATACACTCACATGGGTGCATAAGTGCACATGCACAAATGCACATACATGTGCCTACACATATACACCCATGCACTCACATAGGCATAACACACACATGAACACATGCATATACATGCACACACACACTTATTTACTCATACACTTATGTATACACATGTGTACATGCACATTCATGTGCATACACAGCCACATCCATGCACTTACATAAGCATAACACACACATGCACACATACATGCACACATGTATATACAGGCACACATACTTATGCATACACACCTGTGAACTCATACACTCACACAGGTGCATGCATATACAAGCATACATGCACATACACATGCATACACATTCACACCCATGCACTCACACTCAGGTGTATACACACAGAGACACATGCTTATACATGCACATGCATGTGCACACATACCTATGCACTCACACATGCACACACACATGCATACACACTCATACACTCACACAGGTACATACATGCATACACATACACAACCATACACTCACACACTCACGTAGGTGTATACACACACAGGCATACACATGCACATGCATACATACACATGTACTCACATGTGCACACACACATATGCATACACACCTGGGCACTCACATAGGTGCATACACATATGCACATGCATGCGCATACACCTAGCTCAAGGACTGCTCTTGGTTAGAACCCCTTCACCAGCAATGTTCCTTCCAAATGTCCCTGTAATCTCTCTGCCCTGTAGTCTCTCTCACCAGACTGGCAGGCCTCAGTGCCTCCATGTCTGGCAATGTACACTTCTTCTCAGAGCATCTTTTATTTCCAAAAAAGAGAAGGGAGCTGAGTGTAGGCTCAAATGGCCTACATTTGAGAGGACAGGTAAAGTGGGGAGACAGACGGGACATGTTTGAGGGTCATGGGAGGAGAGTCCATGCCTACCCATCACCACTTTCTGAGCCCAAGATAGCTGAGGAAGGCTGGGGAGACCAGGTGGCTGGGCCTTGTCACTGCTCTGCCCCACTCACTCCTAGATCCTGAAGTGACCTCTCACTGTGCTGTTTGGCAGACTGTGAAACTGGGGAGAGGCATTGTGGAGCATTTGGGCATGCTCCTGGCTTAGTTGTGGAGAGGGCCCCCAAGCCCCAGGGCCCTGTACTGTGATCAGCCCCATGAGCCAATTCCCCAGTTGAAGAGAAATGTTTTCTTTCATTTATTCAATCAGCAAGTATCTATTGAGTATCTACTGTATAATAGGCCCTAGAGAAGATCCATAAAATGAACAAGCCAGAGTCTACACTCAAGTCAAACTCAGCAAAGTAAGCTCTGCAGGGCATGGAGCACAGAAGAGGGATTAACCAAGGGGTCAGGCTGGGCATTGACCTGTGGACGTGAGAGAGAAGGGTCCCAGCAGAGAAGCCCAGAGACAGAAGTAGAGAAGTTGAGAAAGGGAGGGCAGGAACCCAGGTGCAAGCTGAAAATGTGAGCACCAGTCCCCCGGCCCCCACCAGTATTGCTAAGCATTTTCTAGCAGTAGCTAAGTTGGTACCACTTTCCAGTGAATGCTTTCCATGAATTGACTGTTTTAACACTAGAGTCCTATGAGGCAGGTACTCTTATTCATCCCATTTTTAAAAATACAGGGCCTCACTATGTTGCCCAGGCTAGAGCTATGGAGTGGCTATTCACAGGTGTGATCATGGGGTACTGCAGCCTCCAGCTCTTGGGCTCAAGCAATCCTACTGCCTCAGCCTCCCCAGTAGCTAGAACCACAGGCTTGCACCACTATGCCCAGCTTATTCACCCCATTTTATAGATGAGACTGAAGCATAGGCTATAAGAAATTGACCAAGGTTTTACCATCACTGAACAATAGGGCCAGGTAGAGCCCTTACCCCCTACTACTCTAATATGGCACCTCTCGTTTTATCCATAGTCTCACTTATTATCTGATTCAATATTTAGACCACCCTGTGAGGTCCTATGTGGAAACCAAAGCACAAAGATGACCAAAGTACAAAGAAATGACCAACCCATGGTGTCACAGCTTGTAGAATCACAGTCTGACCTACACCCAGATCTTTTAAACCCTAAGACTCTGCTACAGGCTTCCAAGGCACAGACTGGGATGCCTTGGGTGCCTGTGCCAGAGCACAGACTGAGGTATCAGATGCCTTATAAGAGTGAGTGTGGGTGGAAAACCTTTTGGAGGTTCCTGAATAAGTTAAACATAGAGTTACCATATGACCCAGCAATTCCACTCCTAGGTCTATACCCCAAAGATTTGAAAATAGATATTCAAAGAAAAACTTGTACATGAATGCTCATATCTGCACTATTCACAATATCAGCACTATTCACAATAGCCAAAAGGTGGAAATAACCCAAATCTCCATCAACAGATGAGTGGATAAACAAAATAGAATATATCCATGCAATGGAATATTATTCAGCCATAAAAATGGATGAAATTCTGATACCTGCTACAACATGGATGAACCTTGAAAACATGCTAAGTGAAAGAAGCTGGATACAAAAGGCCATATATTGTGTGATTCCACTTATATGAAATACCCAAAATGAGCAAATCTACAGAGATATTAGGTTGGTGCAAAAGTAATTGCAGTTTTTGACCTTAAAAGTAATGGCAAAAACCGCAATTACTTTTGCACCAACCTAATAGAAAGCAGACTGGTGGTTGCCAGGAGCTGGAAAGGGGGAAATGGGGAGTTACTGCTAATGATTATGGAATTTCCATTTGAGTCATCAAAAAGTTCTGGACCTTGATAGTGGTGATGGTTGCACAACACTGCGAAAGCACTTAATGCCACTGAATTTTATACTTTAAAATGGTTAAAATGGCAAATGTTATGTATCTTTTACGACAATTTAAAAAAGATGGGAGTGAGGGAGTCATTGGTCACAGTACACTATGGGGGAGCAGTGGGGCCAGTACCCCCCATTCTCCTAAAAGGGAGGTGTCTAAGATTCTAGCAATGTCTTTAAATTTTTCTGAGTGCTTCAGAGAAAATCTTACAAATCAATCACTGCTAGTTCCCATATCCTTTCATCACAAATGGCATAACTACTACCAGTTTGTCCAACATGATGCTGTTTTGGCTTTATGCCCACTGCCTGGAGGTTCCCAAACCCCACAATGTATCACAATCACCCAAGGAATTTGTAAAATGACATTCCTGGGCCTCGGCCCAGAGACTTGGGTTCAATGGTCTCTAGAACTTGGGTTCTGGTCCCCAGAGACTTGGGTTCCAAGGTCGGAAATCTATATTTTATAAAGCTTCCTAGGAATTGTGATGCAGCCTGTCTTCAGACAGGTCTTTTGGGAACCACTACCTTGGTCCATTGAAGCGTGGAAGGCTGTGCATAAGATAGGCCCTGGTGGATAGATGTGTCTGCAGGTTTCTGTCCTGTGTCCTCCCCCAGCCCCTCTCCAGAGGAGATTTGGACCAGGACTGATGCCTTCTCTCCCCATTCCCTGTGTACCTGGCTCATCATTCTATCATCTCTCTGGCTTATAGGGGGCCTCACTATTGTGAAGATCTCTTATGAGGGTTCTCACTCCAGACATAGTGTCCCTCACACCAGAGCCCTGGGAATGGTCTTCAGACCCCACCAAAACCTGTCCGGGGAAGGCAGCCTTGGTTGGATGTCATCCAACTGCACCACCCCCACCTTTGCCCAATCAGGCCAGAGATCTCCACAGCACATTCTCCACTTTGTTTGTGATTGTGTACTTCAAAAATATATATTCCATAAAGAATATATAATTGTTATTAAAAAGTAGAAAGTAGGCTGGGAGCGGTGGCTCACACCTGTAATCTCAGCACTTTGGGAGGCCGAGGCAGGTGGATGACCTGAGGTCGGGAGTTCAAGACCAGCCTGACAAATGTGGAGAAACCCTGTCTCTACTGAAAATACAAAATTAGTGGGTGTGGTGGCGCATCCCTGTAATCCCAACTACTCTGGAAGCTGAGGCAGGAGGTTAGTTTGAACCCAGGAGGCAAAGGTTGCAGTGAGCTGAGATCGCACCATTGCACTCCAGCCAGGGCAACAGGAGTGAAACTCCGTCTCAAAAATAAATAAATAAATAAATAAATAAATAAATACAAAGTAGAAAATATAAACAGACTGAAGGGGCTGTAATTAATCAACCAAATCAACCAAAATTCCTCCATTCCCCTATTCTGAGATAACCATTGTTTTGGGTTTTGTTGTTGTTTTTTGTTTATTTGTTTTTTGAGACACAGTCTCAATCTGTTGCCCAGGCTGGAGCGCAGTGGCATGAGCATAGCTCACTACAGCCTCAAACTCCTTGGCTCAAGTGATCCTCCTTGGTACTACAGGTGAAACCACCACTCTCAGCTAATTAAAAAAATATTTTTTTGGGCCGGGCACGGTGGCTCACGCCTGTAATCCCAGCACTTTGGGAGGCCGAGACGGGTGGATCACGACGTCAGGAGATCGAGACCATCCTGGCTAACATGGTGAAACTCCGTCTCTACTAAAAATACAAAAAAAATTAGCCGGGCATGGTGGCAGGCGCCTGTAGTCCCAGCTACTCGGGAGGCTGAGGCAGGAGAATGGCGTGAACCTGGGAGGCAGAGCTTGCAGTGAGCCGAGATCACGCCACTGCGCTCCAGCCTGGGCCACAGAGCGAGATTCCATCTCCAAAATAATAATAATAATAATAATAATAATAATAATAATAATTTTTTAGAGACAAGGTCTTGCTATGTTGCCCAGGCTGGCCTCATACTCCTGGCCTCAAGTGATCCGCCCTCCTCTTTGAGATCCTGCCCTCTATAGTGCTGGGATTACAGGCATGAGCCACTGACCCCAGCCAACCATTGCTAATATTTTATTGCAGAATAACTTTCTAGACTTTGCAAATGTGTGTGTATATTATTTGTTTATTCAACAAATATTTATTGAGTGCCTACTTTCTGTCAGGCACTATACTGAGATCCAGGGATTCTGGAGTAAATGATACGGACAAAAATCCTTGCCCTCAGGGAGCTTGCAGTCTATATATTCATATAACTTTTTATTTTTTAAAGAACCATATGGTGCTTTTAAGTAATCTTTTCCCTTTAAGAGTATATTGAGAAAGTCTTTCCATATCAACGAATGTAGAACTACATCATCATTTCAATGATTGTATAATATTCCATTGGATATATTTATCCTAGTCTATTTAACCAATTATTGGCATGAAGAGGTTTGTTCTAAGTTCCCACTGTTATAAACAACTTTGAAATGATCCTGTTTATCCAGGGATCTAGGGCTCTTTGGTGCCTTTTTAATATTACCTTAGGATAAGTTTGTAAAAGTGGAATTTGGAAAAAGAACCAGGAATCAATCCGTGGTTTTGATACTGTATTGTAGTAGGCATACAGGTCTATGTCATTTTATCACGTTACTTCATCACATGTGTAGATTCACCAAAATCAAGATACAGAACTATTCCATCACCTGAAAGATCTTCTTACTGCTCCTCTTTATAGTCATACTTTTCCCATCCCCCAGTCATCCCTGACTGTTGGCAACCACTGGTTTGTCCTCTATCTCTATAATCATACATTAGATGACCTTTTGAGATCGGCTTTTAAAACTCAGCATATTGCCCTTAATATTTATCCGAGATCTGTATAACAACAGTCTGTTCCTTTTAATCACTGAGTAGTATTCCCTGGTATGGGTGTACAATTTGTTTAACTAATCACCTATTGTAGGCCAGTTGTTGGCTTTTACAAACAAGGCTGCTGTGAGCATTCAAGTACAGATTACGTGCACACAATTTGTATTTGTTTGAGATAAATGCCCAGGAGTATTACTGTCAGGTCTTATGCTAACTGTATGTTTAGTTTTTTTAAAGAAACTGAGAAACTATTAATATTTTTCAGTGTAGCTATATCATTTTATATTCCCACCGGCAATGGACAAGGGATGCAATTTCTCCGCATTCTTTCCAGCATTTGGTATTGTCAGTATTTTTAATTTTAGCTGTTTTAATAGCCATGTAGGGGTATTTTATTGTAGTTTTAATTTGTATTTCCCTAATGGCTAATGACATTGAACATCTTTTTACGTGCTTATTTGCCATCTGTATATCCTCTTCGGTGAAGTGTTCATTCATGTCTTTAGCCCATTTTCTAATTAGATTGTTTATTGTTTTGGGTGTTTTTTTTTTTTTGACTGCTGTGTTTTGAGAGTTCTTTGTATGTTCTAGATATGAGTCCTTTGTCAGATTTGTTGTTTGCAGATATCTTCTCCTAGTCCATAGCTTGCCTTTTCATTCTCTTAACAGGGTCTTATGCGAAGCAGTTTTTAATTTTGATGAAATTCAATTTTGTGGATTTTTTTTCTTTTATGGATTGTGCTTTTGATATCACACCTAAAGACTCTTCACTGGGCTCTAGGTCCTGAAAATCTTCTCCTGTGTTATCTCTGAATGTTTTATGGTTTTGCATTTTATGTTTAAATCTATTACCTCTTTTGGATGAAATTTTGTATAAAGTGGAAGGTTTGCATTGAGGTCCATGTTTTCCTTATGGATAGCTAATATTTCTAGCACCGCTTGTTAAAAAAAAACTATGCTTCCTTCATTGAATTGCTTTTTTGCCTTTGTCCAAACTCGGTTGGCTGTAGCCATGTGGAACTATTTCTGGGTTCGCTATTTGTTTCCAGTGACCTATGTATCTGTCCTGCCAATACCACACATTCTTGATTACTGTAGCTATATCATGTCTTAACATCAGGTAAAGTGATGCTTCTCACCTTATTTTTCTTTTTTCAAAATTGTTTCAGTGTTCTGGTTCCTTTGGCATGTACTTTTTCAAGGCTTGTGATAACGTATTACCAAACTGCTCCTGAAAGGTGGTACTAATTTAAACTTCCGCTGCAGTGTAGGGGCGCTTGTTTCCATACACCCACACCAACCCCGGCTGTTATCATTTTAAAAAATCTTTGCCTATCTGATAACTGAAAAATTATTCACATCCTTATTTTAAATTGCATTTCTTTGGTTGCCTTTGAACCTAAGCAGGCAGCCAGTGCCCCCAGATCTGAGTAGAAGAGTTTGGTACCTTGGTGATATCAAGATTCACATTTGAGGTTTCAGAAATGTCCAACAGAGTGAGCAGGCAGGTTTGTGTGGCGACCCCTGCTGACTCCTTTTTCCCTCTGAAGGTATATTGCACCCTCTCTTCCTTGCTTATTGTCGCTCATCTCAGCTTCTGGAGACTAAGTCGTCTGTCCAGGCAGCCACACGTACGGCAGGCAGGCATCGCTCTGCAGAAAAGCCCAAACGTATTTTCAAATTGTACTCAAAAGTTGACCACTTCTCACCTCCATTGCCATTACCTTGGCTCACTTGCTGCTATCTCTAGCATGCAAAGACTATTGTTGTGATAGCCTCCCAACAGCATTGCAATCTGATCCTTGTCTCCTGTGCTCTTGTCTCAAAGGGCAGTGGAGTCTCTTCACCACCCAGAAGCCAGAGGGTTGCCTCTAAAACACAAATCAGGGGTCCTCCTCTGCTCAAAATCCTCCCTTCTCACCCAGAGTGAAAGCCAAAGGTCCTGGGTGGCCTGCAAGGTCCTGCACGACCCTGATGGCCAGGTCCCACTCTCCTTGCTGGGTCACCCTGCGGCAGCCGCTATGGTGTCTTTGCTGTTCCTCAGACCCACCCAGAATGCCGCGTGCTCTTGCTCTTTTGCTGTTTCCTTCTGTCTGGAAGACAGTTCTCTCTGCCCAGAATGTCTTCCTCAGCTGTCCACAGAGCTCACTCACTTCCTCACCTTCCCTCTAGTCTCCATCGGCACTCACCTCCAGCATTGCCTTTGCTGCCTTCTCCTCTTACCCCCACCACCCGCTGACCCACAACGGATATTGCACTTGCTTACTGGTTCCCTGGTTGTCTCCCCTCCCAGAGGACAGAGATTTTGTTCATTCATTCACCGGCTGCTGTATGCCTAATGTCTAATACACTGCCTGGCACATGATGCCTGCTCAATAAATACCTGAATGAATGAAAATGAACGGCCACCTAGTAAACAGCCCCTCATTAGAAACGCTTCCATTGTTTTCTATTTTTATTTATTTATTTATTTATTTATTTATTTATTTATTTTTGAGACGGCGTTTCTCTCCTGTGTCCCAGGCTGGAGTGCGATGACGTGATCTCGGCTCACTGCAACCTCCGCCTCCCGAGTTCAAGTGATTCTCCTGCCTCAGCCTTCCAAGTAGTTGGGATTACAGGCACATGCCACCACACCCGGATAATTTTTGTATTTTTAGTAGAGACGGGATTTCACCATGTTGGCCAGGCTGGTCTTGAACTCCTGACCTCAAGTGATCCTCCTACCTCGGCCTCCCAAAGTCCAAAGTGCTGGGATTACAGGCGTGAGCCACCGTGCCCGGCCCATTGCTTCCAATTTTTAAAACAAACAATGCTAACATGAATATCCTTGGAGTGAATTACTCATACACAGTCATGATTATTTCCTTAGGATTAATTTCTAAGATTGAATTGCTAGGTCAAGGGGATGCACATTAAAAAAACACTTTTGACAGGTATTTCTCCAGAAAGGCAGTATCAATTTCCATACTTACCAGAAATGTGTGACTGTGTCTTTTTCCCTACACTCCCACCAATGCTGGGTCTTGTCATTTTTAGAAAGTCTTTGCCAAGTTACCTGCCACTGTTCTCACGTGAGTTTTTACAGAAGGAGTTTTGTGTAACTTGATAGAATACAACCGCTTTACAGCAACTCAGAGACAGTCTTTCTGTGGTTGTAAACACGCTCAATAAAACCCAAAGGCAGTGCCCAGCGATGTAGCCAGTGGAGCAGCAGCCAGGCTAGTAGCCAGACTCAGATGTGGATCTTTCCCTGAGCCTAACACTTTGTAAAGTGAGCACTGAGATTGTCCAGCGGAGAGAAGGGACGCCAGATTATTTAGAACACTTTCCTGAATTGTTACTTTTCCTAGCCAAGCTTTGAATAGAACCCAGAGAGGTCAGAGTTCAAGGTTTTGCTGTCTTCTAAGGCCTGCCCTAAGCCAAGGGTTCTCAAACTGAGAGTGCCTCAGAATCACCTGGAGGGCCTGGGCTTGTTCAAACACAGACTGCTGGTTCTGTCGGTCTGGGACAGGCCCAGGGATTTGCATTTTTAACAAGTTCCCAGATGACGCTGATGCTCCGGGTTCAGGAACCATACTTTGAGAACTGCTGGCCTGGAGTGTTGGATGTATTTTGTCTGCCTCCCACTGGGTCTTTCCCTCAGCCCCCTAGGCTGGGTTAGGCACCAGCCCCTGTGCCCCATGGGAGCTCCATCGCCGTGCTGACCACATCACAGTCAGAGCCGCAGTCTTCCCTGGTCTTTTTCCCCTCTTTGGAGGTGGACCCTGGTCTAGGCCCCTGGTTCATCTCAGTCCACCCAGAGCCTGCTGAGCTGCTTGGCACAGAGGCATTCAGTGAGGGCTCCCCAGAAGGGTGAGGAGCTATTGCGGAGCCTCCGTGGGTGACTGCCACAGACTCCATGTGTGCTGACCAGGGAGGTGCAGCACAGAGGTCACCCTGTGGTTTTGAAAGTCAGTCATCCGGATTCATTCTCACTTCCTCTGATCGTTGGATTCTGATGTCATCAAGAAGATTTTCGGAAATCAAACAGAAAGGCAGTCCAGTGGACTTGTTGTGCAGTGAGGAACCAGAGAAGGAGAGGGACTAACTCAAAGTCACACCCCTGAGTGATGACATAGGTAAGACTTGAACCCATCACCTCCCCAGCAGTCTTCTATAAAGAAGGTGGAGTGAGAAGACAAATGTGATATGGACAGGGTCATGTTGGAGAACAGGCCTGGATCCTCCACCCACCACAGGCTTTGGACCCTCCACCCATCACAGGCTTTGGACAACTCCCTCTCTTGGGGCCCCCACTTGCTCATCGGCAGCCTGAGTATGATACCATCTGTGTGATGCTTTTGTGTGGATTCACTTTGGTCACTTGTGCAGATGGGCCTAGTGCTGTGCCTATGGGAAGCATTAGACACTCTCCTGCCTCGCCATGACTTCTGTTGGGCTTTTCATGGTCCCTTGCCCACCACTGAGTGCTGTTGTCCCAAAGGGCAGTAGCATCTCTGGTCACACTTTGGCTGGGTGAGTCTTAAGCTCCAAGAGAAGGACAGGGGAAAGGTTGAAGAACGCACACCTGAAGGTGCAGGTGGGGCCTCATGTGATGTCAACCCTGCTCATTTCGTGAACTTCCCTTCCCTCCTCACCACATCCTCCTGGGGTTTTTGGTGTCAGAGCTCAAGGGGAAGGTGCAGGCAGAAGTTAAATATAGAAAGGCACCTACTCATGGTGAAATGCGTGGGCTGAGCCCTGGGTGAGGGGGCGTAAGCATCTGCTAAATTTAGCAGGCTGACTTCCTCTCCTCTTCCCTTGCATGCCATTATGCAAAAAAAAAAAAAAAAAAAATGTGTGTCAGTTTCCCTCGGGATGAATTCAAAGGGTGAAGAGGAGAAGTTGGAAATAAAGCCTGCCAGTTAATCACGACCTCTGGCCCCTGGATGGTCCCATCTGTTGTCACTTTTTATCCTCAGAGCAGTTCTATGGGCTGGGCAGGGAGGGTGTTGCTGATCTTGCTTTACAAGTGAGGATGCTGAGCCCCAGAGAAACCAGGGACTTGGCCGGTCATTGCATGGTAGAGCCTAGACATGAACTTCGGGTTTAACACGGATGCCCATGTCCGTTCTTACGAACCTAGTCCAAGGGTGCACTGGGGGCCGGGTGCGGTGCGGTGTCTCACACCTGTAATCCCAGCACTTTGGGAGGCCGAGATGGATGGATCACTTGAAGTCAGAAGTTCCAGACCAGCCTGACCAACATGGTGAAACCCCATCACTACTAAAAATACAAAATTAGCCAGGCGTGGTGGTGCATACCTGTAATCCTACACACCTGTAATCCCAGCTACTTGGGAGGCTGAGGCAGGAGAATCACTTGAATCCAGGAGGCAGAGGTTGCAGTGAGCTGAGATCGCACCATTGCACTCCAGCCTGGGCGACAGAGCGAGACGCGTGTCAAAAAAAAAAAAAAGTGCACTGGGCTTGGTAGCTCAGTAGGTGATAAAGAGTGCCCAATCTACAGAGATTTTCAAGGGTCTTGAGTGGTTTGGTAACTGCAGGTGGGAAGCCTACAAGCTAATGAATATGAGTGGCAATGAACCAAGGCCCGGCTACTCAGTCCAGCAGCAATGGCCTCGCCTTGGAACCTGGAAATGCCAAGGCCCAGCCCCAGCCCAGACCTGCAGAATCTGATTCTGCCTTGTAACAAGGTTCCCAGATGATGCACACACTGGAGCTTAGGAAGCCTTGGATTAATGCTTTGAGTGGGCTCACTTAGAGAATCAACTAATGGAATTTTGGACTCCAGTCATTCATTCCTTCACTCCCTCGTTTATTCAGCTGCCATTTGTTGATGAATTCCATGTTTGTGGACTCATGTTAGAAGTTGTGACAGAAGATAGCTGCTAACACTTACAAGTGCTTGCTGTGGATCTGGCGAGGTGTTGTAGGTTTATTAATTTGTTTAATCATTACAGAGACCCTGTGGGGTAGGTGTGTGCAGTTTGTAGAAGAGGAAGCAGGCTAGAGAGTTTTAGGCAACGTGCTTAAGGTCATGGCGCTTAATGAGTGGCAGAGCCAAGATTCCACCCAGGTTCTGACTCTTAACCAGGAGGCTCCACCGCCTCTAAGGATTACAGAACCAGAGCAGCTTGGTGCTGCTCAGGGCTCAGACCTCACAAGCCAGAAAGGTTCCAAGTGATCAACTGGGCCAGGGTTTTGTTTCAATTTTGGCTTTAGGCTACAGAGCCATTTGCTCATGTAACATTTCATGCAGATTCTGTGAGAGCTAGAGCTGCTGTTGTTGGACAGAGGTGACCCCCACATACATTTCACCCCCAAGGCCACACCACTCTCCCCTGTGCCCCCGGAGCTCCGTAGAGCACATGCTGAAGCCACTCACAAGTCCAACTTATTTGTTTTGCAGATGGGAAGAACAGGGGCTAGAAAGCGAGATGTCTTATCCAAGATCACATAGCTAATGAAGACCAAATTAGTTAGGGCTATGTGAGCCCCAGGTGAGCTCTGTTCCGTGGGGTGAGGGGATGGGAGGATTTCGCGCCAGAGAGCACACGGCTGATCTATGTAATGACATTTCACAGGGAAAACCCTTTGTCATAGCATTTCTAAATTTTCTTAGGAATGAAGGAGCCTCAGTGAAACTATGTTGACAGCTTGACAGCTACAGGCCCTCTCTCTAGAATTATTCTCATTCTCTCTGTCTCCTTCTCTCTGTCTCTCCATCACACACACACACACACACACACACACAATTTTTTCTAAGGTTTCAGAGAGTCCAGAGAGCCTTTGAATCCTGGAAGAAACCCTCAGGTCAGGAATCATATGCATTTTTTGCCTTTGCTGAAACCCACCCAGGGGAAGTGAGAGGGGCTCATGGGTAAATGGTCATGGATGCCAGAGGGTGACCCATCCCTACCAGGAGTGCCAAGTGTGAAGTCACAAATTTCAAACAAACCTCTTTTTACACCCATCATACCTTTTTATGCCTTTATACCTTCTAGTGGGTGACATTCACTGTCTGCAGCCTATTGGAGGGTTAGAAGGAATCCCTGTCATGACTGAAAATAGAGACCCCTTGTTCTGTCTCTAACAGGGTGGACAAGAGAGAGACAAGTGTATATTGACTGGGGGCAGATCATCTTTGTGTGGGCAGCAAGCAGCCCTCATTTGTGGCACCTGTCTCAGATGCTTGCGGAAGGCACACACACTCTGAGCCCAGCTGAGTGGTGGTCCTCCTGTGTGCACTGCTCCCCTGAGAGTCCTCAAAGCCAATGAGATGGAAAGTGGTATCCCCATTTTACAGACAAGGAAACTCAAGCCTCAAAGAGGCCAAATAAGAAGCCTGAAGGACCCCGCTGGTGGGCGGCAGGGGGTCTGTGGCATTCTGACCAATATCTGTGTCTTAGAAGAAGGCTGCTAAGTTCAGACCCCAACAATTCAGCAAGCCAGCTGGGTGACCTCTCTGAGCCTCCTGCCTCCATCATGCAATGGTGACTGTGATAGTATCAACGCCATAGAGCTAGCATGAAGATTAGCATAGCCTAAGCACTTAGAACAGTACCTGGCAGGTGACAAGTGCTCAGTAAATGTTAACCGCCCTTATTGTTGCCATGATGGTGATGACAGTCATGATGATGTTACTCTAAAGTCTCTGTTCACAGCGCTGCCCCCTGATTGCTTTGTGCAGGTGAGTGGACCACAGTTTCCCATTCAATAGTTGAAGGAGGTGGGGCAGAGATGAGGAAATGACCTCTCCATGGTCATGAACAGAACAAAGATATGTGTGGCTTTGGTATGTCATTGTTCCATGAAACTAGGGTTTCTGGTCACCTTCCTAGCCCCTGGCTTCTTCATTTACTCTCCCTGAAGCTGAGGGAAAGTAACAAGGGTGGACAAGAGAGGGACAAGTTCCTCACCCAGAGGAACCTAAAGCCAGTATTCCAGGGTTGTAGCACCAATCCAGCTTGTGGAAAGGCCCTGCCGTGACTTCTGACGGGCTTCCCACCTTGCATTTGTGACCAGTCTCACCTTTCATTTATTAGGTGCTTAGTCCACACCAGGCACTCAAGACTGAAAGACATATAATGTTTATATATGAACCATGTGCCTGCCCTGGCCTTAACTCAAGAATGGGGGATCCTTCCATTGCTGTCTGGTTCCTATTCTCTGGATTCTCTGGATCATCCGTGCTGGTGGCCTTCTTCCATCTGATTACTGCCTTAAGACCATCAAGTGCTTCCGAGTGGAATCACTGGGTCAAAGGGAATGGTATCCTTTTAAGCCTTTTGATCCATGTTCTTAATTGACCCCAGAAAGACACTATTTTAAAGATGCTCATAGCAGCATTGTTTACTGTAAAACCAGCAATAGTCTATCAGTAAGGTTGATTTACATAAAATGGGAGCCATCTACACAACACAATACTATGCAGCTATTAAAGATGGTGACATAGGTGTATATTCAATGACTTGAAAGATACAGATAATATATCAATAAAAGAAAAAAGTAGTATAGCTGATAGATGTAAAAACTAAAATCAAACTGCATATGTGTCTAGAAAAAGGTCTACCAGAAGGACACTCACATGTGAATGGTGGTGATCTCTAGGATGGGATCATAAGTCATTTTTATTTTCTTTTTATACTTTCTGAAATTTTCACAGTATGTACTATTTTTATAATCAGGAAAAAATGGATTCTTTCCACTTTCCTCATCCCCCTGCCAGAAATGCAGGTGAGAGTTGCCAGTAGCTTTGGAGGTAGGCAGCTGCCAGATTGGGTCCTGGGTGACTGGCACTGCCATGGGTGCATGGCAAGAACTGGCAGGATCAGTTGGGAGCTGGGGGTGTCCTGCAGCACTCCTCTCTAGGTACTGACCAGCCCCAACATGTTCTCAGAATAAAATGCCTGTGCTGGCCCAGCGTACCACCCCTCACCCTCACTGCCCTTCTTCCTAGCCCTGAGGTCTGCCTATTGGCACTTAGCTTCTTACCCTCTCCCCTGCCTCTCTCCTGCAGCAGGTGTTTGGCCTTTAAATCTGACAGGCCTGAATTCCTATCCTGCTGCTGCCTCTCACAGGTGGGAATCCTCAGTTTCCTCATCTGCAAAATGGGAGTCATAGTGCCCACTTTGTAGGACCCCAGGGTGATTTCATGCTCCCTGACCCATGGATCCTCGAGCCGGGGGTGATGCTGTTACACCAGGTCACATGCTGGCCCTCCTGACTTGCTCATTCTCTACTCTGTGCACCTGCGAGGGAACCAGGGCATTTATACCCTGCACCCAGCAGCCGTTACCTGAGGGCTGGCCCACGGCTGAGATAGTGATAGTGGCAGCCATTAATTCCCAAGAACTTCCAGTCCTCTGTGCATGCAAAATTGAGGCCAAGAGGTCAGGCTGGAGTGCAAGGAAATGACAAGAGACAGGGGAAGGGGCCAAGCTCCAACAGTGTCTGCTGCAGACCTGGGCAGTTTGGCTTAGCTAAGTGCCATTGCCCCATGCCATGTGTCTCCCCACACCAGACCACTCATAGGTTACAGCAGCCTAGAAACAAGTGCCTTGAGTCAGGAGCCACCGAAGCCCAATTGGGACCTGCCATCCCCATGCATAGCTTCCCTGGACAGAAGCTCTTGCACCCCATGCTCATAGGCATAAATAAATAGCATTTAAGTGCCTTAGATTCTTCTTATTGGAAGGAATGTGACTGGGAAGTTGAAATGGGGAGGGGAGCAAGTCCCCAATGCTCTTTCTTCCTGTGCCAAGCAAAGAAGAGAGAGGACTTCACAGCCAGTCCCATTTCCCCAGCAAACATGTCACCTTTTGAAGCCCTTGGTTTCTAATCTGAAGCAAACGGGGTTGATGGAAAGTTGGTGTGAGAAGTAAACAGATAATAAATGCGAGGTGATTAGCAGAGACCCAGTCATTTGGTACCCATTATTATGGCAAGATTTTTTTTTCTCTAAATACAATTAGTGGTTTATAATCTATGGCTCTTTTTACTGCATTAGCCACAGAGGGAAACCATGGGGGCAGCAGGCAGTCCATCAAATGATTGCTTCAGAGTGGAACAAAAGGGTGGTGGAGGCACTGCCAATGCATGATTAGGGCCAGAAGTGCCCCAGAATCATCTCAGCCAGGGGCTGGCTGCTGGTGCTTTGTGACTTAGCCATTCATTCGTTGACCATTCCTTCATTTATTCATTTAACAGATACTGATTGAGGATTCTTGATGCCAGGCATCATGGTAGGGACCAGATCTGCTAGGATTCACTGACAGGCCCTGAAGCCTCAGCAAGGAGGCCTGTGAAACAGCCGCATCTGCTTTCTCAGGGGATGTGTTATATTCCCTCCGGTGGAAAGAGGAGAGCCTCTGGCCAGAACATTCCTCCCATATTCCCACCCCCACAACCCTGCTCTAATTCAGGCTTTTATCATCCACGTCATCCTGCCCTTCACTGGGGTCCTCAGAGACATCAGCTGCCTGGAAAGGGGGCCCAAGAGCCACAGGGACCCCTCCCTCTGTCGAGGAAAGACACGTGGTATGTCTATAGCAAGTCACGATTAGAATTCCAGGGGTCTCCTCTGCCCTGTGCTCTCGACTGTGGATGCCCTTGTCTCCAGGGTCAGAGCAGAGTGTTGGAGGCCTAGTGGATCTTCAGTGTAGACCTGGCCCATCTTTCAGGTGAATAATTGAATACATGTATATTTTACCACATGGGTAGATACATGCATAGATTGCAAAGCAGAATTTTATACATGCATGGCTTTTAACGATCAAACAGGAGACTAAAGCCCTTTTGGCTTATGGGGACTGCTTTGGGGATGTCCCTGGAGTTCCCTGAGGGACATCTTTCAGCATCCTCCCACCTTAGGGCTGCTTTTTCACCATGTGATCTGTGGGGGCAGTGACCTCCTGTGCTCCACCTGCCCAGTGGGGTGAGAAAGGACACGGCAGACTTAGGTTAGAGAAAGGGGAAATGTCTTGAGTATGGGTTTTGAGAGGGTTAGAGAAAGTCACCATCTCTGAGTCATTTGGGCCCAAAGTCCAGAGAGAAGAAACTGAGGGAAAGGAACCATCTCTCTCCCTTGATAGTGCTGGGACCCCCAGGTTCTGGCTGGAGCTTACACCTTCCAGAACCACAATCCTGAGACTGGCTGACATCCAAGCTCTTCTGAGATCCACGCCACTGGCTTCTTGACTTCCTCAGCCTCTGTTCACATGGCACCTAATCAGAGACCTTCCTCTCCCACCCTTCCCCCTGCCCCCTGCCTTCTACTCCTGTTATCCTCAAACATGGCTTGGTTTGCTTCTCAGCACTTGGAAGCACCTGGCAGGTTAGATATGTATGTGTTGGAATGTAATATGTTAGATATGTATGTGTTGGAATGTAATATGTTAGATATGTATGTGTTGGAATGTAAGTTCCATGAGAAGGTGAACTGTCTTCTTGTTCACCCCTTGAATGAGCCCACCCTATAAAACCACGCTTAGCCGCAATCTCACTGATCAATACATCGACTGAGTAGAATTTTCAGAAAAACAAAAGCAAATCAAACAAGAAAATCCAGCAAGAACATGAGCTTCCGTTAGACATTAAATACCAAAACATAGCTTCTGAGGAGTATCAGGAACTCAACCCCATTTGACATAAACTCCTAAGTCTCCCATCTGGCCAGCACACCCTGATCATGGCCAAAGACTGGCACCCGCCAAAGACTGGCACCTCCAGCATGCAGGAACTAGTTTGATTCAGCTCTTCCACTGCATGCAGTAGGCACTTAGCAAAAGTTCAGTGACATAAATTTTAAAAGGCTGGCTGGGCCAGGCGTGATGGCTCACACCTGTAATCCCAGCACTTTGGGAGGCTGAGGTGGGTGGATCACGAGGTCAGGAGATCGAGACCATCCTGGCTAACATGGTGAAACCCCATCTCTACTAAAAATACAAAAAAATTAGCCGGGCGTGGTGGCAGGCGCCTGTAGTCCCAGCTACTTGGGAGGTTGAGGCAGGAGAATCGCTTGAACCTGGAGGCGGAGGTTGCAGTGAGTCAAGATCGCATCACTGCACTCCAGCATCGGCGACAGAGTGAGACTCCGTCTCAAAAAAAAAACAAAAAAATGCTGGCTGGCTTCTGAACTCAAGTCAGAAGGGAAAGATTCTATGTGTTACCAAGGAGGGGAGGTGCCTAAGGATGGAAGAATTTTTGACACGGGTAGAAATCGAGATTTCTGGTGAATCCTCTTCTCAGAATATCCAGGGAGTCCCTCCCTCCCCCATTTCCCTTCCATTTCCCAATTACTCTGCTTGACCAGGTTTGCCCACATTTACGCAAAGGTGCCTGATGGCCGGCATTCAATGCAACCACTCACAAGTCTACTGAGCCTGCTAGGGACCAAGTCCCCTATACCCAGGACCAGAGAGGGAAGAGAGGCAGATCCTACCCCCACATTCTAGTCATGGAGAAGAGAGAAGCTTTTATGAGTCAGATAGTATTCACCAGTGAAGGACAAATGACGAGTCCCTGAGCGTCATCTCCAGGGGTCTCAGGCCTTGAAGGAAGGATAGGACGGGACATTCAGAAAGGGGCAGCTGTTCCCCCACCATCTCCTTATCCTGTGGTTTGGAGCTGCATAGCAAACACTAGTAGTGATTAAATTTGACATGTTTCACCAAACAGCTACTCACCAGTCATTGACTGAACATGTAACATTCATTCATTCATTCATTCACCTAGTGTCTGCCAGATGTCAGGCTCTGTCCTAAGTGCTGGGGATTTGGTAGCACTGAAAGAGACAGACAAGGTTCTTTCCTTTACTTACAAAGCTTACGTGGTGGCAAGCTCACAGTTGGTGGGTGTCTACCTTGTACCAGGCCCTGCTGAGGCCCTTTTCACAGGAGTTCTCACTAGGGGTGCAGTTAGTATTTTGAGGGGAAAGTTTTTTGTTGTGCAGGCTGTGTGGCATGTTGCAAGATTTAGCACCTCTGGTTCCTGCCTCATGCTGTCAGTGGCATACCCATACCCCATACCCCATACCCCATACCCCACCGCAGCCTTTGGAACATCCCCTAATATCCACTTACAGTTAAAAATGCCCCCTCATGATGTGGTATTGCCCACCATTAGAAAAACAACATGATCTCATTTAATCCTCACAACAGCCCCATGAAATTAGTTCTGTTACGATCCCCATTTTACAGATGTGAAACAGACACAGAGATGTTTAGCAACTCGTTCCACACCACACAGTTAGAGTGATGGATATGAAACCTAGGGGCCCAGCTTTAGAGACTGCACTCCTCACTCCCCTGTTACACAGATTCTCAAACCAACACAGACTGCAAATTCTAGACAGTGAGGGGAGTGATGGTGAAAATGGATCAAGATGATGCGACAGAGGGAGAGAAGCTAAAGTGGGAAGTGTGTCCTGTGTGTAAAGCCTTATGCTGACCCAGTGGGCAGATAGACACAGTACAATCAACTGCAAGCCCCACACAGGCCCTAAATCCCCATTAGAACTATGAGGCAGGCAGTATATACATGTGCACATTAGGGATATGTACCTTAGTGAAAACCTCTGCTCTTATGGGGAATACCCTGTTCATCAAGGAATAAGTATTCACGAGAAAGATAGTCACTGGGAGACTTGCATGTGGAACAGAGAAAGGCAATGTCGAGCAAGCCAGATGCTGGGAGGGAGGCAGTGCTCTTCCTCTCCACATCCGACCAATGGAAAAGTAATTATTAGCTGCCTGTGATGTGTGTCTGAGTCAACAGCAGCAGAGTATGCGGAAGCTGTTGAAGCTCTTTTTTGTTTGGAGCCCTTGCTGTGGCTGGCATATGCTGGGGATTCAATCATTGAGTGGATGAGTGGATGAATGAAAGGATGGGTGGATGGAATAATGGACAGATGGATGGATAGACGGTTGGACAGATAGATGGCAGAATGGAAGAAAAGATGAGCGTATGGATGGACAGGTGGATGGGTGGATGGATGGATGGACAGATGGTTGGGTGGATAAGATTTGGTACCAGCCCCACCTCGAACTTCTGGCTGTAGAGGCTGGATATATTCAGGGTCCAATTCACAATGGTGTAGAATTCAGGGCTAAACTACAAGTCAGAATCAATTCTAAAAAGCATTATCTTGCCACAAATCAAGTCAGGAATAGGAAAACATTTCATTTCATTGGACAATCAATGTAAACAAATGCCTTGGCCTTCAGCCCTCAGTCTATCTTAGACAGTTGAAGGGAAAAGCTCAGATTTGCTGAGTACCTACTATGTTTCTGGCATCCTACAGATAGGATGGCTTCTAGTTTTCAAAACAGCCCTGTGTTTGACAAATCGGGATGTTTAGGCTGCTCCAATAGGTGAAGCAGCAGACACAAGGTCACACAATCAGTGGTTGAGCCAGAAATGAAAATTCAGGCTGTTCGTTTCCACAGCCCCTTCTCATCCCGACGCCCCATGGGAAATCAGATGGATAGGGCAGCACTTCTTTAGGCAGCAGATCCAGGTGGCTGCAGCCTCAGCGTGACTCACCTGTATCATGGGCTACCTCTCTGTGTAACACAGGGCCTGGCTAGAGACCCCAGGCCAAGGATGGGGGTGAGGATTAGAGAGGAAGGAACCTGGGTTTGTTTCCACTGTGCACCCTGCGAGGGCAGCTTAGTCAGCGGCACGGCCCATTAGTCACTGAGATAGGGTGGGTGGGAGAGTGGGGATGGGTCAGGACTCCGCAGGAGAGCACCTCCCACTCCCACCATGGAAAGACAGCTTGGGACCCCGGCCCTGCTAGGAGAATGCAAAGGTGGGAAGCAGATGAGTTCCTCCACACCTGCCTCTTGGTTCCATTGCTCCTCCAGTGCTAACACATTCTAGCTAAGCGGAGGAGGAAGACAAAGGTGCTAGGGGACCCGGGAGAAGAAAAAGGAAGGGGAAGCTTCCCCTCCTTTTTTGAAAGCAAACAGATCTGTGTTTCTATCCTCTTGCAGTTCCTCCCTGCTCTAGCTGTGTGATCTGGGGCAAGTCATTTCCCTTCTCTGAGCCTGTTTTTGCCTCACTTGGATGTTACAGAAATTAGACAAGATACCACATGTGAAAATGTTTGGCCAGGGCTGGCACATGGTAGGAGTCCAGGAAATCGTTCTCTTCCTGCCCTACCGTCTCTGGGTAGGTCTGATGAGAGGACAGAAAAGCACCAGCCTCTGGCCAGACACAGGAAACTGAGCCCCCACCCCCTGCCAGCTGTCCCTGTTCCTCCCTGCCTCGTATAGGCCTGGCTGTCCTCCCCAGCCATGCTTCTGCCCACTGAGGGCAGGGGGTTGCTTGGGTCACACATCTGTGGATGAATGGTAGAGCCAGGGCTGGTACCCATGACTGCAGACTCCTTGTGCAGTGCTCCTGTTCCCATTTTGCTTGCCTGTCTGCCATGGTGGTGGGGCACAGAGTGGGGTCCCCCCACACGTTGGTTGTCAGGATGAGTGAAGGAGGAAGTGTGAGAGCTCCTAGCCAGGGCCTGTGTAGTGGTGGGTGTTTATTAAACGTTTGTAGAATAAATATGAAGGACACATGCCCCAGAGCCAGCCTCTCTGTATATGGCAGTTTTTACCTTCTTCCCCACTCTTTGCACCCAAAACTGCTGTCATGGGCTTGCCCTGACAGCACTGGAGAGAAAAGCAGGCAATGTCATTCCAGAACCTTTGGGCTTCCCAGTGTCTGTTCCCTCCTCGCCCAATCACACCAGGTTTGCATGGTGCAGCTGTGTATAGGCAATAGAAGAGCGGCAGAGAAGCCAGGGGTGTCCTGTCCCACCTACATTAACTCATCCACTCTCTGGCTGCCCAGCCTCCAGCAGGTCTTGCAATAAGCTGCTTTCAGGATGGCCTTGGAGACTGAGTGGTCATCAGAGAAAAGGGGTGCAGGGCCTTAGGGCCCAGAGCATTGGTGGTGGCCGGGGAGGCAGTGGCCACACCATTGCCAGCGCCCACATCTTCATCCCGTCCACTGGCCAGCAATGTGGATGGGTAGGTTGAGTATGGGGAGACCTGGAGGACTTAGGTTTGAGTCCTGGATCTGCCACTTCTTAGCTGTGTGACTTTGGGCAAGTTACTTCAACCCTCTCATCCCATTTTCTCATCTCTAAAATGGGGATAGACAACTTCCTGGTTATGCCGTGGTTGTGGGTAGGAAAGGGCTGTTTGTGGCTGGGTGCTAGGGTGGCAGTGAAAACACTTTGGAAATGCTGAGATGCTGTCATGTAGGAATGTCATGGCCACTGTGCTGTTACTAGTGCTCTCTTCTGAAGCACACTGGGGAGGTGGGCCAGACAGCCTGGACTTGAGCCTCTGCCTTAAACAAGTCACATGGTCTCTGAGAGCCTCAGTTTTTCTCATCTGTGAAGTGGGCATGATTACCCTGCCTGTCTTACAGGGTTATCTGGAAGCAGACAAGATGATACTGGGAGTCTGGGGTTGAGACATGCTTGGTAGATGTTAGGTGGGTGGGTACAGTGGGTGGAGTGGAAGGAGCGCCTGAGGAAGCCAAGACTTCCTTCCAAGAGAGGCAGAGGGGGTGGGGGCAACCCCAATTTTTTCTCTGCTGAGCTGGGTAACTCCTGGGGGCACATTACTCACCCTCCCTGAGTCTCGGTGTTCCCATCTGCAAAGAGAGTTGTGGGTGCCCAGTGCTCTGTGGGCGGTCACTTGGCCGCCACTGGGCTGTCACGCTGTTCCTCTGCTCCTGGAAGGAGTGACCCACTGAGACTGGGCCTCCCTCTCTGGCAAGTTAGGCCTACGGCTGCCACCGACCCTCTGACCTCACTCGGCTCCTGCCTAAATGCCCCCCAGCTCCAAGTACTTCTCTGAAACAGCCTGGCTTCCTGGAGTTCCCCGTTTGCCACCGGCTGCTCTGTGCACGTGACCTCCAGCTTGAGATGTTGAAATCCTACTCCAGGCTGCCCGGAAACCCCCAGCCGTCTGGGGCCATGCAGGGGCAGAGGCGGCGCGGGCTCCTTGGGCTTTGCCACACTTTGCGGCAGCAAGTCGGGGGCATCGATTCACGTTCTATTTTCAGACATTTCTGTTTCCTCCGCAAAAAGCAGTGGGTGGCCGAGGGAATTCAGCCTTCCGGTGACTGTGAGATGATTCCAAGCACAATATCTTCATATGGATGATGATTTCAGAAACTACGTGAAATGTTGTGGTCTAATGGCGCCATGGTTCATTACCAACGGAGAAAAGATTTTAGAATCTACCCTCTTGGGGATGTGAGTGCTGATGTGGGAGTTTTCTCTCCATAGGTTTCTTTACCCTGTTTGTAGGGAAAGAGGCAGACAGGGAGGCGGGCATTTATGGTGGGCCCAGGAATCCCTATAGCTGCCAAGACAGCTGCCCCATTTTACTGGTGAAGAAGCTAAGGCATGGAGAAAGGAATTGATCAAGCCAAAACAGCACAGTTACACAGCAGCAGAGCTTGGACTGGAATCCAGGGCTTCCTGACCACAAAGCCGCTGGTTTCCAAGCCTGAGTCCAGGTCCTGTGAGCTGATGGATCATGGGAACTTGAGCAAGTCACCTGATGCCTCAGACTCTACTATCTTTCTGCTTTGTGGGAGGGTTGGATTAACTCAAAACTTCTTAAGCTTTTCCACAGAGAAGAGTCAATGAATTTCTTTGAGTTTTAAACATTCTTATGCTATAGCATGTATCAGAACTTACTTTAGGAATTTTTAAATTGTTTTCTTCCCTACATCTCCAAGTAGAATTGATGGTCTGAGAAGATGCCCCGCTACCCCATGGCTCCGTGCTGAGGCCGCCACCTGGATTGAGAAACCCAGGGCTTTACTGATTTCTGAGGACTGGTTCAGCGACAGTGCCTGCGATTTCTGCGCAGTACAAGGGCTTGGCCAGAGTTTGTGAGACCCAGCTGCTTGTCTATATGTCTCTGGGGACGCTGCTTCCCGCTCGTCCTTCCTAGAGGCCAAGGCCTGGGGCAGGCCTTCTCCACATGGGGTGTCCCTCCCACTGGCCAGAGCAGGATGGAAGAGGACCCTGCCCTCCCAGAGGTGGCCAATGCTGAATTTGAGTTTCAGTGCTACCAGCTCTGGCCTTGGACAGATCACATGGCTGAGCTTCATGGTCCTCTATAGACATGGCATGGATCCATATCCTTCTTCAGAATTTCAGTGACACAGAACAGAACAGGTACAGCAAAGGCCCCAGCACAGGGCCTGGCAAGTAGGATGTGCCAGAACAGGTTAAGTGACACCTGCTGTATTTTAGGGCCTCAGAGCCTCACAAATCTGTAAGCCGTTTCCACATTAAAATCTCCCTTTCCAAATATATCTCCCTGCCCAGTTTTGTCATGAGCCTGAGGTCCTCATCATCACCAAGGCCTTGGGTTGATGACCCTTATTAAAACACAGTTCTTACATAAAGTGCCAGACTGAGTTCCCCGCCCCACCTTCTATTTAATTAACCACGTGACCTTGATAAGTCATTTCTCTTCTCTGAGCCTTTATTCCTTCATCTGTAAACCAAGGATGCTAAGGAGCAAATGAGTTACTGCAAATAAGACTCTTTTTCAGGTGTTTAGCAGCTGGTGGGACAACAGATGATTCAATGGGCCATGGTAGCCCAGGACACTAAACCCAATGACAGGGGTATGCTCAGCCTTTTGGGGAAGCAGATCCTTTGAACCTGTAGTCTTGGAGAGTCAGGGACCCTTCATGGCAGAGATAGAGGTCTCATCTCAGATATGACGGTTGACCACAGCCAGACACAAAAAAATGGGACTGCAGGGGTTGGAGGCACTGTGGGCAGTGGGAACGGCAAGAGTATCGGTCAAGTGCCTGCTTACACACACAGTATCTTAATCAGTCCCCCAGACAACCCTGCCAGTAGTACTATTCATCCCAGTTTGCAGATGAGGAAACCAGGCTGAGATACGTTAAGCAGCTTTTCTGAGCCCACGTAGCTTGTAAGTGGCTCAGCTGGTCTTCAAACCCTGGCCAATTAGATCCAAAAGTCTATGTTCATGAGTGGGCACTCCCACTGGTGAGCGGGGAACGAGGGGAGCCATGTTTCTCAGCAGATAAAGGAAAGGGCGGAGAAGACCTCGAACATTATTTGTGGCTGGTGCCTGGAGGTGGGGCAGGAGTAGTAGGCACCAGGGTCTAAGAAGGGGTAGGTGGTGGCTGGAGCCTGAAGAGTCAGCCCTGGAGTGACTATAGTGCCCTGGCCAACCGTGTCAGCTTCTCTGGGTAGAAAAAGAGCCAGAACTCCTCCTGGTCCTTCAACACTTCCTTCAGGCCACATCCCTCTGACAGGCCACCATCCTGCCCCGGTCATGATGGGGCCTCTGCTCTCCATCTGTTTCTTCCTTGGGACTCTGAGCCACCCAAGGACACACATGTGATCATCCTTGTGCCTTAATCCCCAGGCATCCAGTACAGAGTCTGGAAGGCAGTGAAAGTTTGCGGAGGGAAGCCAGAAATGCACGCCCTGGTTCCTTGGCCTGCATCTGCCCACAGTGAATGCTCATCCTGCATCTGGGGCATGGAAGGGTGGCATGTGGTGCAGCCCTCTCAGTTAACAGACAAGACAGCCAGGACCCAGGATGGCTACTTTTCTCAAGACCCCTGCTTAGGTTACCTGGGGAGGCTGTTTTCTGTGGCAGAAGGAGCTGGGGGAGCAGTGGCCCTACCTTCCTTCTCCCAAAGCCAGGAAGCCTTGTCAGGGCCCCAGGACCCACCCTTCTTGGCCCCTCAACCCCTTCCACGGGGAGCTGAGCATCTGTAGCTTGTCAAAGGAGCTTGGTCTGTTTTCTTATGGACAGAGAATGCACCTGCCAAGGCTCTGCAGGAGGGAGAGATCTGAACACCACGGGGGATGCAATTGGAAATTCGTTCAGGTTTCCCCCAGAACGAATGCCATGGAGGCATGAAGCCCGGGCACTCCTTGCTTCTAAAAGTGGGGAGGGATCAGAACATTGGAACTCTCGAGATTCCTTCCTAAGTGGGAGCGTGAAGGGCTGTTGTGATAACCATCGGCTCCCAGACACCCTGGGCGGGCACTGGCTGCAGATGCTGCCTCATTGAGCATGGAAAAGGTGGCTCTTCAGAGGTGGTGTCTCCCCTGCACACCCACAAATCATTTTTTTAATGGGTTGTCACTTTGATGGTGGGGCTAACTCTTGGGCCTGATTCAGTGTTCTTGCCTTTTTCTCTCCTCTTCCTTCTTCCCCCAGAGCCCCCACCCTCCTGCTTGCTTCCTTCTCTCTCCAGCCTCCACTTACTGGAAATGCAATCTCTCAGTGCATGAATGGCAGGGAGGGAGGGAGGCGCCAAGATCGAGAGGCGGCTTTGTCTGGCAGTGAATTTAGATAGCACGTGGGTGGCCAGGGAGCAGGCAGACATCCTCCATCCGCCTGTCATGGAGTTTGCCTGTGCTGACGGAGGAGGAGAGCAGGGTTTAATTCCCCAGCAATGCCTGAGTCCCAAATCTCCAGGCTGGAGACATATCTCCAGCCTGCCAGCCATAGGGGAGAAAGGCAGAGTGGTAGAAAGTTGCTAATTTGGGGGAAGGGAGTGAGCAGAGCCTGGATGGTTCTATTTTAGAGCAGTGAATGAGCTCTGGGTGACACTGACCTCTGTGACCTGAGCTCAGCCCTCATACTGCCACAAACTCCCACACTGTTGTGGCTCATTTTCCCCACAGACAAGGGGGACTCATGCCCTCCTCCTAGAATTGTCAAATGGATTCAATCAGATGTGAGAAGTGCATCCTCATCCCTGTCACCTTCATCGTCATCATCTTCTTCACCATCGTCACCATCAGAGCAAGTGTTAATATGCATGCTGTGTGCTAGACATGGTTCTACGTGCCCTTACGTAGGAAGAGATCTCCCAAACAGCAGGCACTCAATAGAAATTATTTGCAACTGACTCCAATTTCTGCTTTGTTGATAATTTGTTGGGCAAGATGATTCCACCTCTCTGAGCCTCAGGTTTCTTATCTGTGAAATGGAGATGATAATTATAGTGCCTTCTGCAAAGGGTTGTTGAAGACAAATGTGTTGAAGCACATAAATTACTTGAAAAAAGTCATGGTACTGGCAAATGATTTGCTGTTGCAGAGCATGTTGGTGGGGCACTATCTTGGCACTGAAGAAGGGATGTGTTTGGTGTCGCAAACATTGTACCCCACAGACAACACCCTGAATACCCTGTAAGCACTCTCTTAACACTGCAAAACCCAATTCCTCATTTCATCATTTTCACTGCTGCAGACAACAGCCCTAAACCTGCCTTTCCTCTTTAGATCATGTCTCACCCAATGGCATCAAGCAGCCACCCACGTTGGTGGATATTTTCCTCTATTCTGCCCCAGTCCTCAACTGCCGTCCTGCCCCGGGGCTGGCTGCTGTGGGTCCTGCTCCTGAGTCTCTGGCTGGACTTCCTACTGCCCAACCCACCTGCCCAGCCCTCCACTCCTTTACAGAGCTGCAGTCACCTCCTCTCTGGTCTCTTGGCTTCTGTCCCCTCCTTCCCAGACTGCCCTCCGCCATGGCAGCCCAAAGGGCCTTTCTAAATCACCCAGTGGCCCATCGCTCCTTGGCTGAACACCTTTCAGCAGCAAGAATGAATCAGTCAGTGAAATGCTTAGTGGCCATTGACTATGTTCAACACCAGCCTGGACCCTGGGCATGGGAGGGGGTGGCTGGAAACATTTGCCGAGTTAGTCCAGTCACTGAATGTATGTCTATCTCTCGCCTTCCCTGGGCCAAACGCTGGGCCATGTGCGTGCCAGCTGGTTCTTTAGTTAACCTGTGCAGAAGGTGTCTGCTCCGTTTTTCAGATGAAAAGAGAGGTTTACTGGCTGGCCAAGGCCACACAGCTAGAATAGGTGGCAGCAACTCAATTCAGATGCAGGGGGCTCTGAAGCCAAAGGCACCATCCACTCAGTGCAGCAGAGACAGCTGCAATGCACATGAGCCTCAGAGAGCCCACCCCAGGCCTGGTGGGTGCAGCCTCTGCTCACTGACTGGAGAGGCCAGGAGGGGTGAGGTGGGAACAGCAGCAGATTTGGGGGCATGGAGAATAGAGCAAGGAGGGGGTGAGGGCTGAGTTGCACCTTGCACAGCAGCCAGGCAGGAAGGGGAATGGACCAGGGAGTGGGGACTGTGAGCTTGTGCTGGGGGAGAGGGCGGGGAGTGTGAGTTCTGTGCAGGGGCTGGAGGTTGAGAGGAGTGGGACACCTGGAGGAGCTGAGGCCTTGAGAGCCGAGGAACAGCCTGGGAGAAGGACTGGGCTGGAGGCTGGCCTGGGATGCTGAGAGTGCTTCTGAGAAGGTGGCAGGGGGACAAAGAGAGTGAGGAGCCAGGGAGGCCTGTCCCAGAGCCTTCCCCACATCCCTTTCCTCTTTCCAGTCCCTTGGTTGCTGCTTCCCTGCCTGGCACTTTCTTTTGCAGAACCAATTCCCCTAAGTCACTCAGCCACAGTGGACCCTCAGAGCACAGGCTTGTCTCCCAGGGCAACGCCCCAAGAGCCAGGCCATGTTTGGTGAGCGACAGAATAGGAGATGGGAGCTCTGGCTTCCAGTTCTAACTCCACCACCAACTCTCAGGTGAGCTTTGAGGGTCTCGGCTCCTGGCCGGGCCTCAGTTTCCTCTTGGATATAGGGAGAGGCTGGATGGCCACTAAGGACCCTTCCCACAAGCCCTATGGCCTGTGATGTGACTGGGGGAGGGTTCAAGGTAAGGCCTTGGGTGAAATCTACATCCTCCATTGTCAAGCTGTCTGCTTTTCACAGTAATTACCACTTGGTACCTGGGAGTTGGACATTGGCTGTCAGCACTCGGGTTTCAGAATCCAAGGACATCCCATCCCTTGGCTCTGCCCCTGCTTGTGTTCTCATCTTCCCCACCCCCTCCACTCTGTCACTATGTCTCAGCACAGCCCCATATGGAGTGTTGCCCAGTGCAGCCGGGAAGATGCCAGCAGTCCCTGGGGGCAATGACAGAAAAGACCTGGATTATCAGGGACCAGCATGAAAATTCATGGCCAGAACATTTCCTCCATGTGATTTCCCAGTGTGCTCTGAACTGCTTTGTGTTTGCAGGATGGAGTTCTGCATCTGCTGGTTTATTTATTCCATGCACATGTATTGAGTACCTGCTGTGTACCAGGCCCAGGGCTGGGTCCTAGGGACATGGGTGAACCAGATCCTGGGGACTAGGCAGGCTGGGGATGCTCCTGCCTCCCATGGGGACTGAAACCTGGTGTCCTCTGCCCTCCTACCGACCCCCAGTCCCATCTGATCCCTGCAGGGCCCTCTGGAGAAGAGAGTCTCTGGAGACTGTAGCTTGAAGTGTTTGGGGTTCTGTTGGGGGAAGGCAGGCCTTGTCCTCGGGGATAGAGCGTCGCGGTCCAGGTGCTGTATGATGGGGAGTAGGCAGAGCTGTGTAAGGGAGTTGGTCAGCCCAGGCACAGAGCCCAGCAAGAGCATCCTGGGAGAGACATGAGGCTCCAGCTGGGGTAAGAGTGGCTTGGGTACAAAGCCATGTAGTCCTCAACTCAGGCAGGGCCTTTGTCACCCCCCACCCCAAGGCTACTTTCCCCTGCCTTTCTATGCTCCTATAGTACCAGCCCCAGTGGCCTTTCCTTGGCCACCTTCCCTAGCACCTGTGTGCCCTCCCCTCAGTCACCCTGCTGGGGAGCCTCATCTCCTTGGGCCTTGTTAAGACCGCCCTCTGCTAGTTTTCTGTTCCATGGTCTCCTCAGTTCAAATCCTGGCTCCATCATTTCCCAGCGTTTTGACCCTGGGCGAGTTGCTTAATCTCCGTTTCCATATCCACAAAATTGAGATGATAATAGTAGCTGTCTCAGGGAGGCTAGGGATACAGCAGTCAAGATGAGAGCCACTGGAGAACCCGCCTCTGCTGATGCTCCCCGTCCGGCCCAAGCTGCACCATGGCTCATGTGGTCCCCTCTCTCAGAACTCCTTCCTCATCTTCCCCACATAGTCTAGCCCATCCAAAGCTCTCACACTGCTCCCTCTGGTCTGCACCTGTCATTCCCCACCACATGCCACAGCCTTCCTAGAGGACCATGTCCTCATCTTTTGTTTCCTCTCCATCCCCCATAGGCCCCAGAGGGCCTGGTTCCATGCCAGACCCTTCCATAGAGAAACACTCGGTCAGGGGAATCATTCACTTGTTTAACCAGTATTTATTGCACATGGTTTTGTTATCTATTGCATGTGGTAAATTACCCCATACTTTGCTTCTTAAAGCATTAGACATTTCTGTAGGTTAAGAATTCAGAAGCAGCTTAGCTGAGCAGTTCTTGCTCAAGGTCTGTCATGAGGTTGCAGTCAAGGAGCTGGCCAGGGCTGCAGTCATCTGAAGGCCTGATTGGGGCTGGAAGACTCCCTTTCCAGATGGCTCCCTCACAGGCTTGGCATGTCAAAGCTGATTGTTGGCAGGGGACCTCCATTCTTCCCCACATGGGCATCTCCATAGGCTGTTTGACATGGCAGATGGCTTCCTCCAGCAACTGGGGTCCAAGAGAGAGCAAGGTAGAAGCCACAATCTCTTTATGACCTAGCCATGGAAGTCATGCCTGTCATTCCCACGACATCCTGTTAGTTACATAGGTCAGTTCCATTCAGTGTGAATACTCAGAGATGAGAACCATTTGGAGGCATCTTGAAGCCTGACTACCCCCAGCACCTGCTGTGCATGGGTTGTTTTTTCTGGACTGCTCACCCTGAGTGTTGAGCATAGAAATGCAAAGTTCACAGGTTCACGGGGGCTTACTGGGGCCCTGGGGTGGATTCAGGGGGTCTGCCACTGGGGTAGGCTGTGAAGACTGGCCAGGTTGATGGCTCCGGAGCTGCCTGAGGACAAGGAGAATCCTCAGTATTAGAACCCAGCACCTCTGTCTCTCAAATCAGCCCCTTTATCCAACTTACCCATGCCCCCAACACTCAGTGGCATTTGCATTCTTGACAGCTGTACGCAGTACACCTTTTTCCCGGCAGTCACACTTGTTCAAAGAATGGGCATGTGTCACTCTAGGAGGTAGTGAGTTCCTTGTCCCTAGAGGCACTTGCTGCAGAGCCACTGGTCAGAGACGCCACAGAGGAGAGATTTTAAGAGGTTTCACTCAGCCCTGGGTTTCTGACTTCCCACTTTCTTTGTGATCTGGCTGTGGGAGTTGCGTCCTTGCTCCTCTTCACAAACAAATTCACCCCCCACAGGAAGCCTCAGCTAGTCCCATTAGATCCCCTGAATAGGACCCTGGCCTATGGAAGCTGTCCTCTTGCCCCACCCCCCAGCCTCCCACCTGTGGGGTCTAAGTGCCCGGAATCCTGGCTTCCTGCCCATGCTGCCCACATCCCACTGGGAGCCTTCACCGGATAATCAGGACCATTAGAGGCCTCCTAATGCCACCTGACGTTGGGCCTGTGATGGCCCCCACACCGGCTGCCCATGCATTATTAACGTGCAAAGAGCGTGAGAGAACTGCTTAGATAGATTGCACCCTGGCGCCCCTGGTGCATTAGTTGCTGCATTTGCAGCGTGCCCCTGGTGGCCCATGATGTTCCCCTCCAGGGTCTCCCCCAGCATTGCCAGGCCTGGCTCTGCCCCAGGACTGAGTGCTGATGGGGAGCTGGCTCTTCAGGCACTGGGCATCTGGAGCAGGGTGGGGCTAGGAGCACTGGTGCCAGGGATGCAGGGTTGTGCAGGCCCAGCACTTCCGGGTCAAAGAGGGCAGCAAACTGAAGGATCAGCTCATCTACTCCTCACCCCCTCAGCTCTACAGGGGAGGACACCAAGGCTTGAGGGGAGAAGTGACCTGTTCAAGGCCACAGGTGAGGGGCAGAGGCCCAGGTTCCTGGTTCTCCCTTCATACTGAGTCTTCCTTGAGCTGAATCATGTCAGCTCCTAGAGCCTGGGGTGAGGCCTCTCAAATGGACAAAGAGGAATCCTTTGCAGGAGGAGCCTGCCTAGTCTCTTGAGGGCCCCTGTGAGAAAGGGGGCGAATTCCCACAGGAAGATGAAAGCCCCTTGCTCTGCAGTCACGTTTCCTAAGGTTAAACACGCTCAACCCCGACTAGCTGGAGGACCTTGGCCGACTCACTTTCCCTCTCTTGGCCTTCGTGTCTTCATCTGGAAAACAGGCACAGTATTCCCTGCCCTGCCTTTGTGCCTCCCTTCCTGTCTCCCTCTGTGGGCTGGTGTGAGGATCCAGAGTGGTAGTGGAGGAGAGGGAACCGGAAACTCACATGACACTTCCTGTCGAGAGCAAGAACGCACCTCTTCCCGGCTCCAGCACCTCGCACCTTTCAACACAGAATCAAAGACTGGGCTGGGTTACCTAGAGTTAATTGGAGGTAACTAGAGGAACAAGGACACATGGCTGAAAGGACTGTCACCTTCAGGAGGCCCTGGTCCCAAGCCTAGGGCTGCTACTTACAAGCTGGTGGCCTCGGTCAGGGCCCTTCTCCCTCTCTTCTCTTCACTTTCTCCTTCTGTAAAATGAGTAGGGAGTTGGAAAGGAGGAGTTTAGAATTCCTCTAAGAATATTCCAGCTTTAAAGTCAACGGGGACCCATTCAGAATAAAAAGGTCAGTGACGGATATCAGGCCCTTTGCCAACAGCAAGTTTGGGAACCCTGGGAAACCCGTGGTCCCTGGACATAGAGTTGAGGGAGTGAGGCAGTGACGATGAGCTTTGCCAATCTGAGAACCAGTGCCTTCTCAGTTTCTTGCCAGTTTTGCAGATGAGCAGTTGATTTACAGAGTTGGAGTGAGTTGCCTCAAGTCACAGAGCCAGGGTGAGAGATAGCATGGGCCCAGGTCTGCCCTGTTCTTCACAACATAATGTTGGAAGTAGAGGGAAAGGCAGGGAAAGGGGCTGCCGGTTACTGATCACCCCTGTGCACTGGGCTCTCTGCTTCCCCCAGGATCTCGTTTTATTCCCACAGCCACCTTGGGAGGTGGACTCCCTGAATGGAACCCCTGAGGGTGGCGGAGACAGTAGTCTGATTTCTGGTTGTTCCTGGATGGCTGTGTGTTGGGGGAAGCACGTGGCCAAGGCAGCCTGGGTAACCCCTAGTCCATGTGGGAGATGGTGACTGAGAGCGAGATTGCAGCCACGTGGAGATTGTGGGCAGCAGTGTGGCTGGGACAGCAGCTGCTCTCCCTATGCAAATGAGGCCCTCAGCACCCACCATCCAGCACTGAGCAAACACCCAGCAGAGAAACCCCCTCCTAAACCTCTCTGGGACCCTAGCCTGTGCCTTCTGACACCTTCACCGCAGCAGCTGCCTGTACTCTAAGCCCAGTCCCAGGCCACAGCAGTTCACAAGAACCATGCCCACCCCTTGGGGGAATTCCCGTGTCTGTCTGGAGACAAACTGCAGCCTAGGCAAGTCTGGCTGTAGAAGCTGACCCTAGAAGCCAGCCCTGCATTAAGAGCTGACTGTAGCATCCCCAGTGGCATGCCCGTATCACTTCCAGGGCCAGTCTGAGAACTGTCAGTGGGGCTGTAGATTGAGAACAAGTCTGGCCTCATCCACCCTCTGCAGATCCCAAGCATATCGCCTTTGGCCCCTCCCCTGCACATTTGCTCATGCTGTCCCCTTGGGATTACATTTCACCCCCCCTTACTCCCCCTGCTCTGTCGCCTTGGCAGAACCAGCCCCGCATCCCCTGCCCAGCACTGAGTGCCCCAGGCCTGGGTGCCGTCTATCATTACAGCCTGCTCATGTCCTTGGACTCCAGCTCCCCTCTAGGCTGGGCACTCCCTGGGCTGGGGCTGAGGAATTTGTGCCTGGCTTTGGATTGAGTGTGGTCTCATTTATTCCTTGCAACCTAGAAGACAGATATGCTTATTGTTCTAGCTTTATGGGTGAAGAAAGATACTCAGAGAGGTCAAGTCACTTGCTCAAGGTTGCACAGCTACCAAGTAGGAGAGCTGGGATAAGGAACTGGAGTTGCATGCAGAGTCTGTAATTGGGAATAGACTGGCCCTTATTCAGCCCTTTGTTCCCAGGCCTGACAAAGCCTAGGGTGATTAAGGACCAGCAAGCGTTGATGCATTCTTGTTCAACAATAAGATGGTGGATACTCTCCCTGTCTGTTCCCCAGGTATCCTGAAGGTGCACCCTGCCGCTGTGTGCACAGCCCACCTACCCCAACATGCACCCGTCAGGCCCTGGATGAGGGCATTTGCTCAGGAGATCCTTCCAGCAGTGTGGTGGGCTCAGGATGGTTATACCCATTTTATAGATAGGAAACTGGGTACTAGAGAGGTCTAATAAATGTCCCAGAATGACCCAGCAGGAAGTAGCTGACTACGACTCCAGCCCAGGGCTTGGGGCTCTGTGTCTGGTGCTCCTTCCTAGGCTGGCGGGATGAGGCCATGCTTGCCAAAGTCACCCGGGCTGCCTCTGGCCCAAAGTGACGGAGCAGTTGGTCAGCTAGTCCTCCACCCCGAGGCCTCTGAGAAGAGAGGAAACACCGGTCTGCGGGGGATTCCTCCGGCGGCGCCGCGCCCCTCAGCCACTTCCTCTGGACACTCTCGTTTTCTTTGTCACTTGTTTTAGTTTCTGCTTTTCTTCCCTCGTTCCTTTTTCTCAAGGCCACTTTCATTTCCGTCTGGCAGTGTCCCCCCAGCCCACCCCTACTCCTCTCTGCTCAGCTCCCACTGCCTGCTGCCACTTTGGGATCCCCAGAGGCCTTGCCTGCCTGGGCCACATTTCCCAGCTGGTAGGGGTCAGGCACAGGAAGGGGCTGCCTCCCGGCTTCATCCCTCGTGGTGGGGAAGCTGAGGTGGCTGTCAGATCGCCCTAGGATCCCAAGCAGCCCCAGGTTCCCTGCTTAGCCTCTCTGGGCCCCAGGCTCTTTCTCATCTATGAGATGGGAGGAAGTCCACCCTCAGAGAGTGTGAGGAGAGAAGGAGATGACACACGTGAAGCTCCAGTAACTAGCACATAGAAAAACCCAGTGAACACCAGCTCTGCATCTCCGGACCTGCCTGTGAGTTCAGTCTTCTGTGCCTGCAGTCTTCTCCCCCAACACTGGGCGCCCACACCTGGCCAAAGGCAGACCTCGCCATCTGTGCCTCCCGCGCTGAGACACCAAAGCCTGTAGAAAGGTGGTTCTGAGAAAGGAAGAGAGGATTATCACTTACGCCCTCTGGAGTCCATATGTACAGCCCTCTACCACAGCAAGAGCCCCTGCCCCCATGCCCAGCACAGAGGCATCATTTTCCCTGCAGACTGCCAGCCACCAGGCACTCAACACTCAGGGTAGGGCAGCCCTCCATTGTTCGACAGCTCTGCCTTTTTTAAGAAAGTTCTTCTCTCTAGTCAGCTGAGACCTGCCAGCCTCCACACCTGTCCTCTATCTTTGACCTTCCCCAAAAGAACTGATCTCCTCTCTCCTATTGTTCTAGATGTCTCAGTATTGCACTTGGGCCTCTCCAGACTTGCCCCAAATCCTTCTGCTCCAGTGTCCCAGTATCCCAGAGCAGTTAAGATTTTGGACTCCAGAGCACAACTCCCCCAGTTCAAATCGTGGTGAGGCCACTTGCTATCTATGTGACACTGGGAGTTTCCTAACCCCTCCACGCTCAAAAGGAGGTAACTGTGGGACTTAACATGAGCGGGTGTGTAAACGTCACCCACTGCCATGGCTGTTTATGATCAAACATCTACAAAATCTGTAACAGCTTCTCAAAGGGCCTCACTTCCAGCCCCCTTCATGCCTGCTTGCCTGCTGGTTCTATTTGGTAGTTTCCCTGTTACAACTTAGAGATGGTGCCTTGACTCTTGGAGGCAGCCAGACATTGAGGAAGGAGCCCTGGTTTTGGAAGTAGACCTGTGTTCAAATCTCAGGTCCATCCCGGGTTTGATTTACCCGGGAGACACCATGGGCCCATGTGGCTTCTCGAGGGCTCATGAAAATGCTTGAGACATGAAAAGAAAAAGGTTTGGTTTCAAAATATGAAAACTGCTCATCAAAATTAATATTTAGTTAATATACTCAAGCATAATGAATTGTATGATTTAGTTTTTATAGAAACAGCCCTCCTTTTGGGGGTTAGCATGCCTCACCTTGCCAAGGTTCCTGATTGCAGACAATGACTGCTGAGAAATCAGAGCATATCATTCATACTACAGGTTACTCACTGAAAATCACTTCAAAAACAAAATTATCTTTTAAATGTATAGTTGTTTTCCAGCAAAATATTACATTCAGCAAGGGATAAATTTTATAGAATGTCGGGGAGGCTTCCAAAAGTAATGCAGCTTGGGTCTTAAAATGACCCTGGGACTGGTCAACTCATCTCTCTGAGCCACTATGTCCTCATCTGCAAAATGGGGACAATACACCTGTTTTCCAGTATTGTTGAGCCTATCCTGGAGATCTGATAGTGCCTGCCTGTCTTTTGGGGGTCACTGGAGGAAGGGACAGAGGACTGTTGGCCCTTGCCTCTTATGGAGTTTCCATACGGATGCTGGACACTGAACCTGTTTGCTTTATCAGTCCTATGTGTCTGGGCCTTTCATCCCAGCTTCTGCCCATTCATCTTGGAGCGAGCAGTTACCATCAGCACAGACAATAGTTTGGGCTTTGGGAGGTGGGAAGTCCTGGGAATTCTTAGTTATTCCATTGCTGTTGCATTAGGTAGGTCCGCACATGCCCTTGAAGATTGAACATCCCTCCTGGGCTCTAACATAATTCAGGAAAAAGAGATGTCTGTTCTCTTGCCTCTTGACAGCTATTCCTTGTAAGGAACCATCATTCCCTTGTCCCTGTGACTGGGAGAGGCTTGTGGCAGGAGTGAGGAGACATCGGCTGATAAGTGGCAACCAGTTAGGGGCCCAGCTGCATGTCTGCATGTCCCGAAGCGTTCTTGATTCAGGGATGCCATTCACAGCATGAGAGGTGCCTCTTATGTGCCCATCCTGCTTAGGGTCAGCTGTTTCATTCAAAGATGGTAAAAAGTGTTGAGTCTTGGGTTTCAATTCTGCCTTTCTCATTCACTTGCTGTATGACTCTGGGCAGGTCACTTGACCACTCTGAACCTCAGTTTCCTCCTCTGCCAAGTAGGAAAACAAACAGCTGGTCTTTCTTCCCTGAGTTGGTGTGGGATTGTGGGTGAGAAAGGCTAAGTAGACCATTGTGAAACTTCAGGTGGGAGATGCCAGTGCTATTCTTTGTCTTGGTGTGAGAGCACAACCGGAGTCATTCACAGGCTTCTGCTGAGCCCCAGCCGGACTCTCACCTCAGCCTTGTCCAGGCCTAGGGGCCACCCTTGCAAAGGAACAGAACCGTCTCACCTGGGCTGGAGTTCATGGCCTCAGGCGAGATTTGGCAGGTGCCCTTAGTGCAGACCAGATGTTTGGCCTGTGTGTGATGGCTGGGGAGGGGCTCACACCTCCCAGTTTTTTCCATGGTATCAGCATCTTAATGCATCACGTCTCACTGACGTGGAGCTGCCCCTGTCCATTACCCGTGCATCAGCTCAGAGTTGGAAGCCTCCAGTCTCCATCATATGTCCCAAAGAGCCAGAAAGGGTAGGTGTGGCCAGATGTGCAGGAACCTCCTGCATATGTAATCCAAGCCAAGTCTTTGTTCTCTGATCCTTGGTTTTCTCATCTGGAGAATGGCCTTCTGTGGTGGACGTTTCTGTTCACTTTACTTGGCAGCAGTAGTAGGTCAGGAAGGAAACCCCATCTGATTGTTTATTCAGCCCTAGGCATTCCATATGAAGGCCAGCCCTTTTCTCCCTAAGGGGACCAACCAGCTTTGCCAACTGTTCTCAGAGGAGGATCCCAGGGACAGTATTCTGGTGAGGGGTGGGAACATACAGAAGACTTATCTTGAAGCTGCATTTGTAGAATAAGCACACTTTTAACCTAGAGTTTATGTTTGCTCATTTGGAGTGGCTTCGGAAGGTGACAGTGGATAGTGGTGGAAGGGGATGTCAGAGTCCACCCCAAGACACTACTTCAAGCTACCGCTGCAAACCTGGAGAAAAAGATTCATCCTCGAGCTGCCCCTCCCCCCTCATGATATTATTATCGCAAGAGAAACTAACATCTGTATTATCCTCTGAGTTTACAGGCAGATTATAGCATTTGAAGGAAGTTGGGAAAGCTTACTTCCTCTCCATCTCTAAAGCCGAGCTGCTAGTACCTCCAGGCAGGATTAAGCTACTCTGGTGGTCATTCATTCCTTACCATGATCTAGTTAATCAGATTGCTTTCCAGCCTTGACCAGAAGAAACCTATGAAAGTGCTAACCCTAATCCTAACCCTGACCCTGGGCTCTGAGGGCTGTGCTGAGATGTTTCACTCCTACACTAAACCAATACCTAGCTCTTCCCAATTTGCAGTAAAGGACAAAGTTATTACTTATCATTATCTCATTCTTCTAGTTTTCTCCCATTGGCTTTTCATAAGCTCTGGGCACTTGCTACTGCTTGACTGCTAATGAGTGCTCATAGGCAATAAAATGAAATGTACAAGTAGCAAACAAATATTAATGAGGAATATCAAAACCAGCCAATTCTGCGGAGTTTTGCAGCATATTTTTTTATGGTGGCTGTGTGTGTGTGTGTGTGTGTGTGTGTGTGGTGGCTGTGTGTGTGTGTGTGTATGATTTTATGGTATGGGTGCATTTTCTGCTAGTGAAAATTGTTCCCAGTTCTTGTGATGGAACCAGAACTTTAGTATTTCATGGAGTTCCCCCAAGAATTCCATGACTTTCCGTTACAACAATGGGATAAGGATGGGGATGGTGGCAGGAAAGAGAGGGGCCCCATGGAAGGGATGAGATGACCCAAACTCAGGGCTCATTCCTGATCCCCCAACCCCCAAGGAAAATCAAGTGACTCAAGATCTGGCAGATGTGTCCCTTCCTGTCACTCCTACTGCTAACAGCCTTGTCTTACCTGGATTTCTGTAGCTGCTTTTATCTGCCACCACCATGCCCCCTCTAATTTGTTCCCCATAGTGCACCAGGGGGATCTTTCTAGAACACAAACCTGGTCACGTCATTCCCCAAATAAAATCCTTTAATAGCTCCCCATGGCCTCTGGGGTTAAATGCTAAATTCCTTTAGAGCAACTTGCAAGGACCCTCAGGATCTCCTACCTGGTCTTACCTCTTTCCCTCAAAGCTCTGGCCTTAACCTCTTGCTTCCTAGCTCACACACACACATGCATCTCTCTCTCTGTCTTTCTCTTTCTTCCTGTTTCTCTCACACATACACATATGCACATGCATGCACACTCAATATTCAAGTCTCAGTTTAGATGCCATTTCCCAGAAGTCTTCCTTGATTACTTCCTCCACACCTGTGGAAGCCTGTGGATTTCATGTGCTCCTATGCTCCCTGGACTCATGTCAGAATGCATTTCACCAACAATTGTCTTTTTGCTAGTCTGTCTCCTTGACTAGACTGTGAGTGCCCACAGAATAGAGACTGTCCTGCTGCATTGCACCTGCCACATACAATGGATACTCAATAAATACCTGCTAAAAGTGGAGGGAAGAAAGGCAGGCAGAAGGAAGGGAAGGAGGGAAGGAGGGAGGGAGGGAGGGAGAGAAGGGAGGAAAGGAGGGAAGGGAAGGGAAGGGGAGGGGAGAGGGAGGGGAGAGGGAAGGGGAGGAAGGAAGGAAGGAAAGAAGGAAGGAAGGAAGGAAGGAAGGAAGGAAGGAAGGAAGGAAGGCCAGCCAAATTTATTTTGCTGATCTCCAGGTCCAGCCAGGGCCAGCCCTGATATATGTGGAAAACTAGTATCAGTGCAACAAGTATTTCACAAGCACGAGCTACATCCCAGGCCTGTGCTGGGAGCTAGAGATGTCAGAGAGGTGAAGGGAGGTGGAACAAGGACTCCACTGGAGGGAGGTAAGACAAGTCTGCAGCAGAGACAAAGCTGATTGTGGTCCACACTGCGAAGGAGATACACACCAAGAGTTCCAGGAGCTTGCATGAGGGAGGAAGAAGACCCTACTAGGGTCAGGTGGGGAGGTAGAGATCCCAGGGGCAGGGGTAGGGGCAGCCTGCTTGGCCAGAGGCCCTCTCAGTTCCTCCCATGGCATGTTTATGGCTGGCTTCATTAGTCTTCAGAGATGATGGAGAGCTTCATCATTGAGAGTCTGTGCAGGCATCACTCCTCTAGGAAAATGTCCATGCCCCTCCCTCTGATGGAGTGGATCACGCTCACTAGCCTCTGTGCTACCCAGGGCACACCTCTGTTAGGGAAGGCAGTTCTGTGCACCGATGGACAGCACCGTGTGGGGTTAGGAGCACAGATTCTGGAGCTGCCTGCCTGGGCTCCCATCCCAGCTCTGTTCCTGTGAGCAGCAGAGCAATTGTGAGTCCATGACTCAACCCCTCTATGCCTCAGTTTCCTCCTCTGTACAGCAGAGATGATAATGATACTTCCTTCATAGTATTAATAGCATTGCAAGTGTCAAGTGAGTTAATACAGGTAAAAACTCAGAACTGTGCCTGATGCAGGATCCAGATTATATAAATATTTGCTATTAGCACTATTGATTAACCTATGCACCTACCTACGTCTCTTGTTCTAGCTTATGAGCTTTTAAAAAAATTGCAGTAAGGGTCAGGCATGGTGGCTCACATCTGTAATCCCAGCACTTTGGGAGGCCGAGGTGGGCGGATCACCTGAGGTCAGGAGTTCGAGACCAGCCTGACCAATATGATGAAATCCCGTCTCCACTAAAAATACAAAAATTAGTCGAGCGCGGTGGCATGCGCCTGTAATCCCACCTACTCGGGGCTGAGACAGGAGAATCGCTTGAACCTGGGATGTGGAGGTTGCAGTGAGCCGAGATCGCTCCATTGCACTCCAGCCTGGGCGACAATAGTGAAACTGAAACTCTGTCTCAAAAAAAAAAAAAATTGCAGTAAGAATGTTTCACATGAGATCTACCTTTCAACCAATGTTTAAGTAGATAAAGTATCATTCATCATAGGCAAATGTTGCACAGCAGGTCTCTAGAACTTAGTCAACTTGCTTAACTGAACATTTATACTCCTTGAGCAGCAACTTCCCATTTCCCGTTCCCCCAGCTCCTGGCACCCACTATTCTACTGTCTGCTTCTGTGAGTTTGACTATTTTAGACACTACGTCTAAGTGGAATTATGCAGTATCTGTCCTTCTGTGCCTATTTCACTTAGCATAATGTCCTCCAGGTTCATCCATGCTGTCACATATTGCAGGATTTCCTTCTTTTTTAAGGCTGAATAATATTCAACTGTATGTGTGTACCACATTTTCTTTATCCATTCATCTGGATGGACATTTGGGTTTTTTCCACATCTTGACTATTGTGGGTAATGCTGTAATGAACATAAGAGTGCAAATATCTCTTTGAGATCTTGTTTTCAATCCTTTTGGATAAATACCCAGCAGTGGGATTGCTAGATCATATGGTAGTTCTATTTTTAATTTGTTGAGGAACTTCCATACTGTTCCCCATAGTGGCTGCACCATTTTACATTCCTACCAGCAGTGCACAAGTGTTCTAATTTCTTGTCTTAGGAGCCTCTTGACATTAGAGCCTGACTCTGGTCTCACCTGTAGCTCCCTCAACTCCTCACATAGGAATCACACATAATAGGCTTTGAAAAGGTAGAATAATAATGTAGTATATTCAGTGCTGGAACTGGGTGAGTCAGAGCTGGATGAACATGTCTCTTTCTAGACAGACCCAAGGCTATTCCCGATGTGTCCAAATGGAGTAAATCTGTGAATGAACCATTCTATTTGTTGAATGTCCCAAATGGGGAAAATTATAGGATCTCCCTTCTTTAGGCCCTTCAAGAGTTGCAGTCTGGGGCCTGGGAGCAGCCCTGGAGGCCCACTCAGAGGTGGTGTCCTGAGCTCATCAGGTTTAGCATGCCAATTATGGAATTTCCTGCCTGCTCTGATGACTTTTTGGCATCTGCGATGTAGATGGAGGGTGGGGAGGATGTTTGAGGGGAGACGTAGGAAAGCAAGTAGCTTGGTAGGGCCACTCAGCTGAAACCAGAACTGGGCCTCTGGAGCTCAGTGTGTGGCTGGACCCCAGCCCCGCTCCACAGTTTGAGTCCTTGTGTACCTGGGAATAAATCACTTCCGTCTTAGCTTCTGTTCTTGGCCTGTGCAACTTAGGGCAAGAGACAGCCTGGCCTGATGGAAAGGACATAGGAGCCAGGAAGCGTCTGGGCTTCCTAGCCTGGCTCTGCCAGTTTACCAGATATAGGACTCAGGCAAGACACTGAACTTCTCCAAGGCTTAGTGGTTCCCTGTGTTGGTGCTAACATGAGTCAGGAGTCCCACTGGGGCTGCTGTGAGGTTGAAGTGACCCTGAGGAAGGGCTCTGTGTGTCTCCTTCTGGAGCCTGGTCACCGTGTCATCTTTCTCTGTTATTGTGAACTTGCCCCAGAAAGACGGACATCTCAAGAACCCCAAGGCTTTCCAATGAGCCTAAGACTTCATGGTGGGGACAGGGACGTCCCTGAGTGATGTGGAGCAGCCAACAGCTGACTACTAGTTCAGGAACATCTGCTCTTGGGCAGTCTCCCTCTCCATGTCAGTGACAAATCCATTTAGGAGATGGAGAAATTGAGCCAAGGGAAGGAAAACTCACTAGGGCTCACTAGGGCTGCCTAAAATTGTTTTAGATAGATGAGTTATTCATATGAATGAAGGAATGACCATTGTTTCAAGGTAAAGGCGAGAACTAAAGGCAAAACAAGTTCTTGCTCCACCTCCCAGTCTGTTTCACTTCCATCTAACCTGTAAGAGGAGCTTCACTGTCTCCTGCACCCTAACAGTTTGAGCCTCTGTGCCTTTGTACTTGATTTTGTTTGACTTTGTCCTTGAATGCTGTTTTCATATAGAGCAATAAATTATATGGTCAAATCCTCCCCATCCTTCAAAGCTCCTCTCTCTCCTCCTCCAGGAAGTCTTCCAGGGTACCTGGTTGTCCTTTGTGCAGCTCTTGTCTTTAGCTGCAGCAGCACACTCTGAGCCCTCAATTTTAGCTATCTGGCCTTTATCTCTCACAGTATTAAGAATGTGCTTCTTGTTACTCCCACTTGGCCATGGGCTGTTGCCCTTCTAACCTCCTGGTGGGTCCTAGTCCATCAAGCCTAGTTTCAGTCCAGCAAAGAGGAAGGGTTAAAACATGTACCTTGACCCCCAGCTAAAATCCACTAGCGCCTTCGTTCTAATGCCTTTGGTCTCAGCTTTCACTGCTCTGGGCTGGGTCAAGGTCTTATGGCTATAATTACAGCACATACGTGTGTGTGTGTGTGCACGTGTGTGTGTGTGTGTGTGTGTGGGTGTGAAAGAGAGAAAGAAAGAGAGAGACAGAGACAGAGGAGGGAATGGGAAGACAGGAGAGATGGAGAGAGGAGGGCAATGGACTCGTGCCAGGCCACACACACCATGTTTGTCTCTGGAGGTGAGAGTGAAACAACCCTTATTCCCATCAGCTGACACGCCTGGGCAGATCCTCTGTGGGATGCTAAGCCGGGTGGCTGGGGCAGGTCCGCTGTTCCCATTCCAGCAGGGTTCAATCTCTGTCATCTAACACTTCATACCAGTGTTATTGAAGTCTCACTAATAATTACCAGCACAACAGCAAGTGTTAGAAGCATTTGCCATGCTAAGCACTTTACGTAGATTATCTTAATTCTCACGACAACCATTTGAGGTAGATGCCATCTTAGTGCCATTTTACAGATGAGGAAGCTGAGATTTAGAAAGATTCCACGACATAGCAAGCGTAGGGTACAGACCCACGGCCAGTCTGTCTGGCCTAAGCCTGTATTCATCCCCATTGCCCACAGTCGCCTCACTGCCCCAGAAGCCCAGACTCCTTGGCAAAGGCCCTGGTTCCACCACTGGCCACCCTATGTGGGACATTCAGTGCACCAGACCTTGGTTCCACCCCTCTTTAAAATGGGCTGGATGCCGCTGAAGGGCCCTGCCAATTTCCCATATGGAGAAGCCGTGCTTGGGGGATTCCGAATCCTTGGATGCTAAGATACCGGTCATTCTGATTCTGGGATTTCCAGATTCTGGCCACAGATTCTAGGGTCCTGGAATCCCATGATCCCCATAATCTCTGATCTCCACTAGAATGCAGGCTCCAGGGGGACATGCGCTTCCATCCATGGGTGCCCTGCTGTGTGCTAGGGCCCAGCACAGCCAGAGCCTGCCGTGAGCTAGGCGCTCAGTCAGCGTTTGTTGACTGAATGACTGACTCACCCTCCCCTACAGTCAATGTCCATCCTCTGGCCAGGGTCCATGCCTGAAATGTGCCCAGTCCACATATGGTGGGCGACCCCTGGATAAACAGGCAGAAAACTTGCCTCTGGTCCTGCTCAGCCACTGATCTGCAGCATGGTTCCAGGCAAGTCACCTAACCTGCCTGAGCCTCTCTTTTCCCAAGAGCACTAGACAAGGAGTCAGAGAAACACACCAGGCTTATTCCTGCCTCAGGGCCTTTGCATGTACCAACCCCGTGCCTGAAATCCTTGTGCCCCTGCTCCCTCACTTCACCCAGGCCTTTGCTCAGATGTCACCCCTAGAACCTCATCTCCTTAGAGAAGCCTTCCCTGATCACATCAACTCAAGCACCTTCTCTAGTCACTTTCTCTTTCCTTTCTCAAGTTGTCTGTATTTTCTTTCATAGGGCTCATTACCACCTGACAACATTTCTTTGTTTGAATGTTGTCTGTTTCCCCTATTAGAATTTAAGTTCCAAGAGGACAGGAGTTTTTCTTGTCTGATTCACCGCCTAGAATAGCGCCTGACACAAAGTAGGTATTCAACAAATATTGGTTGGAGGGAATAAGGGAAAGAGCGTCGGAAAATGCAAGCTCCATGGGATCCTCCCCTGCCCAAGTTCTGGTCCCCAGATGCTGAGCCACTTGGGCAGCTCTCTCCTGGCTCAGCCTGAACTCCCACGAGACCCAGAACCTTCCCCCAGGTACCACTCTGGGTGCCTTCACCATGGGAAACCAAGGTCACAACTGCGTGCCCTCAGAGCAGGACACAGGGCAACCAGCTCTCCCCAAAAGAGAAGACTGCCAGGCCGAGGCCTGGGCAGAGCTGGCTGTGTGCTGCTGAGTAAACATACTCGTCTTCCACAACGTGCGTGCAGCTTGAGGCCTGCTTTCTGTTGCTGGCACTCAGACAGCCAGGGGAGAAGGAGAGTCATGCCTGAGAGTGACAGAGAGGAGGAAGGCAGTGGTGTCTGATGCAGCCTGGCTTCTAACCGGCTTCGTTCACATCTCCCTCTCCTGCCCCAGCCCCTCTGAGCTCCCCACGGCTTGTTACTGCCTGCAGGAGGATGCAGCCTCTCAGCTGGAATTCAGGGCCCTCCGTGACCCAGACCTGCCTGGATCCCCAACCTGCTTTCTCCCAGCAGGGTCCAGGGACTATTTCCCAATGCACCATGACCTGTCCCATCCCCCAGCTTTGTTTGAAGCATGCTGTCTGTCCAGAGGGCCCTCCCACTGCTCCTCCTACAAGAAGCCCTTTGTGGCCACACCCACTCATGAGATCTCACCCTCATCGGGGCCCCCCAGCTCTTCTGGACTCTTCCACTTCTAGGGGATGCTCAGGAATCTAGATGTAGCTCCTTCTGTACATGGTGGGTGCCCCCAGCCTGTGGGAAGTGCTGATAGGTGGTGATGGGGGGAGAGCTTGGGTGGGGCAGCAAACTCTCTCCATCCTGTGATGATAAATGAGGTAATGGACATGGCCACGCCTTGTAAACTGTAAAGCACTGTCCTACCTTGGCCCAGCCCCCTTATCTCTGGCTGGGACTTTTGCCCAGCATCCCCATGGGCCTCCCTGCCTCTGGGTTCACCCAGCCCAGCCAGCCTCCCTATCGAGCCTCACCCAGCTCTGATCATTTCCCTTCTTCCTGCCCACCTTGCTGGTAGGTTCTGGCCTCAGAGGCTAAGACTTGCCCTCAGCAAGCCCTCCCTGTGCTCCCTGCACCCTGCCCGGCCTTTGCTGCTTTCCTCCACATGGAGTGTGCTTCTGTCACCCTGCCGTTCTCCTGCTTCAAGGACTACCTCAAACTCTTCCTTCAGATTTCCCTGCCCACTCCAGGCATGATCGGTTGCTCGGGGCCCCACCGTCCACTTCCATGTGAAGGCACCTCTCACTGTGTCTCATTCCCTGTGTATATGTGCAAGTTCCTCTGTGGCTTTCGGTTTGGGCCTGACATAGAGAAATGCTAAGGTGAAGGTTTCTCCTGGCAGACAGGGCTGCCTGCTGAGGATATTATAGGCATGAAGCCTGGTGTTTGATAAACTTCAGTTTATTGAGGCCCAACCATAGTCCTAAGGGTCACTCTCATTTTCCCTATGGTAGCACCAAGATGCTGAGGGCCTGGCTTGAGGTCACATGGTAGCATGCAGCAAAGCCGGCCTGGGGACCCCAGTCTGATTTCAAAACTCTCCTTCATATTGCATGACCATGACACAGTAAAAATACCAGGCCTCTTTCTAATCCTTGGCTGTCAATAAACTGCCTTGGGGATTTTGTCTTTTTGCCACCCAGTTCTTCCCATGGTTCCCATGGGTGCTGCCATCACAGCCCTGACAAACAGTTGGCTGGTGCGTGAGGACCCCCAGTCCCCATCCATCTTCCCACCCTCCCCAGGCTTGCCGTGGGTCCCCTTCAGGTCGCCTGGGCCCAGGCTGAAGACTCAGGCTGGACCTGGCATGTCTCACCAGGACACGTCAGGGAGTAGGGCAGCCCCATGCCCAGATCTGCCAAGCCGCCTCCTATCTCTGACATCCATGCTGCAGATCAATAAATCTGTCTCCTGCTCTTCTCTCCTGACCATCTGTTTTCCCTGGTGGTCCCCAGGGAGTCTGCCAGGCTGGCTGAAAGCTCCCAGGTCGGAGAGAAGAAGCTATTTGGGGGCCATCTGTTTGAGAGGTGCCTCCGGCTGGGGTTCCGCAGCTGAAGGAAGCAGCCCAGGCAGTGGGGGGCTGCCAGGAGGGGACAGCAGTTAGGGAGCTGAGAGCCTTCGTTATCTTTAGGCTCAGGGCCAGGGTGTGCCAGCTCCCCCGATGCCAGCAGACCAGTGAGATGCCAGGCCTGGCTGCACCTTGGACATGTCGCTGGGGCAGATGGTGCCGGAGGGAGTGGGGAAGACAGTCTGAACCTCAACACCTCCCCCCAGAAAACTCCTTTTAAAACACATACACACACACACCCTTAAAATTGGGTTGCCAGTGACAACCTGGCATATCATCTTCTTTTTATATTATTCTTAGCCCCTCTGTTACCATAGCAACTGAACAATGCTTTTAAATATAGCAGTTAATTTTTTCAGCTTCAGCAACAAAGTTTTGGTGCTGTCCAGAAGGCCAGTGGCTGGTTTCTCTCCCAGGGGCCAAGCCCTTCAGACTCATCTCTCCCCATGTCAGCCCCAGAGTGTGAGCTGGGGCCAGGTGTCCTGAGGCCAGCAGGGACCCTCTGTGTCCCCTGACCTGGCTACCCTCTAAAGTCAAGGTGTAGTAGAAAGAACCCGTGTTCTGGAATCAGCAAACATGGATCCAAATCCCATCCCCTCATCCCCCCTGCTGTCCTTGAAATCTTTGCTTTTCCTCTTGGAGCATTAATTTCTTTATCCAGTCATTAGAGGTGACAGTATCTGCCTCATAGATTTCAGTGAGTCTTAAATGAGCTAAAGGAGGCGAAGGTGGCATGGTACCCATGGGAAACACTCAATAAATGCATCTTTGCCTCTTTTCCTGTCTTCTTCCCGTCCTCCACTTCTTCTCCTCTTTTCTCCCTTTCCATCCCCACCTCCCTCTCTCTTTTGCCTTTTTCCCATCCCTTGCTCCCCACTGCCTTGAATTATTGATGTTAAATTCCCAGCCAGTAACATCAGAGGGTTAAAATCCATAACCAGCCTTCTTCCAGCCTCCCCTCGGATCACCCTCCCTCCCTGAGCTGGTGAGCTCATCGGAGTCATAAATCATACATCAGGGCTTGAGAACCCGGGCCCCTGTAGTCCAGCTGCTGAGCAGCCCTGGGCAGGAGGCAGTCTTCTGGAAGGGCTGGCAGGTTCTGAAGCCATGAGCAGATGAGGCACCATTATCAGGAGCTTCTCTTGGAAGGGGAGCTGACAGCCTGTGGCCCACTGACCAGCAGCATTGTTTCGGGGGGCTCTCAGCTCCCTGCCACCCTCCCACCATCATCCTGCAGCTCTCTCCAGCCCCTCCCCCAGGCTTGCTCATCACCCACTCATTTCCCTGCATTCCAGAGCTCAGCATGGCAGGTCTTAAAACAATAGAAAGCCAAGTTTCTAATGCTCAGAAGCAGTCAAAACATGGCATGGGCTGCCCAGCAGGTAGTGAGTTCCCTGTCACTGGAGAGTTCAAGTAGAGGCCGAACATCCAGGGGGCTGGATGTTGTGGGAAGAACTGTAGTACCAGGTTACAAATTTAATAGACTCTTGTCTCCACCTATGATTCCATAATGGAAACAATAATGTTAAAATCACCATATAATTTTGCAGAACCTTGGGGTATTTGGTGATTATCCTCATTTACATAAAAAGTTAACTTGCCCAGGGTCATTTAGCTGATAAAGAGGCTGACTGTGAATCCAGAGCTCTACATGCCCCATTATTCTCCAAGTTAAACTTTCGTGGCTGAAAGCTACTTGGAAGAACATTTATTGAGCAGCGACTGCATGTGACTCTCTGAGCTGAGCCCCAGGCAGGAGGCTCAGGGACTTGCAGAAGCCAGAGACTGCTCTCTGAGAGTTGGCAGTCCTATTCAGGGACAAAGAGCAGACCCAGAAAGAGAAAACAAGTGCTTTCAGGGCAGTGGGAGCTCAGAAGAGGGAGTGATGCTCTGGGCTGGGGCGCAGATCGGGGGTGGGAGGACACTGCAAGAGGGGAAGGTGTCCGTGCCTACCAAGCCTGCTGCAGGCCATAGGCTCCTGGGGGCCTTTTATTTCTTACTTTATTTAATCCTCCCAGGGGCTCTGTGAGAATGGCCCAGCATCCAGTTTTGACAAATGCTCTGCTGAACTTGTCAAGGTCACACATCTCAGAAGTGGAAGGACCACGTGTGTCTGACACCAAGACTTCCACATCGGTGGGAGGTGGCAGAGGGAAGGACAAGCCTGCCCCGCTGTGTCAGGAGGCCAAGGATCTCCTGTCAGGCTCCACTGCCTGAGGCCAGCATGGGCAACTGGCCAGGAAGGAGGTGATGGCTGAAAAGGCCTGGTGGCTTTGGCCTCCAGCCTGGGAGGGCACCAGTTTGTTGCTTCTCCCCAGGGAGGATGGAGGGAGGAACGGTGTCTATGAAGGGAGGGGCTGCCGGGCCATGCAGGGGACCAGCTCTGGCCTGTGATACAAGAGACCTGGGACAGGTTGTGGCTCTGTTTCTGGTTTTCTGAGACCCCTGAGGCAGGTCAGCTCAGGACGCTGGTTTCCCTCTTCACTCAGAAGGGCAGAGCCTTTATTGTCCTGCGCATCTCATGTGCTAAAGTTAATTTGTCACTGTTAGCATCGGCCCTGACCATCTGCCTAAACCATCGGCCAGCCACAGGTGCCCAGTGTCCCCTTACCCTGCTTTGTTTTCCTTTTCGGTGCTTACACACCCTGATGTTACATTCTCTACCTCTTCATTTATACTACTGCCTTTCTCTGCCAGGAGACTGGAAACCCCACAGAGGCAGGGCCTGGCCTTCGTCCAGGGCTGTGTCTCCAGCACCTGAGCAGTGCCTGGTGCGCACAAGCAGTGGGCGCATCTTTACGGAATGAATGGTGCATGCGACTAGGGCGGCATGCCTCCTTCATATCACCATGGCCCTGTTCCTGCTTCTCCTGCCACTTGTCGCAGGGCACTGTAACTGCATGTGTCGAATCTGTCTCTGCTTCACGCAGTGAAATGCTGAGGCAGAGCACGGAGCACAGCCTGGAGCAGGTGCTTGATGAGTACTTGTTGAAGCAGTAGAATAAAGTGCTCTCCTCCCCGGACCTCAGTTTCCCCATTTGTACACTGAGAGGGTAATCATCCTAGAGGCTTGTTAGCCACCCTCCCTCAGTGACATTCTGGGATTAGCGACCTGCTGGCTGGCGTTTCTGCACCTGCACCTTGGTGTGTTTGCTGCCCTGTTTGCCACCCCAATGCATGTCCTGACCTCCAAGGTTGGTCACCGCCCAGAGCCTGCCTTCCCTTTTATGAGCAATTAAAACCCCAGAATAGCCCATTGTTTAGAGTCAGGTGCCTGGACCCTGTATTTATCTCCAGTGTGCCGAGTGTGCTCGGGCCCCTGCCAGCCACGTGGTGGGCATCGTTGGAACCACTCGGGCCGCTCAACACAGAGAGCCTGTCTCTGGCATCGGGAGACAGCCAGCTCCAAGGGGTAGCAGGAAGGACGAGGAGAAGGCATAAAAGGGAACCAGCTTTTACCGAAAGCCGGGCATTTGACAAATGCTTTTCATATGTCTTCACAAAGGCTATGCAGGATCGGTGTTATCAACCCCATTTTATTGCTTGGAAGTCTAAGGCTCAAAGAGATCACCTTCCCATGGAACTTCCTCAAACTTGCAGAGCTTCTAAGGGACAGAGCTGGGATCTGAACACAGGACTGTCTGGCCCCAAAGCCCAGGCTTTTTCACCGTGCTCCTTAGTGTCTGCTGGGTGGTGGTGGTGCTCGGCCACCATCAGCCCATGAAGCTATAGCCCAGCAACTGCCAGTGAGCGAGCTGGAGAGGGAACCAGTAGACGCCATGGATGCTGCCATGGGCTCTGCATTTGCAAATCACCAGCCTTGATTTCTGGCCTCTTCCTGGCCTCCCCGTACCCTCTGCCTGTTCTTCTGGGTCCTGTCAAATCTCACCCCTCTCTGAAGGAGATATCATGGCCAGGCATAGGCCTGGGGCTACTAATTGAGAGAAGCCAGGAACTTGTGACCAATAGTGCGCAAAGGGAAGGGAGGGCACTAGAAGGCCAGCCCGGTGGGTGGCAGTGGGGACTGCAGTCTAGGCCCGCAGCAGAGCGGAGAGTCCAGAGAAAAGGGCTGACTCAGGGACATCTTCGAGGCACTACCGCTTACCAGCCAAGCAACCTTCAGCAAGCTGGTTGATTTCTCCGGTCTTCAGCTTCCTTATCTGTAAAGTGAGAGTAGCGATGGTGACTATACGATAAGGCCCTCTTTGGGGAGTCAGTGGAGTAATCCATGTCAAATTCTTAGCTGAGAACCTAGCAGGAATCAGGTCCTTAAGAAGCTATGATCAGCCGCCATCCTATGGTGACCACTGCTGCACGGCCACAGGGATTGGGGAGTCAGGCTTGGGGTGTGAGGCCACGGCAGGACACAGCACCAGTGCCCAGGAATAAGGTGGGTGCTTGGCCTTGGGAACGAGACAGACACATAGTTTCTAGACACAGGACACAGTATTAGGGCAGGGAAGCCTGGGCGGGGGCTCTTTAGATGCGCCTCATTGTGAGAGGGAGGACTGGGCTGAGAGCAAGGAGTAGGACTGTGCTGGCCAGTTGGCGCAGGGGACCAGCCATTGGAAGAGAAGAGATGGGGGAGAGGATAGTCAGACCCTCACTGAGGGCTTAGAGTTAGAGCCATTCCATAAGGCTCTGAAGAATTCATTGACCACTTCACATGTGCTTGTCCTTTTGAAGCAAAGCCATGGGATGTCAGAGCTGGCGCGACCTTAGAAATGGTGTTGGCTGCCCTGGGTCACACAGCAGGATGACAGAACACCCTTGCTCTTCTCTGTGCTTCTGTTTTCCTTTTGGTCACATGAAGAGGGTACACTTTTAGAATCTTTCTAGCCCTGCAGATGACCCCCAGGGACTATTTTGGGGTTTTGCTCCATGCTAGGAGAGGGGAGGTGGGAGCTCTGAAGAGGCAGAGTGTGCAGATGAGAAATGTGGCAGGAGGAAGTGACAAATCCCCTGGCTGATGCACGAAGAATGGGATGGAGGGCAGAGTGCTGGACCAACACTCTGCCTTGAACTTGAGTAGAGCTCTCTTCGGGCATTAGGGTTGCTTGCATGTTGACTCAGATTGGCACAGCTAGAAACTTCCCTAGGGCTTTCTCAGCTGCTGGTGGAAGTGGGTTCTTAACCGAAAGTCCCTACCTCCCCCTGCCCCACTCCAGACACGTCCCTCCAAAATGCCTATTCATCACCTGAGCTGAACCTGGCTAAAGCCAGCAGAATCTTAGTTCCCAGTGGGCCAGCAGAAGCTGCAATTGACCCCATTGCCCTGAACTCTGCATCTGGCATTCCTATGGATGGCAGTGGAGGGCGGGGGTTACTGAGCTGCACCCTCGCCTAAACTTTGCCGTGTCAGTGACTCAGCATAACTGGATTTGCCTCTTTCTGCCTCAATTTCCCTGCCTAAGACTCCAATTATCTACAAAGCCAGAGCCCCACATGAACTCCAGTCCTCAGTGAGCCCCTGACTGGCGATCACCATTCCACCCAAACCCCACTTGGGGCTTGGTTCTGTTCTCCATGTCCTCAAGCTATAGGCTGGTTTCCTGCCCTAAACAAGGAAGATCGTCAGGAAATGACACTGCCTTTCTTCTGACCTCAGAGATTGCTACTGCCTGGAGGCTGCCTCTGTCCCACCCGTGAATGGCCCTGCTTGGATCCACCACAGGTCTGCCCCACTCACTGGATGCTCCTTTCTCTGGGCTTCCACCTGACATGACCCGGATGCAGCTGTCCTGGCCTGCTGCTGGGGTGCCCATTCCCAGGTTTAAAGCTCGCTTGGCTGTTAGGAGGCTTTGGGCTGCAGGTAACAGAAAGCTAACTACAAGGGACTTACACAATAGGGGTTTCACTCCAAAGAGTGGAGGTAGGAGTGGTTCAAAAGCTGAAAAACGTACAGCCCAGAAATCCAGAATCCAGGCATGTTCCAGCTTCCCCGTTGGCCAGCCTCACCTCCATAGCTGCAGTGTCATGACCCAAGGCCATGGGTAGCTGGCACAGTCCAGGGCCATATGCCATGTGGTGGTAGGGGGTGCAGAAGAGGAACATCTTCCCCAGATTCTCTTTTTATTAGCAAAGAAACTCTTTCCCAGAACCCCTGAGAAAGGCTTCCCTTAACTCTAAAATGGGAGTAATTTACCCCGCTGACCAGAACTGAGTCATATGAGCCAATCACTGGAAAATGGAATGGAGTTTCATTCAGTTCTGAGCTCACCCCAATAAAAGCAGCCTCCAACAGCAGAGAAGACATGGGGGATGACATGGCTACTAGGTTGCTTCTAGTACTTGACTTGAAGTTTTCTTGTTTGCAGTTTTGGTGCCAGAGCTCCTGGTCATAGCTTTTTGTGCCAAAGGAAGCCATTTGACTTGTTCCTCTCAGAAACCATTAGGGCTCTTCAGTGTAAGCAACAGAAGCTGACTTGAGATAACTTAAGCAAAGAGGGAATATATCAGAAGGATAATGAGAATCTTACGGAATTGACAGGAAGGCTGAAGAAGCAGACTCAGAAAAGGATCCAGGGCCCCTCCAGGGACCAGAAAACAGGAACTAATCAGAAGTGGTCTTGTCATGGCCACAGAGATGGAAGAATGAGCTCGCAGAGTCAGGGCCTGGCAAAGAGCATCTGAGATGCCTGGCTTAGGCTCATGCCCTCCCCTTGGTTGTGAGAAAGCAGGAAGCCCTGATTTACTGTCCACCAAGACCAGGAGAGCTGATTTCCCCAAATGAAATCAGAATGCTATTGCCAAAGTGGGGAGAAGGGGTGCCAAGTGGGCAAAAGTCAACAAATGCCCACCACGGTAGCACATGATGCTTGACCCAGAGACAGAGCAGAGATTGACTGGCATGCCTTCCCATGTGGAGGTAAACGATGTACAATCTCAACTGCATGGGGCTGGTCACTCAGAGCAGAAGGTACATGAAGCACTCTCTCAGGTCCCCACAAAGGTAGTCCCTCCCTAATGTCACCCTGATAGGGCAGAGGATTCTATCGAATCCTTCTAGAGGCTCCCTGTGCACTCACCTGGGGGATGGCCCCTCCTGGCATCTCCCAGTCACTCTAGAAATTCTAACAAGTCTTCTGCTCATCAGCTACAGGAAACTGGTGTCAGCCCCGGAACATCCCTGAATCTTTCTTCAAGCCCACATGAATTGAAGGTCAAACCCCAGGCTTACTGACTCCTGACAGGCCAGGGTTCGGCTTGGCCAGGTCTATTGCTGCAGATAGCAAACCGTTATTGAGCATGTATTCATTAGGGCAGGTAAGGTGCTAAGCACTTGGCATGCAGTAAATCATTTTATTCTTCCCACAACTCTATCATATATGGCTTTCATTTTCCTTTTCTACAGATGAGGAAACTGAGGTTTAGAAAGAGTCAGTAACTTTCTCATGGGCACAGCTAATAAGTAGCAGAGCAGGATTCAAATCTGACCCAAGATCCCCCTCTTAGTGACTTCACTGTACCATCTACACCCAACTCCCAATAGGCTTCTTGTTCTTCCCTCTTGGAATGAAAATGGATCAAAAACCTTGGTTCACACATTTGTCCTCTAGGCATATCCACCCGCCAGAGACCCTCCTCACCCTTCCCAGTACGGGGACTTGGGCCTCAGCCTTGGCCCTTTAAGAGACTTTGAAACTGCTCCAGAACTGCCATCCGAGAGAGGGTAAGTCCTTTCTTGCCCCACCCAAGGCCCTCCATGGAAGCATAATCATAAGTCGCACTTTTTAATTTTCACAACGAAATCTTGTCATTGCCCTCGTGGTAGTTCTGGTTTCTAGAGGACATGGTTCTGCCTTCTGTGGGTAGCAGAGTATCCTCTGCTTCTCCTGCCAGTGCCCTCGACTTGGCAAAAGACCAGGGATGCAGCAGGTGCCCTGGGGATGGTCTAATGTAGCAGTTCACCAGCTGGGCTCTAAGAAGCCCCAGAGGTCCTGCAGAACCCCTTCAAGGGGCAGCCCCGGGGGAGCTGAGGGGAGCAGCATGAAATATACCCAGCACAGCTTCCACCAGAGTACCCTGCCTTTATCTGTCTTACATGCTGATCTGCAATTTAAGGGTTATTTTCAAAGAAAATATTCTCTGGCTAAAACTCACTGGTCAGCTAGATATGATGATGCTTTTTTCTAGAAGATTCTGCAATATTTTATTTGAACTGAACTCCTATATCACCCTGACCACTGAGTGAATTGCCTTTATAGAACGATAGCTTAACATTCTTTCTTTGACATTGTTAGAGGACCAATAACCAGGACTTGCTGTCTATGTGGGCAACACCTCAGAACATCGGCGGAACAGTAGAGAAAGTTGTCCATTGTGTTGCTCAGAAACTCCTTGAAACAAAGACCCTGGTGACTAATTCCTCTCCAAAATCTGGGCCAGGAGAGTTTGACTTTCCTGGTTTCCTGGTCCCCTCCTACTGCCAGACAATTAAAACCCATCTTCACTCTTTACTGTGGCCACTAATACGCCCAGAGCATATTCAGCTAGTTATCTCTCTTTTTAAAATACATGTATTCCAGCCTGGCACGGTGGCTTACGCCTGTAATCCCAGCACTTTGGAAGGCCAAGGTGGGTGGATCACCTGAGGTCAGGAGTTCAAGGCCAGCCTGGCCAACATGCTGAAACCCCGCTTCTACTAAAAATACAAAAATTAGCGAGGTGTGGTGGTGCACACATGTAATCCCAGCTATTAGGGAGGCTGAGGCAGGAAAATTTCTTGAACCTGGGAGGCAGAGGTTGCAGTGAACTGAGATCACACTTCAGCTTGAACAACAGAGCAAGACTCCGTCTCAAAAAAAATAAGTAAATAAATAAAAATAAAACACATGTATTCGGACACAACGATGAGAACAATAAACACTGGGAATCCTAAAAGGGGACAGGGAGGAAAGGGGGTAAGGGTTGAAAAACTACCTATAGTGTACTATGTTCACACTTGGGCAATGAGATCATTTGAAGCCCAAACCTCAGCATCACAAAATATACCCATGTAACAAACTTGCACATGTACCCTGATTTGTCCTGCAGGCTGTCAACCTCTGATATAGCTGTACCCTAGTTTTCAATGGTAGGTTAACCCTTTCCATGTGTTTGCATGGTTGTGTCCCAATAAAACTTTATTTACAAAAACAGGCTACCAGTTGGATTTGTACTGCAGGCTATCAACCCTTGATATAGCTGTACCCTAGTTTTCAATGGTGTGTTAGCCCTTTCCCTGTGTTAGCACTTAGATTTGCTGTCGGTATTCAATGCCTCAGTATTAGAAGTAAGACTGCATGGAACTTGCTTAGAATTTTTTTTCTTAGACTGTCTTTCTGGGAATTGGGATGACTACACCCAGAAGTGTGGATATTTGTGAGGCAAAGTTCTTGATGCACGCTCTGAAGTTGCCTTTCAAAAGCATTCTGTCTATTTTCACTACCAGCAGCGATGTGAGAGCACCCATTTCCTCACACCCTGTGAGCGCCGGGCAGTGTCCTTCAAAACATTTGCTTCCAGCACCCCCTGCTCTTTTACATCTGGATTTTGCTTTTGTCCAGTGTTTTGAGCCTCGGTCTGCACTTTTGTTCCTTAACCTTCCTCACATCCTTTTTGGAAGTAGGCAAGATACAAGCAAACATGTTTCTGGGTTTTATAGGTCTGTCATCCTGGGGTCAAGTTCAGGGAGTGGAAGGAGCCAGGGAGAAGCAGAGTCCTGAAGATCCAGTGTGGATGGCACAGGCTGGTAGGGCTGACAGCTGTCCTTCTCTGCTGGATGGAGAACACCCTCTGCCAGGGATACTGATGGAACTTCCAGAGGCTGCATCATTGCAGGCCAGGCCAGGGTGGGGAGATGAGAGCGTAGAGAAAGAAACATGGTGGGAAGGGAAAGAAGTGAGTTTTGGCATCACATGGGCATAGGCGTCCATCCAGGCTCCGTGAGTGAGCCTGGACACGTTCTCTTGCCTCTTTGAATTACCCATTTTGTCCTCTGTAAAGGGCATAAAAAGGTCAACTGCACAGGATTGTCATGAGGGTTCAATGTGATCCTTTATACCAGAACCTCGCACAGTGCCTGGGCACATAGAAGGACTTGATGTCTTTGTTAAATTGAATTGCCTTGCATACTGGTATCTTAGGAGCAGTGGGAAATTGATAATACAGATATTTTTAAAAACAGTCTATGGAGCCAGTGCCCACCATAAGGTAGGCTCTAAAATAATAATTGATGGATGAATGAATGCATGGAACTTTGAAGTCAAACAGCTCCAGCTTTGTCATTTATTAGTTCTATGATCTTGACAATGCCTTTCCCTCTCTATGGTTCAGCTTCCTTTTCTGCAAAATGGGTCTAGTGTACAAGGATATTGACATGTGCTCATAGTTAAGGAAACAGACATGGGCAGCTGAATGGTTTGCCCAGGGTCTCATGGCTGGTATGTGGCAAGATTCAAGTGCCCACTGCAGACTCATTGTGAAGTCTAAACGAGGCAAAGAATTAAAGCTTCTGGCTCAATGGATGTTAGCTCCTTCCCATAAGCAGGACAGGCTGCCAGCCTTGGGGTCTTAGTGGGAGAAACAGAGTAAAGGAAGGGTCTGTAGCCACCACAGGGACTGGGACTGACTCAGAGGCAGCTGCATACAGGCTGCTAGTTGCTGGCACTGGCGCTTGCAAGGAATTCTCTAAGCTGATTCTCTGGAGACCACCTTTCCCAGGAGCCCATTTCCTAAGCAGCTGTCTCGCCTCCACAGAGCCCAGTTCATGCTGAAGCCAAATAGAGAATGTGCCTTTTCATAGCAGCCTTTTGGCCTAGAAGGTGGAGCCTGGGCTATGCAAATGAGTCCATCCCTGGTGAAGGCCCCCAAATCCCATGTGAGGGAGAAAGCGGTGGAAGCGATGCTTAGCACAGAACAAGTTGGCCCATAGGATGAGCTGCTGTTGATCCTGTAAGCTCATTGTTACTGTGGCTGTGGACTGGGCCCAGGTGCAGGAAGCTTCACCTCCTGCATATGACATTTAATCCACCCAACATCCCTTCAAGGTAGGTGTGAGTATTCCCATTTTACAGATGAGGGTACTGAGGCAAGTACAGGAGGTAAGTATACAACTAGTGAGTGACAGAACAAGAGTGAGGACTTGAATTTAAGTGTCTGACTCTAAAACCTGTGTTCCTAACCATGAGTCACATTTACTGCCAGTTGGTGGACAGGCCTTTGAATCCTGGAATCACGAATCTCCTCCCGCCTAGATCTGTGAGCAAGGAACTGGGGGACTCCAGCTTCTTTGGGGCCAGAGCTTCAGCTATTCTTTTGCCTTGCTCAATAATACTTAAGCATAGATATTTAATAATACTTAAAGCATAGATACTTACTTCTTTACAGAAAGTATTTTATCCATTCAACAATCCAATAAATATTTATTAGGGATTTTTTATGTGTTGGGTCTTATGCTAGGTGCAGGAGATACGTCACAAATAATAATACAAATAATAATTACAACTAACCCTTACTATGCACCAGGTACTGTTCTAGGGATTGTACACGGATTGGATCACTTAATCCTCACAACAACCCTATAGATAGCTATTATTATCCTTTTTTTATAGAGGAAGAAATTGAAGCACAGAGAGGTTAAGTAATTTGCCCAAGGTCCCACAGCTATTAAGTATCAGAATCAGGATTCGGACGCATGCAGTCTGGGATCAGAGTTCATACATTTACCTGCCCCCACACTGTTAGGGCTCTCATAGTCTCTGCCCTTATGGAATTTAGAGTCTTTCTTTTCCAACAGTCATGTTAAAATAACACCAAAAATAATTTAATTCAGTTTTATTTGCTGAGAAGCAAACTGGACAATGAGAATCAAGAATGAATGATCCTGGATTTGGAAAGTGCCAGCAGGAAGGAGTCAAGATCATGAGCAGAGCCTTGGTCCGTTTCCCACTGTGGCCTTGACAGCTGTATGTCCTTTGTCAAGCCTTGTCACCTCTCTGGGCCTTCATCTATTTACAGAATGGATTGTCAGTAATGTACCTATTCTATCTTCTTCTCAAAATTTTCGTGGAGACTAAATGAGGTAGCAGATGGAAACGAGATTTCACAATAGGAAAAAGCACCGGGCAAGGGTTTGTTAGTCAACCAAAGTGAAAATTGGGTGTCAGTGTGATGAATAAACGAATGAATGAATGAATGGTCCTAGCAGTCCTGCAGCCTGGCTCCATGGGTGACAAAAAACTCCCTTCAGGACATCTGTTGGGGTTTTTCAGGGTCCTGACAAGGCTCTTTACCCTTGACCATGCCCTTTGAGTTATTTTGCACTTGATTTGTGTGAACCTCCAAGACTGTTTTAGCAATCATTTATTAATATCTGCTGGGAGACCGGCCTTGTGCTAGACTCTGTGGGGAGACAGAAATGAATTTTCAATGGACTATGCCCCTAGGGGCTCACAGGCCAGGAGGAGAAATTGTATTAATACTAATGTTAATAATAATAACAATAACATGAATAATAATGACCTGCAATATCTGAGCATTTACCACATGACAGATATTGTGTTGAGGTTTTATGTACATCAGTTCATTTAGTCATTACAATTCAATGAATTACTAAAAATACAGTTCCCATTTTACATACAGGGAAACAAATTCAGAGAGGTTAAATAACTTACCTAAGTTCACGCAACTCTGAAATTACAGAGCTGGGCATGAACCAAAGAAAGAAAATGTGGATACAAATAACTCTATTATAAGGTATTTTAAGTGTGGATACAAATAACTCTATTATAAGGTAGAAACTACTGTATACCCTAGTAGAGGGACAAGGAAAGGCTTCTCAAGGTTCAGTAAGAGAAGGGAAGCAAGATGGTGGTGGTGCTGCTGCTGCTGCTGTTGTTGATAGTAATGATGTTGATGTTGGTGGGGATGATGGTGATGATGATAATCCTCGGGTGCCCATTTGTTGAGCTTCTGCTTGGTGCCAGGCCCTTACCTGGATGCTTTCTACTATCTCATTTACTCCTCGTAACAACTTTCCAATGTCAGGATTACATCTCCATCTTACTCTTGAGGACTCAGAGCTGGAAGAAGACCAGATGGCCTCCCTAAGGGCACACATCCAGTGTTACCTGGGCTTAAGCTTAAGTGTACCTCACTGCAGAGCTGGAGCTCCTTCTTGAACCAGGATCCCTAATCTTTGAGCCAGAGGGCTGGGCATCTCAGAGATGCTCCATAAATGTCTGTTGAATGAATGAATATTGAATGAATGGATCCCCAAGGGCTCAAAGCCTTAAGCCTAGAAGACATAAATAATATGTCTCAAATGAGTATGTGTCCAACCTTAATTTAAATATATGTAGTGGTGCTATAATTACTAAAATACAAGTTAATTGTAAAGCATTAGTTCATTGTAACTTTTGTATTGTTTATTTTCTCAATGAGAAGATAATAGGTATACAGTTACCATCAGGAGTTTGGAGAAATAATTTCATACAAAGAGAGGTCCTTGTACCGAAAATGGTAGAAACATTCTGCCATCCTGCACAGCTTAACCAAAGTGCTTTGCCCAGCACCTGGCACAGAGGTCACTTGGAGAAGGGAGGCAACCCACCAGCCTGTGGCATTTGTCCTGGGTCTACACACGCCTTTCTTACTGGATCTAGGCTGTCACACTCAGAGACTTCATCTCTATGAGGACCTGATACCAACACCTAACAATTTCCCAAATGGCTGTTGAATGCTTGCATGAATGAATGAATAATGAAAGCAAGAATGAGTGAATTACAATGAGCAGTGCTTAGGGAACCCACAAAGGGTGTTTTCCCCGAGGAGTGTTTGGAAGTGGGAGTTCCTCCAGCCTTAGGCCTGAGTACAGGACCAGCATACCTGTGGGGTTCCTCAGGGCAGACAACTTGTGACTTGCAGCTCTGTACTGGGGTTTTGAGGCTGTGGTTTCATCCGCAGGGACCTGATCTTGACCTCGTCATAACCATGTTAGAGAAGGGGTAGTGGCCGGGGCTTTGCTTTCAGCAAGGCTGTGCTCACCATTTTTGGGTGCCTTTTTCAAACTCAGATGAAAGTTGACAGATGGCGGTGGCATAATATTCTCACTTTCTCTACTTCCCACAGGCCTCCCTCCAACACAGTTCTCCAAGCTCTAGAAATCTCTGACACATCTTGACCATGAGACCACGGCTGGTTTTTGGCAGGTGAGCCCTCCCCATCCCCCACAGGACACAGGGCAGTTTCAGCACAGCCCAAAGGCCATTAGGCTGTGTTTTGAGGCCAGGAGGTAGACAGGAATGACCTTAGCCTCGGGCAGGAGAATGGAGCCCCACACGCTACCGACACTTTAGGAAAAAGCCACCCAAATGTCACGAGTCCTGCAGCTGGCATTTCTGCAAATGGCAGCATATGGTGATGGGAGAGTCCTGGGCCAGGAGCCAAGGGAAATGCTTCTGACCCCAGGCCTGCCTTTATTGCTCAGGAAAATCTTAAGCAAGCATCTCCTTTCTGGGTCTCTGTTTCCTTGTCTGCAAAGTGAGGGAGTGGGACTCGGTGAACCCAGCAGGGCTCAAGCCAAGGCCCTGGGCTCTGGGGAGGACAGTGGGGCTGACACTGCAGCTGTGTACCACATCCTTAGAACTCAGTCTCCTGTTTGATTGCTCCATGGACTTTACAGCCACAGAGATCCTGGACTGAGCTGTGTGTTCACCTTATATGTGTACGTGTGCATTTTGGGGAGGGGGCCTGTATTTCTCCTAGTAAATGCTGCTGGAAGTCAAACTCAGATGCAATCACCAGCCCCATGCCTGCCCTCTCATGACCTCGTCATCAGGACATCATTTATTGCCTGTTGTGCTCTATCCTCTGTGCTGGGCACTGAGGCACAGAGATGAACAAATCATGGCATTATCCTCAAGAAGCTTCTGCTCCAGTGGAGGAGATCGATGTGCAAATAGCCACAGAACAGCAAAACCTGTGAAGGCAGGAGGGCTCTATTCTGTCGGGGTTTGGTTGTGGGGGTAGTTCAAGGAAGACAATTTAAAGTTGACGCTTGAACTGGGCTTTGAAGGATGAATAGAAGTTCACCGGGTGAAAAATGGAAGAAGAGCATTCTGAGCCCAAGGGACAGCAAGTGGAGCAGTGGAGTCGCTGGGATGCAGGGCCCAAGAGGAGGAGTATGGGAGTGAGGCCAAGAGAGCGGCAGGACTCTGGTCACCCAGGAGCTCAGGCTGGGTCCTACACAAGCAGGGAAGGGAGACAGTCAGCCCTGTGGTTCTGAGAGAGGCCCCTACCGGGGTGTGGGAGGGTGGGGAGGAAAGTGGTGGGGAGGCCGAGATGAGAGGAGGTGCACATGTCAGAATCTACAGAACCTCAATAGGGGCCCAGGGCAGGACACCCCGTGCTGAAGTGTCTGTGGCCTCGGCTCTCACAGACTCCAGCATCCCTCTGCATCCTTTCAGGTCCCCGGGGCCCCATCCTGCGTTGGGCTGCCACTCCAGCCACAGGACTGCTTCTCTTCTGCTCTTCCAGTTCCCACTCACTCTCCTCCTTTCCTACCCCTGAAGGACAATAGGCCACCCCCTCCTGGGCAGCAATTCTGTAAGGATTCAATGCTGTTCCCAAGGCCCCTGAAGCCTTCTTCTTGATAGCAAGGTTGTACTAGAGTGATTTCTGTGTGGTGGGTAATAGCTGGCAATTCTATGGTTTTACAGTTTCCTCCGTTGGTAGAACTCAGAACACTTTCACACACCTGTCGTCTCACAGGAGTGTAGAATGAGTAGGTTCTGGGGCCAAAGAGAGCCTTGCTCCAACCCTGCCCTGCCCCTCCTTTGAGGAGCGGTGGAACCATCAGAGCCTCAGGAAGGCCTCTCTGTATAGAACACCCACCTCCTGCAGCGGTGCCAGAGTCAAACGCAAGAGCTCAAGCGAGAGGCCAGCACGGTATGCACCACGTGCTCAGCACTTACTTTCGGGGCTTCCCTGCTGACTCAGCCCTGCGATGGAGTGAGTGGCAACTGATGGGCAGGGCTGGCCTAGAGCCACCTGTGAGTTTTGGGTTCAGAAGGTGGTGTGATCAGTCAGCGTGCGTGCCTTAATGGGAGGTCAGGCCAGCGGGCTTGACTTTCCTCTGAAAAATGAGCTCAGCAGAGCTTTCCTGACACCCCTCTGATCCTGGCATTGGTGGACACTGGGGGCCCAAACAAGAGCAAGTTTGCCCCTTCTCCAGAAGGGACACATAGACAAAGGAACAGCCACACACTGAGAGCAGGAGCAGCCCCACAGGCCCAGGGCAGAAACAAGAGAAGACCAGGAGAGAGGGAGCTACATTCAGTGGGGGCTGTGGCTAGCAGAAGCATTGTGGGGGGTGGGGCCAGGAGCACTGGCACCCGAAGGATCCATGGGAGTTCTTAGATCAGCAGTGGGGTCATGGGGCCCCAGTGGAGAAAGGCATGGCACGGGAAACACCAGGATGTGTTGGGGTGTCAGTAGTTGGTGTTTTCGATGTCCTGCCCAGCAGAACTCCCTGTCACAGAGAAGCATTCATGGAAGCTTAGCACACAGCTCCCTCATCAACTTGGTTCTCATCGGAAAGATCACACCCAGGGTCAGACCCCACAGTTCAAGGGCAACATGGATGAGCTACATGATAAGGCCAGATAGACAACCTCTAATGCCTCTAAGACTTTTCTCGACTGGAATTGAAGGCACACATTACCTGCAAATGCTGACATAAACCTGGTGATGTTATAACATCTGTGCTGGGTGCTGGGATGGAGATGAATAAACTTAGTCTCTACCCAGGTAGAGACAAGGAGGGAACAGGTCCTCAGACACCTGTACTGCATGCCCATCAGTGCTCTCATGGAGGGGTGTTCAAAGTGCTATGGGACCATAGAGGAGGTACCAGCCAGAGGACAAAAGTAGGGTGGGCATCATAAGGAGGGAATCTGCACCAGAGGGTAATGATGAGAATGTTTATAGCAACTGAGGTTTATTGAGCACTTACTACATGCCAGGCACTGTTCTCTAAGAGCTTTACACAGATGTACACTCCACCTGCACTAGTCTGTGAGGCAGGTGCTCTTTTCATCCTCTTTTACAGATGACAACTGACGCACAGAGAGACTGTGACTGGCCCAAACACACAGGGCTGTGAAGTGGCTTAGCCAGGGTGAGCCTAGACAGTCTGGCCCCAGAGTCTATGCTTGAATGACCCTGGGTAGCCTTTCTCTGAGCACTAGAGGCACCTACAGGGTTGATACTATGTCTTTTGCTCTAGCACCTAGCAGGCCCTCAATTAAAATGTGTTCACCAATAAGAATGCACAAATGCCTGGATGAACTGGGCCCTGGAAGACTGAGGGCAGCATGTGGGGATAGAGATGGCACTCATGCAGAGGGAAGAGCTGGAGCAAAGGCCTCAGATCAGGGCATCTGGCGTTGCAGAGGGGTGCTGCCCCTCCCAAAGCACTGGAAGACTGAGAGTTTAGACAGCAGCCTCTCCAGCCAACTCGCTCTCCCTCACCCTGTCCCAAAGGCCTGACACCTGCCAGCCAGTCCCACCTTGGGATTTGCTGTGCCTTTTGTGCCCCCACATCATGATTTGTTACCCATCCTCTCAAAGGTTCCCATGGGTAGCTCTGGGAAGATGACCATGAGCCCCGCAGAGCTAAGAAAGGCGTGCACGTGGAGGGGCTCAGGAAATAATTCAAAACTCACTCCCTTAAGGAGTTGCTTTCTGAATGTTTGAGACTTCAAGGAGCAGGGTGTTTTTGTTGTTGTTTTGTTCTGTTCTTTTTTCAAAGGCCTTTCCTTTCTTGAAGCTCAGTGCGCTGTGGGTGGAAAGCTAGGGTTGGGATTTGGCTCTATGGCTTCCGAGCTGGTCATCTTTGAGTGAATCAGTTCACTTCTCTGTACCTCGGTTTCCATCTCCATCAAGTGGGAATAAAACCAGCTACAGAATTAAGTGGGGCAAGGCTTGGGGAAACTCCAGTGCAACAGCAGCCTCAGTGAAAATCTGCCTCTCTGCTTCCTGCTTTGTTCCTGGGGCCTCCGTCTCTTCTGTGCAACGCGGGGTTGGAGAATGTTGATCTTTAATACCAGCCAGCCGTATAAATGTATTCACACACACAAATATACCACATGTCAAAGCATATGCCATTTAATCATTTTATATATTTCATAGGAATATATAACATAGCATCTTATTGTGTATTCTTCTGATTACAAAAGTAATACATATGTATTGAGAAAATTTTGGAAAGTAGAGGAAAAAAAATTCACCTACTATTCCACATCCGTGACTGGGCTATTTAGTGAATTCCTCTTCCACCTTTTTTTCTATGCAGTTACGCAGATTTTTTTTTTTAAATTAGGATTATACTCTACATTCTATTTTTTAACTCAAGCTGGGCTATTGAACCAGGCTGCTGCACAGGGCCGTCTGTCTCTGTGCTTGGGAGGAACAAGAGGCAGCAGCTGCCACAGCTGTTTGGTGCCCATCTGCCACGCTCCTGCCCGGGTGGCTGCTTGGAGGCATCTGACCTTCAGATGTTCAGTGTGTCTGGCGGGTGCACATCTGACAGTAATTTTAGCTTGGCCTCTCAGGCCCGCTGGCCTTGGGGCCTGCACATAATGGGCACCTTATGTAGACAGCTGCCAACGGTGCAGGAAGAAGCATCCCACCTTAAAATGTGCCTCGTCACCCGCCAGCACTGTGCTCTTAGAGAACAAGCCAGCTCCCTGTTCCTTCTCCCACCAGGAAGGGGCTGCTGTTGATGTTCGTGGCCCAGCAGGCTGCGCCCCGTGGGCAGGTGGCCCACCAAACACACGGGAGATTGCTTCTCTGGATGGGGTCATGTTTTGACAGGATAGTCTTTGACTGGAGCTGGAACAGCTGAGAGAGACTTCCCAAGACATTGCAGGCTGTGGGGCATCTGAAATGCCCTCAGGGGTGTGGACTGGTCTTCAGGAGTCTCACCCTCATGCCTCACATTTGTCAAGTAGGTACAAATATACAGTGCCATTTGATACCCCATTTTGTCCTGAAGACGGCCCTGTGTATTAGGTGGCAGTATTCCTGTCTGATAGATGAGGAAACCGAGGTTGAGATGGGGAAGTCATTTGCTGGAGGTCACACAGCAAGATGGTGGCAGGGACTTGACCGTGGATGTGGGTCTCTCACTCCAAGCCCAGGGCTCTTCCCATTCATCAGCCCCATAGGTAAGTGGCTCATCCAGGCCCATAGCCATCTGCTGTGATTCCTTACGTTGGGATTATTTGTCCAAAATGGAAACACTTTAATTTTCACCTGAGAAAGAATTCACGTTTATTGAAAACGAATATACCTAGTTGGTCTGTTTCTAAAGCACAAATCTAACCATGGCAGGCTCTTGCTTCAGAATGTAGGGCATTTCTCTCTGCCCACAGGATGAAGCCCATATGCCCTCACCTGACATCCAACCTCCACAGTCTGCAGCCGGCTGACCCCCCAAATCTGGGCACCCTCAGCATTAGAGATCTCTACTGTGGCTCTTGGGCAGGGTTGGGGGTTTTCCTTGTGATTCACCTCCTGATTGGAATGGAGCTGCATGAAGCAGGAGGCTTGTAGGCTGCTCATCCCCATGTCCCTGGGGCCTACACTGGGCCAGGCACAAAGTCAAGTCCAGTAAATGTATTGGCCCCCAACCCATGGTCCTCCATGAGAAACCTGAGCTCTAATCCAGACTTAGAAATAAGCTGAGGCCTGCCCAGCTACTGCCAGCCTGATAAGGAAGTGGCTGCTTGGCAGCACTCCCAGGATGGAACTGCAGGGCTGTCTAAAAGCCACAACCCCCTGGGCAAGCAAGGAGGAGGACTCTGGAGGGCCATCTCCAGATAGGTACTGGAGACCAACACCCCGCCTCCATGGCGAGTCCACCACCTCCCCCATACCTCCACTCCCCAGTCCCATAGCAACAATAATGCCTGTGTGATGTGCCCCCTGCCTGACAGTAGCTCTTTGACCCAAGCTCTTTAGGAATGATTTATAGAAGCGGCATCATACAGCTTTGGGGGAAACAAGTTTTCTAGGGACTGTCTTGGTTTAGTGACAGCAGGACCCTTGCTCTTTGACTCTGTATAGCATTCCCCTCTGGGCCACAGCCCCTCAACCTCCCAGACTCTGGTGGTCTGGAGGTTATTATAGGAGAGGCGAGGTTTTTAGAGTCCCACAGCCCTGACTTCAGCAGGCCCTACCACTTACTAGGTAGGGTTACATCTCTCTGAGACTCAGTTTCCTCATTTGCAAAATGAGACTAGTGATCCCAACTTTCAGGGTGTTGTATCTTATTGGTAAAAGTCTAGCTCAGCGACAGGCACATGGTGAATAATTGTGTTCCTTCTCCTGGAGGCCTTTTAGGGCCTGAGAGCCTGCCTGAGAAGTGCCCTGTTGCTTGGTGAGGATGGCAGTCTCTGAGGACAGGTGTTGGGGCATGTTGCACATGACACGCAGTCTAGTAGTGAGCCACTTCTCTCATTCTGACACGTTCTTGGAGATTTAGCCAAGGACAAATATTTTGTTTTCTAATGAAAGCCTATGAAAGAGGGTTTTTGTAATCGATTTGTTTCATTTCACAATTAGCTTTCCAGGAGGATGTCTTTCATTCACTTGTTCATTCATTCATTCACCCGGCAAATATCTCCAGAGCCCCGACAACCTGCCAGGTGTGGTAGGAAATGTATAAATAGGCCATGCAAGGAACCTGCCTTCAAGGAGCTCACTGTCTAAGCAGTAATTATAATTTTGGGTAAAAAGGTCGGGTGGGGCATGCAAAAGGCCGAGTGCTGAGTGGGGAGAGATTAGAAAAGACTCTTGCAGGGCTGAGTAGAAAAGCTTTCATCAAGAAGGTGGTACCAAAATAAGGCAGTTAGAAAGCATAGAGGGAAAAAGACTTCATTCTCCAAAGAAATAAAAGCATAAAATTATGAAGAGTCAACTGAAGAAGGTATTATAAATTGTTCTATAAATAAAATTGAATCTCGAAATCCCAAAAAAAATTTTTCATAAAATGTTTACAAAGTACATCTGGAAAAATAAACATGGATGAATGGCCTAGAAAAAAAATCAGTGTTGGTACAGAAATAGACCTGTGGCTCAAGGAACAGAGAGCCCAGAAGTAGATATCAGTGTACGTGAGGATTGGTATGTGAATGCATGGCATTGATAATTAGAGATGAAAATGCAGGTGATTCCTGATGTGTTCTAAAGACAACCAACGAGCTATTTGTATGGAGGAGAGGGAATACAACTGGCTCCCTACCTCAGTTCCTACACCAAAATAAATTCCAAGGAGATTAAAAAACATGAAACCATAATGATACTAAAAGAAAGACAACGAGGGAATATTTGTGTCATACCGGAATGACGAATGCCTCCTTACGTGTAATATCAAATCCAGAAACTGTGAAGGAAAACAATTAAAAACCCTATGGGCAAACACCCCACCCCACAACAATCAGGTTAAAGGATGATAACAAACTAAGAAAAGTATTTCAACATAGGCATGATGGGTAAAAGGTTAGCAGCACTAATACCCAAAGAGCTCTTGTAAGTGAAGTATTAGATAAAGACAAATTGCCAGCGGAAAAATGGGCAGAGGCTATGAACAAGCAATTCATAAATGACAAAATACAGAGGATACAAAGCATGTGAAGAGTCATCACCCAGGGGCAAAGGAGACACATTAAACAATCAAAGTGTCCTTTGGGGGCCATTTCAAAGAATGAAAATACTTGGGGAAATGCAGAATGAGAAACAGGAACACTGGAGCACTGTTTAGTGGGTCACGAATTGATACACATTTTCTGGAGGGGAGATTATATATTGATACTTTCAAATGTCCCCACCTTTCAACTCAGTAGTTCACTTCTAAACAAGTATCCTAAAGTGCCCAAGGTTTATGTGTGTAGGAAAGCAGCAGAGCATTAGTTAAGAGTGTGGAGTCTGAGATCAGAGAGACCTTGTTTCAAGCCACCTGGCCCTGGAAAAGTTCCTTAACATCTCTAAGCATCAAAGTCCTCATCTGCAAAGTGGGCATAATAATACCACTTTCATAGGCTTGTGGCAAAGCTTAAATGAGATAACACTTATAAAACTCTTAGCAGAGGGTTGGGCCCCTACTAAGTGCTGAATAAATGCTAGCTCTTTTATTATTACCAATAAGGATGTTCATCATAGTATTGTTTGTAATAGCAAATAATGGGAAGCAACCAAATTGTCCATCAATAGGGAGCTACTGGTTATTCATTACAGAGACGTGCACAGTGATGCAGCCATCTGAGGACCTGTATTTATGAAAATGGAAAGATGCCTTTGACATATTAACATGATTTTTTAAAGTATCAAAAGGGTATGGAACGTCCATTCCAAATTGCACAGAAGCGTACATCCATATATATAGAAAGATGTCACTGATTCTTGTTATTCATAGTAGTTATGTTCTATAAAGTCCTCACAAACACAGAATTAGCAAATACTGAACTGTTGCTCCTAGGAGAACTACAGCATAAGATTCCTGTGAGCCTCTGGTTACAATGTTTTTCTCAGCTGATCAGTGTATAACCTTGTGTTATGTGTATTTCTGTTTTAAGATACCTTATTTAACATAGATTGTTGATTCATTAATATTGAACTCAGGGCCAGTGGCGCTATAACTCCTCTCTGAACAAAGCTTACCTAACATGGCATTTCCTCTGTAAGGCACACAGTAGCTCCCCTGTGCTTGGGAACACCAGAAAGCACTTCAGCACTGTACTTGGAGGCCATTTGAAAAAGTAAAATCACCAAACAAAAAGTGCAAAACTGCGAAAACTGTCCATAGTGTCCTTTTCGTGGACACTTGTTTACCATATGGGATCTGAAACTAGAAGGCAGAAGGTCGCCTCATTCAGCCTCATCTGGGAACACGCACATTAGGCAACTCAAAATTTTCACCACACTGGGCGCAGTGGCTCGCGCCTGTAATCCCAGCACTTTGGGAGGCTGAGACAGGTGGATCACTTGAGGTCAGGAGTTCAAGACCAGCCTGGCCAACATGGTGAAACCGTGTCTCTACTAAAATACAAAAATTATCTGGGCATGGTGGCGCAGGCCTGTAATCCCAGCTACTCGAAAGGCTGAGGCAGGAGAATCACTTGAACCCGGGAGGCGGAGGTTACAGATACAATGAGACTCCATCTCAAAAAAAAAAAAAAAATTCACCACTCTGCACACCCACAAGTGACTATGAATGTAAGTATTGATTTGGAGGTTACAAATAAATTTGATCAAGTACATAAATTTGCAAATACAGAATCTATGAATAAAGAGGATCAACTGTATCTAAAAAGATAGTGTCTTCATTCATTCAGGCTGCTATAACAAAATACCATAAACTGAGTGGCTTAGAAAAACAGAAATCTATTTCTTACAGTTCTCAAGGCTGGGAAATTCAAGATCAAGGCAGATTCGTGATCTGATGAGGCTCTACTGTCTGATTCATAGGTGTTACCTTTTTGCTGTGTTCTCAAATGGTAGAGAGGATGAGAAGTCTTTCTTTGGCCTCTTTTATAAGGGCACTAATCCCGTTCATGAAGATTCTGTCCCCAGAACCTAATCACCTCCCAAAGGCCCCACCTCCTAATACTATCACCTTGATGGTCAGGATTTCAACATATGAATTTTGGAGGGATACATACATTCAGGCCATAGCAGATGGTCATGTCAGTAGTTATCTGAGTCAGGATTTAAGGGGAGGATTTTTTTCTCTTCTTCTTTATACTGATAATGCTTTAACTTTTTACAGTAGGTACATATGATATGATCAGTCAAAGCAATAAAGCTATTTTCAATTTAGAAGGAAAACTTGTTATTGATGGCACTCCATTTCAAGATAAAAATCCATATTCTTTAGAATAATATAGTTAACACTTTTATGTATTGCTTGCTATGTGCCACACAGACTTCTAAGCCCTTGACATATATTAATTCATGTAATGGAGTCTTTTCACCAAGAAGCTCCATGAGATAGACTCTAGTATTATCCCCATTTTATAGCCGAGGCAAAGAGAGGTCAGATAACTTGCCCAAGGTCACAGTGAGTAAGGGGCAGAGCCCAGATTTGAACCCAGGAAGTCTGGCTCCAAAATCCATGCTTTCTTTTTTTTGTTTGTTTTTGTTTTTGAGATGGAGTTTCACTCTTGTCACCCAGGCTGGAGTGCAATGGAGCGATCTCGGCTCATTGCAACCTCCTCCTCCTGGGTTCAAGCGATTCTCCTGCCTCAGCCTCCCGAGTAGCTGGGATTACAGGTGCCCACCACCATGCCTGGCTAATTTTTGTATTTTTAGTAGAGACAGCGTTTCACCATGTTGGCCAGGCTGGTCTCGAACTCCCGACCTCAGGTGATCCATCTGCCTCGGCCTCCCAAAGTGCTGGGATTACAGGTGTAAGCCACCGTGCCGGGCCAGAATCCATGCTTTCAGCCAACAATATGTAAGTGTACTCAGTCCCAAGCCTGGCACAGGGCTCTGGAGATGCTCAGGAGGATCTGACCAGGCTCCTGGCCCAAGGCACTTCCGGTCTAGGTTGAAGGCAGTGGCAAGGGTGCACCAGGCACTTCAGGCTCGTGGAAGCGGGGTGCTCCCCATCCCAGCCTGAGGACTCAGAGAAGGCATTGCTAGCCCAGCATTCAGTGTCCCCACAATCTCCTGCCCTTCTTTCTCACTTCCTGTCAGGCACACCCTTCCACCAGGGTGCCCCTGCCACACCCAGCCATCCCCTGCCCCTTGAGCCAGCCATGTTTCTCAGACAAGGCTCAGCTCAAATGCCATCTTCTTTCTCCAGCCATCAGGAAGAAGCATGGGCTCCTTCCCCAACCTCCCAACACCTGATTCCTCTCTGTTTTGGAACTTTATGGTTATTGTCTTTCTACTCACCTGTCCACACTCCCCTGCCATAAGCTGGTGTCAGAAACCATTTTTTCCCAGCACCCAAAACAATCCTCACACATGTTATCCAGCAATACAAGTGTATTGAATGAATAAATGAACAAATGTGGAAATATCTAAGATCTGAGACTCCCAAGGACCTAGGCACACGGGATTGTGGCAAAGTAGTTGTTGAAGGCTGCCAAGGCCCCGGAGGACCGTGGAAGGCTGAGCTGTCTGGCTAGAAGCCTCTGTGACCACGGGACTGGGAGGCGGAGCCGACAGGCTGCAAGGCCAACATTAGCCAGGGTGTTGTTTCTGTGGCTTCTGAAGCACCCCCACCCTAGTGGGAAAGACTAAGAAAGGTCCCATTCAACTTGTCTTGGCACTTCTAAGGGAAAGGATGGGGTTTGGATTAGCTGGGCCAGGGACATCTTTTCTAAAATAGCTTCATGCATATTCAGCTGCTCCCTGAAATAGTCGGGCGGCTATTTTCAGCAGCTTCTACTCAGATGCCCACACATAATGGCCTCTACCTTGAGCATGTAAACCAGTAGGAAGCAAAGCAAAGGGTACAGGAGGACAGTGTCAGAAGGCTTTTCATGGCTTCCTACCACTCCTCCCAAGCCCTTGGTGTGTTTTTCCTCCCAGGGACTCTCTCCCGTGAAATGGAAAGTCCTGGTTACTATGACAACTTGCTGGAGGAGGTTTCCCCACCAGTGACCCTACCCACCCGGATCCCAGAAAGCACAGACTCACCAGGGCAGCCGTAACTTGAGGCACAACCTCCAAACACTAAGTTGGCGAGTTCACTCCCGAGAGAGCCCCTCAGCGCCTATTCCCTCGTGGTTTGCACACAGTTCTAACAGGTGCCCTGTGGAGGCCGAGGGAGGCCAGTGAAAGGTGGGACCCTACCAGCAGGGGGTTGAGGTCACAACAGACAATCTAGCTGGAAGGGTAGAGAGAGAACCACTCTACCAGGAAAACATTTATTTGCAAATACCTACGGAAACATCAATACGTACCTTGTGCTGTTTGCTGGGGAAACAAAGATAAATAAGACTCAGTTCATGAAATGAATCGGTAAGTAAACACTTGTAAGTGTCTTTCTCTAAACTGTAACTTTATTCTCCCAAAAAGATTTTTTTTAGAAGTTGGAAATACAGTGTCCTAAGTGCTGAGGTTAAGGTGAGGACGCGGGATTCCCAGGGGAAGGAAATGGGCTCTCTGAGGAGGCTGGGAGGTGAGCTTGAGCAGAGAGGTAAGAGCTTTCTTGTGAGACAAGCAGGTGGTGGCCTGTGTTCCAGGTGGCCAGCACAGCACACATGAAGCAACAGAGGCAAAAAAAAAAAACAGATCCGTTTGGGGAACTCCCAGCTCAGGATGTCTGGAGCATGGTGCCGAGGAGGAGGCAGAATGATCAGAGGAGAGGTGGCGGAGCCACATCACCGGGGCCTTGGAGGTGCTTCTCTGTCAGAAGAGTTCCCTGGGACCATTGTGTGTTTGGACGGATTCCTACCCACCCTAGTCCACCTAAGGTCTCCCTATGTTACAGTGTAGAACAATGATTAGAAAAAAATGAGATTGTGTTAAAAGTTTCACAGTGGGAGTTGTGACTTTAAGAATGAGTTAAGTGTTCATTCCACCTTCCCTGGAGATGTATCAAAAATTAAAATGAACTGGGAGGCCAGAAACCTGGATCCCAGAAAGAGGGCTGGGGAGGGACCGATGTGGGGGCTCTGGGCCTCAGCCAGGTCAGCCATATGACCAGAAAAAGTGATTGCTTACATTTTATACATCTGAATTTACGTTCATTCTCTTGCCCCATAGCCATCCAGGAAAAGAGTCCTGTTTTGTTCAGGACACCCTGAGAAAGACAGGGAAGTGTGCTTTGATACCTTTTAGGACGATAGTCACCCAGAGGGGCCAGAGGAGAGCAACAGAAGGGGTCAGAGGAGAACAACAGAAGGGGTCAGACGAGAGGAACTGAAGAAGATCGGCTTGGCTATCTGGAGGTCACCTGTCAAGCACACCCTGACCCCATATCACTTCCCAGTTGGCTTCTTTGAAGGTGTCAGGAACTATCAACAAGAACCGTGGTGCCCACAGGCACATGCATCTTTCTGCTCTGTTCATCCCCCATCGTTCCTCCATCTGCACTCAGCCTCTTTATTTATTTGTTCATTCATTCATTCATTCATCTGGAGCTGTGGCTGGGAAATTGTTGGCTTAGATAATGGTTTCTTCACTGAATTTTCAAGGATCTGTGAAACCCCTAAAATGATAAGAAAATGAGTACATATCTCATGTTCATTTTCTGATAGCTCATAGCTTTCAGCAGATTCTCAAAGGAGCCAGTGACCCAAAAAAGGTTAAAAACCACTGACAGATATGGGAATTGTTTTATTTTAAAACAAATGATTTCACCTTTTGGTAGATAAGCAGGGTGAGGGAGCATGGAGTGAAATTCCCAGTTCTGCACTGAGCTTTCTCAGATGATGAAGGGGCACCGGGGACTCTGTCATTGCTCCCAGCATCGCCGTGCACCTAAGTGTGTGCGTTTGCTGCAGCTGGGCCAGGCCCAGAGGCCTTCAGAGCACAGAGAGAGGAGAGCAAGATCCATTACCTAAGACTGCTCTGTTTCTCTCCCTTCCCAACTACAGCCTCTCTGCGAGGTCCCTCTCCAGCCTGCATGTGGCAGAGCATGATGAAGCCCTCTTGGTTTGGAGAGATGTGGAAAGCTGGAAGAAATCTGAGAAAGGAGAGGCACATAGGCTGGAGTTGCAGAGGTCTGGATATTAAATGAGGCTTTGAAGAGAAGGGGCAGCTAAAGTTTAGTGATTAGCTCTAAAAGTCAGGTTATGTCATCTTGGCTGGAAAACCCCCCATAGCTTCCTGTCTCTGAGTGAAATTCAGAAGTTGCATAAATGCCTTCACAGCCCCAGTGATTTTCTTGCCCCCATATCCTCTGGACTGTGTACTGTTCTACAAACTCTGGCCTCAGGGCCTTTGCACTTACTGTTTCCTCTGTTAGGAAGCATATGCACATGGCCCATCCCTCACTTCCTTTGGGTCTTTACTTAAATGTCCCTTTCTCAGTGAAGCCTTCTCTGGTCCCCTACTTAACATGGCAGCACCTCCTACTGCCACCACCCCCATTCCGTGTTCCCTTTTTCTGCTTCACCTTTCTTGATAGCACTCAGGACCAGCCCACATGCCACTGGCTGTATATTGTGCCCAGTGCCTGGACCAGGGCCTGGTCCATAGTAGATGCTAAATGATTATTTGTGGAGTGAATGAATCCATTCTTACCATGCTCCTGTGTTTATATATTGTAATCTCATGCTGCTCCTCTGATAACTCTGCAGGGTGGATTTTATTATTCTCCCTTTTCACAGATGAGAACCAGGGACTCATAGCAGCTAGAACTGCTTCCTGGGTTCTGGGGTCTCAGAACTGCTGTCTGTTTATACTCCATCCCCACCCCCAGAAGGCTTGATACTGTCTTCACCAGGACTCCTTGACCCATAAAAGAGGCTGGGCTTTTGCATGGTTCCAGTCAGTACTTAGAAGTACACAGCACACTCTCACAATCCAGCTATGTCCAGGCTTGATATGTCCTGGAAGTGGTCAGGCATGTAAACTCATCAACGGCAAAGTCAAGGAGAAAAGAAGACAACTGTACGGGGCTTTTGATGGATTCCTACTCCTTGCTTTCTCCCCATTGTGTATCTTGAACATCGATGGGCCCATTGTTCTGGAGGAGATTACTTAAGTGGTGACTTTGAAAATACAGTCTATGGCCGGGTGTGGTGGCTCATGCCTGTAATCCCAGCACTTTGGGAGGCCAAGGTGGGAGGATCACTTGAGCCCAGGAATTCGAGACCAGCCTGGCCAACATGGTGAAACCCCATCTCTACTAAAAATACAAAAGAATTAGCCTGGCGTGGTGGTGTGTGCCTGTAGTCCCAGCTACTCGGGAGACTGAGGCATGAGAATCTCCTGAACCCAGGAGGTAGAGGTTGTAGTGGGCTGAGATTGCACCACTGCACTCCAGCCTGGGTGACAGAGTGAGACTCCATCTCAAAAAAAACAAAACAAAACAAAACAAAACAAACAAACAAACAAACAAAAAAACCACAGTCTAGAACCCAAAAGTAAACCCAGAATTCATCAAGACATGAGGCAACCCCCAAATGATAAGCCAGTCCATTTGCTGGTCAGATCCACTGGTGCCTGTTGTTTCCACTGTTACACACAGTTCCAACACACACCAGCCCCTGAGAGAGGGGGAGTTTGCAAGACAGAGAGGCGGGTTGGAGAGAGAACCATGCTACACATACCCCAAAGGTTCCTGGTGCTGGTTATTGAGAGTTACAAAGATGAGTATCACACAGAAGGTGCCTTAGGGAACTTACAATCCAGCAAAAGAAACAGACAGAAAACAAATAAGTTCAAGTATATTTATTTATTCAAACCCTGACTCTGTTCCAAAAAGGATTCAAGGTAGAAATCGGGTTTGTGATATAGTAAGTGCTACAGTTGAGGTGGGGACCTGGGTTCATGAGAGAAAGATGATCTCTTCCCGTGGGGAGTTGAGCTGGGCATGGGGGCAAAGCAGCATGGCCCACTTGGTGAGCTCCCAGGAGCCCATGTGGCTGGAGAGGGGGGTGAATGCCATCCATCCAAGGGATGTGCTGTGAGCCAGTCCAGTTCCCTTGAGGAACTTACAGTGCAGTGGAGGAAACAGGCAAGGAAACAAAGACTTGTACTGTATCTGCAGCCTCCCCGCCTTGCTCTCAAGGACCTGCTCTCAACATATAGAAAGCCACAAACTGAAGGGACCTGCAGCAATTCCTGTGGTGGCCAAGGCAGGTACTCCTACAGGCCCTGGTCCTCCTGGATCTCTGCCCTCAGGCTGCACTCGCAACAGTCCCAAAAGCATTTCTGTTTGGGGGAGTAGCACCTTGCATTCAAACAGCAAGGTACAGTTTGCAAAACACCATCACATCCGTCCTCTTGTGTGTTCCTCCAAGAAGAAGGCTGGGGGAGTGCCAATTTTTCAGTGTATGGATGGGACAGTGGGGGCTCAGAGACAAGTCTCATTCCTGAGAAGTGTCAGAGCCAGGACTGGAATCCAGGGAGAAGGAGAAGAGGCCCTGTCCACACAAGCACGTGGTGATAGGGCAAAAACAGGCACTTGACCATATAACAGTAAGAGAAGGTTCTGTAGCTGGTAGGAGAATATTTAGGCTCTGGAATCAGACAGAACCAGGTTCACGTCTGGCCATGAGCTGTGTGCCCTCACCTCACCAGTGAAAGAGAATAATGGTATCCACCTGGCAGGTTGTTGTGAAGATTAAATGAGAGGATGCATGTAAACACACCTAGCATAGTCAATGATGTCAAGAGCCAATGTGTCTTAAGTTCATGGTCTGCGGCTGGCCATTATCTCATCTAATCCTGCAAGCAACCTACAAAGTAGATACTGTTGCATGTAATCTCATTTTACAGATTAAAGAAACTGAGTTCAGGGAGGTTGATCAAAGCACCCATGGCCAGCAAGTGATGAAAACTGAAAACAGGCCCCAGAGCCCAGCTATTAAACATGAGGCAGTAATTACACCTCCTCTCATCTCACTGATGAACCTTCGGCCTGCACAGGTTCAGCCAGATGCCAGGTCTATGGAGGTGACTCCTGACCCCAGCAGGAGGGCAGCACCATGGGACTGTACAGCAGGGAGTCGCTGGAGACCCTGGAGAGGCCATGTGAGCTTGGCCTTGGAGGAAATGGTCAGCAGCTGCAGCCTTGGGAAGGAAGGGCTGGAAGGTCACTGGCACCAGGCAGAGCTGCATGGCCAAGGTGGTTGGTGGCTTTGGACTAACAAAGTGGTGACCTGGAATCCAGCAGGCTGGGCTTCCCTTTCCCACTTCCTTCCTCTGCTGCTTGTCTCGCTGAGTCACCTCCAGGAAGTCAGAGTGGTGAGGCAGACAGTGAGGAGACCTGGGTCCTCCCGCACCCCTGTCCCCACCTCCCCTCATGACCCTGGGTTAACCACTTCCCCTTGCTGGGGCTCAGTTTCCACATTTGTCAAAAGAGCAGACTTGATCTCAAGGTCAGGCAAAGGTCTTTTTTAAAGGCAGTGCTTTTGGAAGACAGGACAAAGGACCACACAGCTGCTAACCAATTAGGAACTGATAGTCATCTGAGCTCTGTAGCAACACCCTGCACCCCACACAACTTGCTGAGTTCCTCCATGGGTTATGAGGGTCACCAGCAGTGATAGGACCAGGAGGGTGGTGATGGGAAGAACCTCGAAGTGCTGGTATAGAGATGGCAGTGAGGGGCAGCACCACAGAGGGCTGCCTCCAGGTCCTGAGCCTCTTCTAACTTAGCTCTATCCTCTGCCAGGCTGCTTTGACTCATGCTCTTGAATTTTTACTGAGTCCTGGGCCCTAGTGAGAGTCCAAGAAGATGCTCCAGGATTTTCAGTGTAGGTAAAATCTCACGGGAAAACACACAGCCATTGTGGGCTTCCTCCCAGCCTCCAGCCATGGCCATACCAGCCCTGAGCCAGGCAATAACCCTTTCCTTTACTCAGACTCAAGAGAAGCTGTTTTTGCTGAAGTTCCAAACCTGTTTATAAAACTTATCCCTAAGGACTCCATATTCTGAAGTCACCGTGAACTCATCTCTGCAATGATTAATTGTTAGCACTTCACAGCTCCAGCTCTGAGATGCAAGGATGTCTGTGGCTAAGAGGAGTTCCCATCAGTGGTGAAGTGTTTGTTACAGGGCCTAGGGGGTTGCCTGGGTAAGGGATAGAATAGGATTATGTCATATGCCAGTGCCTTTTCCCACTTTGGGGTTGGTGGAAGGGAGCTCTGCATGAGGCACACGGACTGCAAATATAAGGCTCTTTTCCTACCAGCTGGGGTCCAGTTGGCTTAGTGTAGCTTTCAAGTCCTTCTTGATGTGGCCTTGCCCACTGCTTCAGCCTTAAAGTGCAGGTTCCCTTCTGTTTTGGGGGCTTCAGCCCCACCACTTGGCTTGGGCAGATCCCCATTTTGCTGTGTTGTTTCATGTTTCTCTGTCTTTGCACATTTCTCTTTCACTGAACCACCCACTTCCTCTCATCTCCCATCTCCACTTAGTCCTCTTGTAAACTCTCATTTAAGACCCAGTTTAGATGTCATTCCTTCCATGGTGTCTCCCCTGACCTCCCCCATCTTCCGTGGTGGCACTTTTGTGCACATTTCTGTTATTAGATTTTCACCCCGCTTTGCAGCTCTTTTGGTCCATGTCTGTACGGCTCCGTGAGCACCAGGACTAAGTCCCAGGCCAAGCCCAGGGCCTGGAAGGTGTCTATTGGAAGGAATAGAAATGAGTCCCCCAGAGCACAGCCCTGAGTGAGCTTCCGCAGGCTCTTACTGAGGTCTCAGAGGCAGCAGGAGGGTGGAGAGGCCTAAGGGAGTTTGCACTGAGCCCCCTTAAGACTTCTCTACCACCAAGAGGTCCTGCATCCCTAGGCACCACCTGTCCCCGGCTGGGCGTCAGTTTCCACTCTGAAAACTGGATTCATTTCTTTGGTTTGTCTAGAGCTGGTATTTCTTGGTGTTTCTGGAAAGTCTGTAAGGCAGCTAATGCAGAGCTCCCCAAGACACCAACCACAGGGTATTCGGCGGGGTCCTCCCTCTGCTTCACTGACCCGTTCCATCAACCCTCCCAGAGCCTGCTTGGGGCTGGGCCAATTCAGGGGCTGGGAGCACAGGGAAGAATCAGGCTTGGTGCCTACCCTTGAGAGCTCACGACCTAGGTAGGGAGACAGACACATCCACAGCAATGCCATAAGCACAGAGTGCCACGGAAGCCAGGAGGAGGCCAGCCCTGAGCCACCTGTGGAGGTGCTCAGAGAAGACTTCCTGGTGGGGATGGGCCTGAAAGACCCAGGGCAGCATAGTTCACAGTGAGCACCAAGCATGCAAGCCACTGAGTGTGGCCAAGGACAGGCACAGAAGATGTGGCCTCAGCTGCGTGTCCCTGTGTGCGTATGAGAGAGAGAGAGAGAAAGAGACCACAGAGAGGAGTTGAGAGGTAAGAGGGCTTGGGCTGGCACAAGTGATATCCGCGGAGACCCTTGGGGAAGAGCTTTTCCAATTAAAGTCCTGGCTGAGCTCCCTTGATTATGTAATAGCCAGGGAAATGTCATCAGGGATAGCGTTAGAGGAAGGAGGGATGTGCCTGAGCAGGGCTTCACCATTCCCAGAGGGGAGCTGGGAGCAGATTTGTAAATGAATCGGAATTTGCACATAGTCAGAAAGAACATCCAAGTTGGGGCAGCCAGTCCATATCAGGAGGAGGGGACATAGTCACAAGGTTGTGGCAGTGGAACTTATGTAGCTGAACACAAGGTTTCCCTCCCAGCCCCTCCTCCCTCAGGTGCCACCAGCCCACTGGATCACTTGCCCATCCCATTAGGATGGTCTCTGGGGAAGCAAGGAGAGAGGGGCCAGGCCAGCGCTGCACCATTCTGGCCCAGAGGATGTGTGCCCCGAGAGCTGTGCCTGTGAAAGAATGTGGTGCAAGGGTGCCTTGTCCTCTGTGGCTCACAAACTAACCCTGGGATCACACAGGCAGGAGGCCTGCAGCCACGTGAGCACCAGCTGAGCACTTTAGTATGTTCTGCCGGGGAGAGGGCACATCTCATTTTAGTTCAACTGTGAGTCACCCCTGGCCCTCAAGAACCATCTCCAAAGCCCATTGATAAAACACACAGATCAGGCTCAGCACGGTGCTGCACGGATGCAATCCCAGCACTTTGTGAGGCTAAGACGGGAGGATTACTTGAGCTCAGGAGTTCAAGACTAGCCTGGGTAACAAAGCAAGATGCTGTCTCTACAGAAGATATAAAAATTAGCTGGGCATGGCGATGCACACCTGTAGTCCCAGCTACTCAGGAGGCTGAAGCAGGACAACCCCTTGAACCAAGGAGTTTGAGGTTTCAGTGAGCTGTGATTGTGCCACTGCACTCCAGCAGACAGTCTCTGTCTATACACACACACACACACACACACACACACACACCAGTTCTTAGCTTCTGGGGAATGATAAGAGCTTTGGAATAGGATGGACTTTGAGCCTCAGTTTTCTCATCTGCAAATTGGGAATAGTATTAATACCCCCTCCAGGGATTATTATTGTGAGGCTTAAATAAATGTGAAATGGTCAGCCCAGATCATGGCACATAGCAAGTACTCAGTAAGTGGTAGCTGTGATTATTTTCATAAAAGCTTCCACGGAGAGGGGGTTGTCCTGTTTGATTTATATGCCATATACCGTTTTATTTTATTTTAGCAAGAACACTTGAGGTCTACCCTCTTAACAAAATTTCAAGTGTACAATACGTTGTTGTAGACGACAGGTATTAATACAACATTGTGCGGCAGATCGCCAGAGCTGCTTCATCTGGCTTCACTGAAACTTGATGCCGGTTGATTAGGAACTCCACATTCTGCTTTAAAAGATTTGGGATGCCAGCATGAGAATCACAGAGCAGAGCACAGGGCAGTTTCCATGCAGAGGTGTGGTTTGTGTTTCCAGCACCAGCATAAAAGACAATGTTCCTGCCCTGAGTGGGACTGAGACAGCTATCAGCTGGTTCAAAAAGAAGCAAGTGGGACTATGGCCTTGGAACTATAGGCTGATCCCCACCTAGCTGGACACTGTGATGAGGCTAAGAACCTGTAAGTGATCTTTCTGGTTGAAGCTTACTGCCCCCAATCCTTCCCACTGTTTTAGCACTCTGAGTGACTCCCTGCCAGAGTAAGAGTTTGGACAGGAAGAAGATAATTGGCATTTGAGGACAAGGCCAGAATCTAAGGTATCCTCTTAGATACCTTGGACATGCTCAGTACTGATGGAGCCCAGGGGTCTCAGCTGCTTGGCCTGAGAGGAGTGGCCCAATGTCAGGCCTGGTTGCCAACGTGACCTGTAGAGAAATGACTATGTCACATCCTTAGCTGTCTGGCCCACATGGTCATCCCAGGGACCAGTGTGTGCCTGAGGTGTGAGAGCCAGTGTCTCTTAGAAGGAGGCTCAACCATCCTGGCCCATCTCCCCTTCAGGGCAGGATCCAAAACTTGGTTGCTAAAAGGATGAGGCACAGGGTATAGTCATGGAGTGGGTGGCTGTGGAGCCAGACAGGTGTCCTGCAAAGACCCTTAGCAAAGTGGACCTGAAGTTCTCATTAAGGCAGCAGGATTGAGCTCAAGTCAGACCTCCAGATAGATGCCCTGCCTCCCAAGGGCACTAGGAGAAGACTGTGGCAAGCGAGTAGAGGCAAGCCCAGAGCATCCACAAGGCATGTGGCTTCTGGTGAGAAAATTAATTCTAGCCCTAGATGGAACTGGGTTTCCCACATCCTCCCAGGTCTGGGCAGGCTGAATTCAGTGATGGGCAGGGCTGAGCCTTCAGGCACTGAGCTGAGAGTCTGGAGCCAAGCAGAGCTTGGGAGAAGGAGGGACACTGCTGGTCTACATGGTGCCAGCAGAGCCACAGCTGGGCAGCAGCACCTTGTAGGCTGGTCAGCTCCCCTCCATACCAAAGCAGTCCTCCATCCCTGCCACCAGTCCCCTCCCCAAATGCATGCAACTGGTCTCTGGACCACTGAGTGAGGCTAGGGAGGGACTAGCAGCTTCCATTGCAGGTATAGGCAAATGAGTCCCACGCACCCAACTGGGGAGATAGGATCTGTCCTTTCTATGTTCAGAGGCAGCCATGGTGCCATGGAATGAGTGCTGGATTTGGATTCTGACAAATGGGCCCAAATCAAGGCTCTGCCTTGCTTGCTCTGTGACCCTGGGCATGGACCTTGGCCTCTGGGAGTTTCAGCTTCCTCATCTGCAAAATAGGGTCCCAGAAGGCCTGCATCATGAAAACTTGAGCCACCAGAATTGGACGCATGTCAAAAAGAGTAGGGGAGTGGCTTTGGGGAGGTGAGAAGAAAAGGGAGGGAGAAAGAACAGTGTGTGCCAGCCTCTGCCTCCATGGCAAGGGTCTTGAACATTCCAAATGCCCAGTCGTGATATGAGTCCTCCCACCCAGGATCCTTGAGATGTATCCCTTGTGGAGCACCTTCTCCCTGGGCCATGGGTCCTGTACTGGGACACCAAACTCTATGCCTGGAAAGCACCCTCCCTACTTTGTGCCATTTCTCTGTCTTGATTGCCAGACCCTGACCCCATGAATCCTTCTTCTCCCTGGACATCTGGCCATGGTGATAGGGAGCAGAGTCTAAGATGAGCTGGCTTGAAAGTGTGCTTAAGGCTCCCACCTCTAACTGCTTCCTCTTTGAGATGAGGTGTGGCCTCCTGGCTGGAGAGCTGTCATCATCTGAGCAGGGCTGGGCATGCTGAGCCTTGGCAGCCCTGGGGACCTGGCCTCAAGCGGGTAGGGCAGTCGTCACAGTCACTGTAACCAAGAGGTGTGGTGGGCTCAGGCCCAAGGGGGCTGGGGTTTCTCTCCAAGTTGCTTTGATGTGTGGGGGATGGGTGGGAGACAGTGGTACTGCTCAGACTGGATAGTGCCTGCTGCTGTGTGGTTGTGGTTCTGGGGAAGAGGTGTGTGGGTGGAGAGGAGCGCGAGCCGGAGGCCACCCCTGGGAAGAGGAAATGGACAAGGCTGCTTCTCTAGGCCCACAGGAATTCCAAGCCCCTGGCCTAGAGCAGCTGGGCTAATTACAGCCTCCTCCTTGTTGGTGGGAATGGGACTTCTAAAAGAGCACCAGCCTTAGCCAGAGCTGGCTAAGGAGAGCAAGGTTAAGCTGAGGAGTGGGGAGGCCCTGTGGGTCTGGTGGCCAGCTGCCTAATGCATTGTCGCAATCAGGCTCCCAATGGAGGGGCCGGCCAACTCAGCCTCTCTCTGGAGCGGAGCATCCAGGTCCCAGCGGCCCAGGAGTGCAGCAGATGCAGATGCTGCCAGGAACAGGCTGTGGGGATCGCCGAGAGTAAACAACAGAGGAGAATCGCCTTGCAAACCACACTCGATGGAAATCTCCCCAACAGCCACGTCGCAAAATGGAACCAAAATATTTATTCAGAGCAGCATTTTTTTAGAATTGCTCTCCAGAAGGTGACACAAATGGGCCAACCTCTCAGACAGCCCAGCACAGAGAGGCATGCCCTGTCCCCAACCCAATAGAGCCAATAACCCATTAGCTGGGGCCTCCAGGTCAAGTTCAGCTTTGTTCAGAGTCCTAGCCCATCTTTTCAACACTGTGCAGGGGAGACTGGAAGCAGCTTAGGCCCATCTGGAAACTATTAACAGGCCCCTTTCCTTGGTGACCCATCACCACTCACCAGAACTGTTGTTCCTGCGGACTCACCTGACCGCCCGATGTGCGGGGAAGCAGACGCATCAGCCAACCTCACGTCATCGGAGATTTGATAGTTACAGGCCAATGCTGGATATTAACCAGATATTGGACTTTAGCTGGGAGCTTGTCACACATTCCTCTCTTCTTTTCCCCATGGCCAACACTAATTCTTAGAAACAAGACTAGCTGTAGGGCTTCTGGACTTCACAGGCTCAACTAACACGTATTAAAGTTCTCCTAGCCAAGAACATTCTAGGCTCTTTCATTTGTTTTGTCTCATCATTCTCCTGATGGCCTTTGAGGTAGGCATCACTACCCCATTTTATAGTGAAGCAAAGATAAGCCCAGAGAAGTTAAGGAACTGACTCAATGTCACACCGCTGGTGCACGGCAGAGCTAAGATTAGAGCTCAGGTCTTTAACACCCTTTTCTAGCATCCATTGTCTTCTGTCACACTATTGTATTTCTCTCTTACGACATAGGCTTGTCATGAGGATTAGACCGGATTATACGTGTGAAGCGTGTTAGAGCAGTGCATGGCTCTCAGTGCATGCTCATTTTCATTCCTCCTGCCTTTTCAGAGATTGTTTAAAAGTGAGAGTTGGGGTGGGAAGAGAGAAACTGAGTTTTGTCTCATTGTCTCATTTTATAGGGATGAGTAGGTGGTGGAGCTCAGGCATGGCTAGATCCAGGAGCTGATATAATGTCATCAGATCACCAGACTCTTATTTTCCCCATTCTTTTCATCTTTACTCCTTTTCGTGTTGATCTCAGTCTCATCTGCTGCTTTTGGGCGTCATCCTCCACACGGCATAACACAGTGACTCTGCAGGGTGGAGAAGGGCCATGGCCCCTGCTGGCTCCCTAGCCTTCACCATCCCAGCTGGTGACTCCAGAATGAAAAGTGGACTTTCCTCCCAGCTGTTGCAGGGTGAAAAATCCTAGGGAGGTGCTGTGATTGGCCCGTCTTGGGCCACATGACTACTCCTGGGTCACTGCGCGATTGTGTTTGGCCAAACAGGTTGCCCCTCCCTGCCCTGGCCAGGATGGTGGCCTCCTGTGAAGGGAAGCCCTGCCTGAATTGAGAGTGGAGTTGGGGGGCAGTTTCCTGAGGAATTCTTGCCAGAAGAAAGGGGAGAGAGGATACTGAACAGAGAAAGAAAAGGAATGGTCGTGCATTACCCTGAGATGGATGAAAGCGCTGAGTCAGTAATAATGTGAGGCAAAATATGTAAATCATTCTATATTGGCTTATCCCTTAAATCTTACAGATAGGGAAACTGAGGCTCGGAAGCATTGTGTGACCCTGCCATGCTCCCACAGTGAATTTCTGAGACATTGGGCTGGAGTCTGACTCCCCTGTTCTTCCACCTTCTCCTGCATGGGGAGGAAACTGTCCCCGCCATCCCCAGCCTCACCCAGGCCTCAGGGAGTGCTGAGAAACACCTAGTTGCCGGGCACGGTGGCTCACGCCTGTAATCCCAGCACTTTCAGAGGCCAAGGCAGATGGATCACGAGGTCAGGAGTTCAAGACCAGCCTGGCCACCATGGTGAAACCCCGTCTCTACTAAAAATACAAAAATTAGTGGGGCATGGTGGCACATTCCTGTAATCCCAGCTACTGGGGAGGTTAAGGCAGGAGAATCAGTTGAGCCTGGGAGGCGGAGGTTGCAGTGAGCCGAGATGGTGCCACTGCACTCCAACCTGAGGGACAGAGCAAGACTCCGTCAAAAAAAAAAAGAAAGAAAAGAAAAGAAACACCTGGTTGGCAGAGCTGGTCGAGGGGAAGCGGGGTGATGTGGCATTAGATGTTGCCCGGCCATTGGCAGTTCCCCAGCTGTCCTGTCCCCGGTCCCCAAGATCCTATGTCACCTCAGCTCCATAACATTATGTGTCTGAGCTGGGCCGTGTGGACACACCCTGGAGCCGCAATCATCAGCAGAGCCTGTGGCCTGGTTCTCCTTCCCATGGGCTCACCCACCACCCCTGCACACTTTCCTCTACACCCATATTGAGGGCTGAGTTTGAATCATATTCTATGCCAGGTGCAGGGAATTCACGATGAGTGGTAAACTCTCCTGGTCTTCCTAGGGCTCAGCAGGCTCTGAGTGGAGACAGCACCTCAGTACTAACCTCACAGGGTGATCAGTTCTCTGATCCCAGGGCTCAGCATTGAGAAACAATCCATGTGGGTCACAGCTACTCTGACAGTTTCTGGAGATTCCATGGTGAGCAAAACATACATGTCACTCTCATCTGACAAGACTGCACACATAAATAAAAGTTACAAATGCTGCTACTTGAGAGGCTCTGGAGAGGAGATGCCTGGTGCTGGGGAATGTGCACAGGGCCTGGTTTAGTTGGGGGCAGGGGAGGGCTTCCCTGAGGAGGTGACATGCAAGGGGAAATGGAAAGGTTGAAGAGGAGTCCGCTGGATGTGGAAGGGATGTACGAGCAGAGTGTCCCAGGCACAGACACAGCATGTACAAAGGCCCTGAGGCAGGGGGCACCGAAAGAAGACCCTACGCCCCAGGTGGATCGAGGGGGAGATGTGGCAGGAGGGGCAGGTGGGGTCACTGAAGCAGGCCTTGGACACCATGTGGAAGAATTTGGCCTTTGTCTTAATAGCAGAAGGAAGCCATTGAGAGGATTTAAGCAGGACAGGCATGGGGCACACAGGGGTACGGATTAAAGCCTGGAGTCAAGGACATTTGGGGTACCTGTGGGGGGACAGGGACACCCATGGGAGGATG